>NC_000008.11:26223738-26526769 GCF_000001405.40 Homo sapiens
CTGGCTATGAGCTTCCTTTAGATTAAAAATGTTCTTATTGATTTCAGCAGGGATACATTTACATACAATTGTTCCTCAAATCAGCAAGTATTTATTGTGTACTTGTACAAAGTGAAACTTTGCTCCAAAAACCTTGCCTATTATAGTATTTAGAATTCACTGTCAGTCATGCTTCATTACTATGCAGGATGAATCATAGACCAGCCTCTCTGTGGTATCAAGAAAAGAGGTTACAGTAAAATAGAGCCCACGTATTTAAATATCTAGATTTTCTTCCCTGTTCAGACACAAAAAGGTTGTGAACAACCAGTGATATTCCCAGTCCCAGTTATCTTCAATTATACAATAAATATGCAATGATCTAAGAGGGGCAGATCCCGGTCTGATGGGGTCTGAAGCTTATGCAGTTTGGGGGGGGTCCACTTTCAGATTAAAAAAACATAGAAAACTAAAATTTAAATTGGGTATGAAAATGAATGTTTACTCAAAATGAGAAAATAAATCACAACAAATAGCAATTTGTTAAATCTGATTAATCCAGAAAAGGAATCAAAAAATCCAGAAAAGGGGCTGGGCACAGTGGCTCACACCTGTAATCCCAGCACTTTGGAAGGCCGAGGTGGGCAGATCAATTGAGGTCAGGAGTTCGCCAATGTGGTAAAACCCTGTCTCTACTAAAAATACAAAAATTAACTGGGCGTGATGGCACGCGCCTATAATCCCAGCTACTCGGGAGGCTGAGGCAGGAGAATCAGTTGAACCCAGGAGGCAGAGGTCACAGTGAGCCGAGATCGCTCCACCGCATGCCAGCCTAAGAGACAGAGCAAGACTTCATCTCAAAAAAAAAAAAAAAAAAAAACCAGAAAAGGTAATACAATATTTTTAGCAATTTGCTGGCTAACATCCCTGTATAATACATTTTTCCTACTTTTTTACTGCATTGTCTTTGATCACTTCTTTGTAGGACAATGATTTTGTTAAAATATATGGAGAGAATAGAAGGATAAAACTCTTTTTTCTCTAACATGGTTCCTTGAAATTTGCTTCTTATTATTAATAATTCTAAGCTCTAGAGCTGTTGTTACATTTTTAAAGTGCTTAGCAAATATTGCTCATTTTCCACAGACTGCACATTGATGCTACATTTCAAGACCTGTTTCTCCTCCACTTTCCCCATGCTCCTGGGGCTGGATGTTGTGGGACATTCATATCACGATATCCTCTAGCCCCACACCTTTATGTCACTGCACCTGAATGGCTAGGAACAATGTGAGCAGATATGGAAGGGACTATAAACACAGAAACATATCTCACTAAACCCAGATTAAATGCACTCACAAATCAACTTCCACTGAGCTGTATTCTCCAAATGCTCATGGCCATTCTACTACCACCAACACAAGGAGAAAAGTGACAGAGGGCAAGAAAAATGGGATGCACAGCAATGCTGACCAATGACAGCTAAAATGTCTTTTTTTTTTTTTAAGTGAGACAGGGTCTGGCTCTGTTGCCCAGGCTGGAGTGCAGTGGTGCAATATGGCTCACCGCAGCCTTGAACTCCTGGGCTCAAATGATCCTCCCACCTCAGCCTGCCAAGTAACTGGGACTACAGGCATGTACCACCGTGCCTGGCTAATTTTATTGTTATTTTTCATAGAGACAGGGTCTTGCTATGTTGCCCAGGCTGCTCTTGAACCCTGGCCTTAAGCAATCCTCCTGCCTCTGTCTCCCAAAGTGCTGGAATTACAGGCATGAGCCACTGCA
This sequence comes from Homo sapiens, assembly GCF_000001405.40. NCBI lineage: Eukaryota > Metazoa > Chordata > Mammalia > Primates > Hominidae > Homo > Homo sapiens. The sequence goes on from NC_000008.11 coordinate 26,225,503, forward strand.
CCTGGCTCTAATAATATCTTAATTTTTAGTATTTTACTAAAGTGTGTGACCACATGAACACATGGCCCTGAGGCATAGTCTTCTTTAGCTTGACTGTAAATCTCCCTCTGTGGTGGTATTTCATCAGCTCCTACCCTTCTTCCCTCACCACATCACCTTTCCCACCTCAGCTCCCAGGTCTGGGTGCTCTTTTGTGTCCTCATGCACTTAGAGACTCTTTTGTTGCCAACCAGACCCAAAGTTGATTTCTCCACTGATCTCCTCTTCCAAGTCATTGTCCCCAGTTTCTGGGATGGACACCTGCTTTGTCCCTGCTGTCATACTCTGTATTTTTTTTTTTTTTTTTGAAACGGAGTTGCCCAGGCTGGAGTGCAGTGGTGTGATCTCAGCTCACTGCAACCTCCGCCTCCCAGGTTCAGGCGATTCTCCCGGCTCAGCCTCCCGAGTAGCTGGGATTACAGGCACCCGCCACTATGGCCGGCTAATTTTGTATTTTTAGTAGTGATGGGGTTTCACCATGTGAGCCAGGCTGGTCTCAAACTCCTAACCTCAAGTGATCCACCCTTCTCAGCCTCCCAGAGTGCTGGGTTTACAGGAGTGAGCCACCACACCCAGCCTCTTACTCTTGAGAGTTGCTTCTCCCAGAGCCTGGAATTCTGACCATTAACCCTAGCATGGTGGTGGGTCCACTTTCTTACAGAAAGGCTCTTAGCAAGGGTCATCACTGCCACTGCTGGACTCTGAAGTTCAGCTGCCCCAGACACTCCCCTCACTTGTACTTGGCTTGGTAGATTATGGGAGCCATAATCTACCAAGATTATGCTCTTGTTAGATTATGCTAGCTGCTCCCTCTTAGAAGTGCTAGGAACTGCTGGGTACGGTGGCTCACACCTGTAATCCCAGCACTTTAGGAGGCCCAGGCGGGTGGATCACAAGGTCAAGAGTTGGAGACCAGCCTAGCCTACATGGTGAAACCCTGTCTCTACTAAGAATACAAAACTTAGCCAGGCATGGTGGTGCATGCCTGTATCTCAGGTACTTGGGAGGCTGAGGCAGGAGAATCACTTGAACCCAGGAGGGAGAGGCTGCAGTGAGCTGAGATCGCACCAATGCACTCCAGCCTGGGTGACAGAGCAAGACTCTGTCTTGGGAGAAAAAAAAAAAAGAAGAAGTGCTAGGAACTACTGTTTGAACAGCAGTGGCGCACGTTATGCCCTTTGGACCCTGAACTTTGGACTCAGTTCCTTGTAGAGGGATCCTCAGATGTCCCCAACCATAAGCTCTGTCATGGCCCAATTTCTGAGCCAACTGAAAAGCTGGGAATGCTTTAGATAACCTCAAGCCTACTTCACTTCCCATCCTCCCTTAGGAAAGCGAAGGCGCTGACTTCAGTCACCTCTCATTCTCTCTTTCACCCACTTGCAACCTGGCTTTTAGCATACTGCACCGTTCCACTCCCGGAAACCCATTACCTCAAAGGTTTCTAGAGGTGGCACTCAAGTGGCTTTTTCAACCCTCGTCCTCTCTAATTTTCTGCCATGCCCAAACTATTGACCACTACTTATTAAAACTCTTTCCCTTGGTTTCCATACTACCAGCATTCTCATCTGTCTCTCTGTGACTCCATTTTCTTCCTTAGATTCCTTCCCTAAGCATCCCTTAAAATCAGGCCTTCCCCACGGTCTGCCTCTCCATACACTCTTCCTTCCAAATGATCTCCCTTGCTTCAGTGATAACCTCTAATCATGACTCCTGAATCTACACATGGAGCTCTGGCCTCTCTCCCAGACTCCAGCCTGTATTTCCCGACTGTTTTTTAGATATGCCACATGCATGTCCCACTTGAATTCAAACTCCCCTAACCGATGCTGAACTCCTAATCATCACTCAGCAAACACTCTTCTTCCTGTGACACCCCCCAACCTCGTCTCCATGAATGAATGGCATTACCACTTACCCTGGGCTAGCAATCTCTAGTTTTCTCCCTCCTTCCTGCAGCGAACCTGCTAGATCAGGTCATGTCAAGTCTAACTCCATGACCCCTCTCAAGCCCATCCTGTCTATTCCATTTCCACGGCCGTCTTTCCAGTCCAGCCACCAGTTCTTTGCATGGAGACTCTCACAGTGGGCCCCTCATTGATTTCACTGCCTCCAAGTTACCCTCAGTCCAATTTCTCCTGCATACTATTGACTTCCATCTTTCTGCAACACAGATTAGTTCATGTACATTTCCTATTCAAAAAAAAATGTTCATACTTAAAAAAACCTCCAGACTCCTGGATGCGGCCCTGAACATCTTCTTCATGTGCCTCCAACTTAACTCCGCTGCCTCATCTTCCTCGTAATCCCCATGCACAGCACGACTGAGTAGCCTGCCCAGACCTCTGACAGCCTGGCACCACACACACCCCTCCCATGCAATCCTCTCATCCTTTAAACCAGACATTCTTCTTCTTTTTTTTTTTTCTTTTTAGAGAGGGGGTCTTGCATGTTGACCAGCTTGGTCTTGAATTCCTAGCCTCAAGCAATCCTCCTGCCTCAGCCTCCCAGTGTGATAGGATTATAAGCGTGAGCCAAGTCACCCGGCCTTAAACCAGCCAATCTTCTTAATCCAGGGAACCATCCTCTCCACAACGTTGGTCTGGAATGATGTAAGTTTAGGGGATTATTTTATAGTTCACATGTATGTATGTATGTATGTATGTATTTTTTATTATTTTTTATTATTTTTATTTTATTTTTTATTATTTTTATTTTGTGATGGAGTCTGGCTCTGCTGCCCAGGCCAGTGTGCAGTGGCACTATCTCAGCTCACTGCAATCTCCGCCTCCCAGATTCAAGTGATTCTCCCACCTCAACCTCCCAAGTAGCTGGGACTACAGGTGCGTGCCATCACACCCGGCTAATTTTTGTATTTTTGGTAGAGACAAGGTTTCACCATGCTAGCCAGGCTGGCCTCAAATCCCTGACCTCAAGTGATCTGCCCACCTCAGCCTCCCAAAGTGCTGGGATTACAGGTGTGAGCCTCACACATATTTAGATGGCGATCTCTCTCACCTATTAATCAGCAAGTTTTCCCGGGGCAAGCAGCAGGTCTTACTGGCACTGTTTTTCTGCATCCTGGGTGCAGTTCTGCTGCTCTCAGCCGTTGTGCCTCTGCTTATCAGCTCATGATGGTTACTGTGAAGGCTGAACTCATGTGGCATGGCTGGGTTGCTTGGGGGAAAGGGCCTGAGCCTGCCACCAAAGAGACACAGCTTTTCAACTGAACTATATCACTTATTAATGGTACAACTTAGAGCAAATTTCTTACCCACTCCTAACCTCAATTTCCTCATCAATAAATCAAAATAATGGTAACCTGATACAGAATAAGTGACATGATATATACAAGAGTGTCTGGACATAGAAGGCTCTCAGTTATGGATTGGATTTGTTATGCTCTCCCTGCAAAGCCCACCTCTGTTTTTCGTTTTTGTTTTTTAACCTGAAAAAAAATCACAATCCGAAAAATAATAACGATTTGAAATTTTAAAACTAAAAAAAAAAATCGAGGGGATAAAACTAGTAGCTAATATAGAAAGGTGATAAGTGCTATAAAATTTGTATTATAGTGCTTACCACATCATATTATAATAATTTATGGGCTGTGTGTCTCTTCTGTGAGCTTTACAAGGAAAAGGACTATGACCCTTTATCCCTAACACCAGAACAGGTCTTGGCATGGAGGAAGCATTCAGGATATGCTTATTGTCTACTTGAAGAGCAATTTCACAATATCTTTCACGAATTACATTGCACCTACCCTTTGCCCTAAATATTCCACTTCTAGGAATTTATCTTACAGATAAACTTGTACAAGTATGCAAAGAGATAAGGGTCCCAAAAAATGTGCATTGTGACATTGTACATAATAGCAAACCAAACCAACCAACAAATCAACAAAAAATACTTTTTTTTTTTTTTGAGACTGAGTCTCCCTCTGCCGCTCAGGCTGGAGTGCAGTGGCGCGATCTTGGCTCACTGCAAGCTCCGCCTCCCAGGTTCACGCCATTCTCCTGCCTCAGCCTCCTGAGTAGCTGCTACTACAGGCTCCCGCCACCACACCCGGCTAATTTTTTGTATTTTTAGTAGAGATGGGGTTTCACCGTGTTAGCCAGGATGGTCTCGATCTCCTGACCTCGTGATCCACCCGCCTTGGCCTCCCAAAGTGCTGGGATTACAGGTGTGAGCCACTGCACCTGGCCAACAAAAAACACTTTAAATGTCCATAATTAAGGTCCAGTTTAAAAAACAAATAAAGACATACCAAGGAATACTATGTAATGTTAAAAAAAAAAAATGTGCAGTAGATCTCCAGATACTGGTATGAAGAGGTGCCTAATAACATATTGCTAAATGAAAAAAGCCAGCTGCATAGTGCAAATACACACACACACACACACACACACGTGCCTCTATGTGCAAGAACAATTTCTTGAAGGATATATGGGGAACTGTTTCTAGTGGTTACTTCTATAGACTGAGACTAAGAAATCAGGAGTGGGAGGAAGGATTTCCACACTCACTGTATATCCTGTGTACAATTTGAACTTTTTACCATGAACAGGAACTAATTTTGAAAAATAAAATATAAATGTAAAAAATGAAATTAGCAAAAAATATTTGTTGAATAATTCAACTTTGGGCTTGTCTGGGTAGCCTTTGTGTGTTTGATTATTAATTTCTATCAGCAGGATAAAGAAAGTGATAGATGTGCAGGCTCCTTTCGTTTCCCTTGATGTAAGTTCAAAGACCATAAGGAACAATTTAGGGAACACTCAGTTGCTCAGCGGGAGTCCCTTGTGGCTTATCAGTGTCACTAAGAGCACCAGATGCATTTATAATCCCATCCGTAAGTGTCGATTGTGGCTTGTTCTCCATGATCAGTTACCAGCCCCGTCTTACACTCTGTTAGCAGAAAGCACATCCTCACCAGGACAAAAGGGGGTATGGAGAAAATCAGCTTTGCTGATTGTCTCTGCAGACTTCACTGCTCTTTCCCTGGGAGCCATGTGCTGCCTTAACAGTTGGCCCAGAGCTGGCACTGCATAAAGGAGAGGAATCTATAGCAGCAAGAGGTGGTGATTAATTTTAAGCTGTCATGGAAAATGTTTTTGCACTCTAATGTCAGAGAACTGTATTATTATTATAGGTCTAACGTTTTCTTGCCAAAGCTGTGTGTTTGCTCTCAGGATACAAAATGAATACAGAAAGCTTTCTGGTTGGCTGTCAGTAGCATCTTTTGGAGAAGGGAGAAAAGGAAGGCTGCCAAACCAGCCAGGTTCCACAGCAGCCCTCATGGGGCAGGTCCTTCCCCACCTGCCCCCTCTCCCTGCCCCAGGCTGGAGGAAGCCCTGGCCACTCCCTTCTGCCCTAAATGTTGTCCAGCTGAATACAGTTTTGCTCTCTCAGCCATCTGACCCACAAAGTCTACTGGAAATCTCAGATAGGGGCAGACACCCTGGAGAAGCAAAGGATAGAGAAAGTCAAGATTTGATAGAAAAGAAGACAAGACTGTAGCCGCAAGTAGGGAAAAAAAAATGGGCCGAGAGCAACAAGTCCACGGAGGTCTTTAAGATCCATGCCATCTGGGTCTGAGTCAGAAACAAGTACAGCAAACATGTGTGCCCTACCACCACTCTCCCTTCCTGCTATACACACAGAGGGAGAAAGAGAGGAGGAGGAAGAGGGAGAGAGGCAAGAACTGACTAGCTTTTGGACTTCAATACAATATTTATTTCTTGCATAATCTGCCAGCAAATTAGATCAAAGAGCTGTCGGTTTTTTAAATCATGCAATTCATTAAGGGAACAAACTTTAAATATACTTAGTCTAAAATAACATTTACCAAGAGGCAGGATTGATTTATCTAGCTAGAGCAGATCTAGGAACTGGAAGAGAGTACAAAAAAAAAAGAGAGAGAATCAGAATACTGACTTTATAGCACTTTCAAAAAACTTGAGATAATCATGTTAATAAAAATGGCTATTTATTGAGGTCTACCCTGTGCCAGACCAGGCACTTTACAAAGTGTTTATCTGTAATCCTATCACATAGTAAATATAGTTATTCTCATTTTTCAGATGAGAAATCTGAGAATTGGAGAACTTGCAAAGGGCACCTCACAAGTAAGTGGTGAGTACTGCCCATCTGTCTGCCTGTCTGCTTGTCTGTCTGTCCACTGGACCAGGCTGCTCTGTGGTATGCACTATCAAGAGGGATACATGCAGTATCCAGTCTACATAAAAAAAAATTTTTTGGCAAGGTGCAGTGGTTCATGTCTGTAATCCTAGCACTTTGGAAGGCGGAGGCAGATGAATCACTTGAGCTCAGAAGTTCAAGACCAGCCTGGGAAACATGATAAAATCCTGTCTCTAAAAAAATACAAAAATTAGCCAGGCATGGTGGCGTATACCTGTAGTCCCAGCTACTTGGGGGTGCTGAGGTAGGAAGATCGCTTGAACCCAGGAGGTCGAGGTTGCAGTGAGCTGAGACAGCACCACTGCCCTCCAGCCTGGGTGATAGAGTGAGACCCTGTATCAAAAAAAATTTTTTTAATTGATTCATAATATTTGTATACGAATATTTGAATATGTATATATGTATAAGGTGCATTCAATATTTTGCTACATGCATAGAATGTCATGATCAAGTCAGGTATTTGGGATATCCATTACCTCGGGTATTTATCTTTTTTTTTTTTTTTTTTTTTTTGAGATGGAGTCTTGCTCTGTCACCCAGGCTGAAGTGCAGTGGAGTGATCTCGGCTCACTGCAACCTCCACCTCCTGGGTTCAAGTAATTCTCGTGCCTTGGCCTCCTGAGTAGCTAGGATTACAGGCATGTGCCACCACACCCGGCTAATTTTTGTATTTTTACTAGAGACGGTTTCACCGTGTTGGCCAGGCTGGTCTCAAACTCCTGACCTCAGGTGATCCACCCACCTCAGCCTCCCAAAGTGCTGGGATTACAGGAGTGAGCCACCATGCCCAGCTGGTATTTATCATTTCTATGCTTTGGGAACATTTGAAATCTCTGCTAGCTGTTTTGAAATCCACAATTTATTGTTGTTAACTATAGTCACCCCACTCTGCTATTGAACATTAAAATACATTCCTCCTATTTAACTGTACGTTTGTACCCATAAAACAACTTCTCTTCATCTCCCCAGTACCAGACACAGACACACACACACACACACACACACCATTTCCAGCATCTGCTTTCTATCATTCTGTTCTCTACCTCAATGAAATCAACTTTTAAGTCTCACATATGAGTGAGAAGATGTGAAGTTTGTCTTTCTGTGCCTGGCTTCTTTCACTTAAGTTAATGACCTCCAGTACCATCCATGTTGCTGCAAATGACATGATTTCATTCTTTTTTGTGGCTGAATTGTATTCCACTGTGTATATGTACCACATTTTCTTCACCTGTTTGTCCACTGACGGGCACTTAGGTTGATTCCATATCTTGGCTATTGTGAATAGAGCTGTAATGAACACGCAAGTGCAGGTATCCCTTTGAGGTACAGATTTCTTTTCTTTTGTATAAATGCCCAGTAGTGGGATTGCTGAATCATATGGTAGTTCTATTTTTAGTTTTTTGAGAAATCTCCATACTGTTTTCCATAATAGCTGTATTAATTTGCATTCCTGCCAATAGCATATAAGCATTCCCTTTCCTCTGCATCCTTGAGAGCATATTATTTTTTGTCTTTTTAATGACAGCCATTCATTCTAACTGGAATAAGATGATGTCTCATTGTGGTTTGATGCTGAGCATTTTCTCATATACCTGTTGGCCATTTGTACAGTCTACATTTTTTTTTTTTTTTTTGAGATGGAGTCTCACTCTGTTGCCAGGCTGGAGTGCAGTGGTGCAATCTCAGCTCACTGCAACCTCCCCTTCCTGGGTTCAAGCGATTCTTCTGCCTCAGCCTCCCGAGTAGCTGGGACTACGGATGCATACCACCATGCCTGGCTAATTTTTGTATTTTTAGTAGAGACGGGGTTTCACCATGTTGGCCAGGATGGTCTTGATCTCTTGACTTCGTGATCCACCTGCCTTGGCCTCCCAAAGTGCTAGGATTACAGGCATGAGCCACTGTGCCCGGCCCAGTCTACATTTTTAAGCCATTCTTAGATTTAAATGTTTCTTTTTATAGCTCCCTTATTCAACCATTGATAGAACCCAGGTCCTAACTAAAGCTTTAAAAATATATATATATTGTTGGCCAGGCGTGATGGCTCATGCCTGTAATCCCAGCACTCAAGTGAATCACTTGAGGCCAGGAGTTCAAGACCAGTCTGGCCAAAATGGCGAAACCCCGTCTACTAAAAATATAAAAATTAGCCCGGCATGGTGGCTTGCATCTGTAACCCAGCTACTCAGAAGGCTGAGGCATGAGAATCGCTGGAACCTGGGAGGCGGAGGTTGCAGTGCCATGATCACACCACCACATTCCAACCTAAGCAATAGGGCAAGACTCCATTTCAACAACAACAACAAAAAAAGGGTTCCTGTAGCTATACCAGTACTGGCTACAATAAGCCAATAGCAGAAGCTGACTTTGTACCCGTGAAGCATTGCTATGTTTCATGGAAATATTTGGCTTTGATGGAAGCAGATTGAAAGCCAACTCTTATACATATTACCTGCTACAGTGTCTACAGCTATATCTGTGTCTGGTGGAGCCATAGCTACCTCAAGGTAGTAGGAGAATAAAATGACATACTGTATACCACCACTTCTGGATCTCTCCTCTGGGCTCCAGAATCATGTAACTGATGCCACTTGGATACCCTACATATGCCTTTAACTCATCATGTCCAGAACTGAGCTCAGCATTTTCCCCTAAACTAACTTCTTCTGGGTTTCCATCAGAGAGAATTGCCCCTCCAGTAGTAACTGGGTGAGATCCCTAAATTCCTATCTCCCACATCCAACAGTCACCAAGTCACATCAATTTTACTCTTAATGCCTCCGACGCACCCACTGCTCTCTCTGTATCACTACAGTCTTTTTTTTTTTTTTTTTTTTTTTTTTTTTTTTTTTTTTGAGAAGGAGTCTCGCTCTGTCACCCAGCCTAGAGTGCAGTGGCGTGATCTCGGCTCACTGCAAGCTCTGCCTCCCGGGTTCACACCATTCTCCTGCCTTAGCCTTCCGACTAGCTGGAACTACAGGCGCCTGCCACCACACCTGGCTAATTTTTTGTATTTTTAGTAGAGACGGGGTTTCACCGTGTTAGTCAGGATGATCTCAATCTCCTGACCTTGTGATTCGCCCGTCTCGGCCTCCCAAAATGCTGGGATTACAGGCGGCAGCCACCGCGCCCAGCCCACTACAGTCTTAATTTGGGGTGTCATATGTGACCCCACTCCTGCACCTGCCCCTCCCCACTGGCCTCCCTCTTTTGAACCTTGCCCTCTCCAAATCATTCTCCACGTTGATTTCGGAGAATGTATTCTAAAGAGCATATCTAATGATGCCATTTCCTGCTTAAAATCTAATGACCTCCCTAATTGCTTCCAGATATATTTGTCATTGTTGTTGTTGTTGAGACAGGGTCTAGCTCTGTCCCCCAGGCTGGAGTGCAGTGGCACAATCATGACTCATTGCAGCCTCAAACTCCTGGACTCAAGCAATTCTCCCATCTCAGCCTCCAGGGTAGCTGGAACCACAGGCACGCACCACCATGTCCACTTAATTTTTTTTGTAGAGGCTGGATCTTACTATGTTGCCCAGACTGAGCAGTAACAGTTGAGCTCCATCTCAAACTCTTGAACTAAAACAATCCTCCCACCTTGGTGGGAATTGCTGGGACTACAGGTGTGTGCCACCATGCTCAGCTAATTTATACATTTTTCGTAGAGACAGGGTTTCACCATGTTGCCCAGGCTGGTCTCGAACTCCTGGGCTCAAGCAACCCTCCCTCTTTGGCTTCCCAAAGTACTAGGATTACAGGTGTGAGCCACCTCACCCAGCGTAGATATATTTGTTTAATAGCTTCAGTAAGATGTAATTCATATATCATGCAATTTACTTTCTTTTTTTTCTTTTTTGAGACAGGGTCTTGTTGTGTCACCTAGGCTGGAGTACAGTGGCACAATCACAGCTCACTGCAGCCTCAAACTCCTGGGCTCAAGCATTTCTCCCATCTCAGTCTCCTGGGTAGCTGAGAATGCAGGCACACACCACCATGACTAATTTTTTTTTTTTTTTTTTTGAGACGGAGTCTCACTCTGTCACCCAGGCTGGAGTGCAGTGGTGCGACCTTGGCTCACTGCAACCTCTGCCTCCCGGGTTCAAGTGATCCTCCTGCCTCAGCCTCCCAAGTAGCTGGGATTACAGGCACCCGTCACCACACCTGGCTAATTTTTGTATTTTTGGTAGAGACGGGGTTTTGTCATGTTGACCAAGCTTGTCTCGAACTCCTGACCTCAGGTGATCCACCTACCTCGGCCTCCCAAAGCGCTGGGATTTACACACGTGAGCCACCGTGCCTGGCCTAATTTTTTGCTTTTTTAGAGATAGGATCTCATTATGTTGTCCAGGCTGGTCTTGAATTCCTAGGCTTATGCAATCCTCCCGCCTTGGCCTCACAAAGTGCTGGGATTACAGGCATGAGCCACTGTGCCCAGCCTAATTTTTTGTTTTTTTTAGAGATAGGATCTCATTATGTTGTGCAGGCTGGTCTTGAATTCCTAGGCTCATGCAATCCTCCCGCCTTGGCCTCGCAAAGTGCTGGGATTACAGGCGTGAACCACCTCATCAGAGTACCCATTTAAAGCCCACAGTTCAGTGGTTTTTTAGTATATTCACAGACTTCTACAACTATCACCACAATCAATTTAGGTATAATCAATGTTTACTGTCATTACCTAAAAGAAAACCCCATTCCCTTTATTAGTCACTCTCTACTTCTCCCCAACACCCTTATCCCCTGGCAGTCAATTACCTACTGTTCTGTCTCTGTGGATTTGCCTATTCTGGACATTGCATATCTAGAGAGTCCATACAGTATGTGATCTTTTGTGACTACTTTCACATGGCACAATGTTTTCAAGTTTCATCTATGCTGTATCATAGATGAAAAAGGAAAGTTTCATTCCTTTTTATGGCTGAATAATATTCCATTGTTTGCATAGACCACATTGTGCTACTCCAGTCATCATCCACCAATGGGCATTTGGGTTGTTTTCACTGTTTGGATATTATGAATAACACTGCTATGAACATTCACTTACAACTCTTTGTTTTTATTTCTCTTTCGTTTTATTTCTCTTAGCTAGAGAGAAGTAGAATTGCCAGGTCATAGGGTAAGTTGATGTTTAACTTTTTAAGAAGCTGCCAAATGTTTTCTAAAGAGGCTGTGCTCCCCCCACCGCACTCCACCAACACAAGCCACTCAACATGGTCCTTCCTAATCTAGTTGCAGCTTGTTGTACCACCTTCATCTCTACTGATGCTCCTACTCAAACTGGATACTTCAAGTAGGCCCAACTTCACCAGCCCTAAAAAACAAATAATCCGTCTCACTCGGGCTTCTATAAACATGGTTCCCTGTGCCAGGACTACTCCTCCCTACCGTAATCTCCAGGCTCACGCCCACGTGTCCTCAGACTCAGTTTCCTTGGCATGTCTTCCCAGGTCCTCCACAAGACTGGCGAGGCCTCTGTGCTCCCTCATGTGCCCTGAGTTTTTGTGCTCCAGTGGCTCTTCTCATATGACAGGGTCATCACCTATGCACTGGTCTTTACCTGACAGTGTTTGGATTTGTGTCCACACCCAAATCTCATGTCCACTTGTAATCCCCAGTTTTGCAGGTGGGGCCTGGTGGGAGGTGATTGGATCATGGTGGCGGATTTCCCCCTTGCTGTTCTCACGAGATCTGGTTGTATAAAGTGTGTGGCACCTCCCGCTCTCTCTTCCTCCTACTCCAGCCATGTGAGACATGCCTGCTTCCCCTTCAAGTTCCGCCATGATTGAAAGTTTTCTGAGGCCTCCCCAGCCATGTTACCTGTACAGCCTCCAGAACTGTGAGCCAATTAAACCCTCCTTCATAAATTACCCAGTCTCAGTTATTTCTTCATAGCAGTGCAAAAACGGACTAATACATTATTCTTCACCAAACTGTAAGCTCCCTAAGGATAAGAATTACACCATTTTCCTCAGCCAAGAACAGTTCCTGATATGTTGGTGGCTCTCCATAAATATTTGATACATGGATAAAGCCCCCAGCATATAGTAGGCCGTCACCCTCTTCCCTACTATATTGAAAGTGTGATGCAAGAATCCAAAACTTCATTCTTTCCAAAGAAAATCGTTCCCAAACCATCTTGGAAATGCACAGTCTGATTTTAAAAATAAAACATTTGTAGTTCCTTCCTGATTCTGTTTTGTACGGGCTAATAATAAAATGAGTTGGCATTCCTTGGGTATATATCAACTAACAGTAGAGGGAGCCAAGCCAAGAATGTGCTAGGTAGTGGGTAGGAATCTGCATGCGATTAAAAATAGGCCATGTGTAATAATGGAGGAAAACTACTCAAATGGTCAGCAATTAGGAAATAGTTCAATAAATTCTGGTATTAGATAGATAGGTTATATTGCCATTAAAATCATAAATATGGAAAGGTTTATTCAAAATAATCCTAAAAATAAAACTAGGACACGAATTAGAATATGCACTTTGATTACAAGTATGCAACACTGTGTCTGTATAATCTCATAAAACCCTATTCGTTCCAGGTATTTTGTAGTAAAATTTAAAATTGGGGATTTTTTCTCAGTTTTTTTTAAGCTTTTGTTGTAAAAACCTATGACAAATAATTGTCATGCATTGTTTCCAAAGTGTATATCATAAAATGGACATAGTGAGCTTTTTGATCTAAGGCTCCTAAAGGTACTGTTTATAATTTGTTGGATGTATACGACACATTGCATTCCTTAATTTAAAAATATATATGTATAGGCTGGGCATGGTGGCTTACACCTGAAATCCCAGCACTATGGGAGGCCGAGGTGGGCAGATCACCTCAGGTCAGGAATTCAAGACCAGCCTGGCCAACATGATGAAGCCCTGTCTCTACTAAGAATACAAAAATTAGCCAGGTGTGCTGGCAGACAGCTGTAATCCCAGCTATTCAGGAGGCTGAGGTGGGAGAATCACTTGAGCCCAGGAGGCAGAGTTTGCAGTGAGCCGAGATCGTAGCACTGCACTTTAGCCTGGGCAACAGAGCGAGACCTCCTCTCAAACAAACAAACAAAAAATATATATATACACACACACATACGTATTTATATATTAATGTACGCATGTATGCTTACATGTATTTATTTCATAGTGCTCTTAGAGAAGACAAAATGTTTTCACATTTTCATTGCACTTTGCCTCCAGTACTTCTGGGAGTCAGACAGAACAGGAGCTATTGTATTATCCTCTCTTTATCCATTTGACTTTACACACAAACTGAAACTGACTTGCTCAAAGTTACATAGGGTATTAGTTTGCTCTCACGCTGCTAATAAAGACATACCTGAGACTGGGTAATTTATAAAGGAAAGAGGTTTAATGGACTCAAATTTCCATATGGCTGGGGAGGCCTCACAATCATGGCAGAAGGCAAAGGAGGAGCAAAGTCACATCTTACATGGCGGCAGGCAAGAGAGCATGTTGCAGGGGAACTCCCCTTTACAAACCCATTAGATCTCATGACACTTATTCACTACCATGAGAACAGCACAGGAAAGACCTGCCCCCATGATTCAATTACCTCCCACTGGGTCCCTCCCATGACACATGGGAACTAGAGGAGCTACAATTCAAAATGAGATTTGGGTGGGGACACAGCCAAACTATATCACATAGTTAGCAAGGATCAGAACCAAGATCAGAGCCCACTCCACACTAATACAACCTCCTTCACTCTGCCCAGAAACCTGAGCAGGAAAGACTCCGTGGACTCAGGATCAGCAAAGTTCCTTGCTAAAGAAGCTTGCACAGCATCTTGCCCTAGGAGTTGCTCAAGGAGCATTTGTTCAAAGGATTGATATACATCAATAGCTTGATGGGTCCATCAGTGGATAGGAATTTAACAGATCACAACTAATCAGATAAAATTCTTTGGCACTCTCTGGTGTCAGCCTTCACCAAACTCATATCATTGCTACTTTAAATGTTTTCTCTAAAAATATTTCATTTGTTCATTCAGCAATCAAATATTAGACAACCACTAAGTATAAGAAGCTGTGTTAGCAGCTTTAGGAGTCAAAGAAATAAAATATCATTCTTGCCTTTAACATAGTTACAATCCACTAGGAGAATAAGACTTTCATTTTATTTATTTATTTATTTTTATTTTTTTGAGACAGAGTCTCACTCTGTCTCCCAGGCTGGAGTACAGTGGCCCAATCTTGGCTCACTGCAAAATCCGCCTCCCAGGTTCAAGCAATTCTCCTGCCTCGGCCTCCTGAGTAGCTGGGACTACAAGTGTGTGCCACCACACCCAGGTAATTTTTTGTATTTTTAGTAGAGACAGGGTTTCACCATGTTGGCCAGGCTGGTCTCAAACTCCTGGCCTCCAGTAATCCACCTACCTTGGCCTCCCAAAGTGCTGGGATTATAGGCATGAGCCACCGTGCCCAGCCAAGACTTTCATTTTTAGAAATGCTATAATACCTGGCAGAATATGAGGTAAAGAGAGATATAAACAAAGTGTTCAGAGGAAAAAGAAATGATATTTAGTTAAAAGAATAGAGGCAAATTTCATGGAAATGTGGCATTTCAGCAGCACTTTGAGTGACAGGTACAATTTCACAAGAGGCAATGGGGGAGGACATTTCAGGGAGAAACAAAGTGTTTTGTTTTTTTTTTTTTTTTTTTTGAGACAGTGTCTTACTCTGTAGCGCAGGCTGGAGTGCATTGGTATGATCTCAGCTCACTACAACCTTCCACTCCCAGGTTCAAGTGATTCTCCTGCCTCAGCCTCACAAGTAGCTGGAATTACAGGCACCCACCACTACGCCCGGCTAATTTTTGTATTTTTAGTAGAGACAGGGTTTCACCATAATGGCCAGGCTGGTCTCAAACTCCTGACCTCAGGTGATCCTCCCACCTCAGCCTCCCAAAGTTCTGGGATTACAAGCGTGAGATACCACGCCCAAAGTGTTAGCCAAGGTACTAGATCAAAAAACTTTGCAAAAGTGAGGATCTTAGGAACGCTCCACGTCCTTAGAGAAACACATTTCAGCTAAAATGTATTCTCTTTTTTCCACCATCGCCTTTTCTAGTCTCTTTGTCTGACATAAGACAGACAGTTCCTTAGTCATCTCATCTGACTTGCCCGCAGGTGCTAGAGATAGAGTCACAGATACACAAGAATATACTGGAAGGCTGTGTCTGTTAATTTGCTCCCTTTGATGAACACAGTAGAAAGTATTATATTATTAGCCATGTTTTGCAGCAGCATGTGAAACAAAGGTGCAGAGAGACTGGGAACTTTTCAAGGTCACAGAAGGAGCCAGCTGGAAGGAAACCCTAGAACCACAGCTGCACCTCTCCAGAGGAGGCTGTGTGGCACATCTTTGTGAGGGGACAGTGTGTTCCCACCCAATACCTTCTGCACCCTTTTGCCAGGGAGCTCAGCATGCTATGCAGACGTTATTTAATGAGTTCTCTCAGCCCCATCGTGGTTGAAGTCGGGTGAAGGCATGTTTGTATTCTTTTCTCAAATTAACAAACTGAAGTCCACAGGGTATCCTAGCAGTTCATCTGAGAGCAAGGAATCTATGTGAGAGTTAAGCCAACAACTGACCCAAGCGCAATGTTTTGTTTGGCCCTTGTGTTAGGACCAAATGTTGGCTAGAGAGGTTGGAACGTGGGCCGGGCATTTTTAGACCCAAATTCTGATCCCAGCTCCACTATATGCCTACTGTTTGAACTTGGTCACTGGCTCAACCTCTCTGAGTGTCGGTTTCTGCATCTGTAAAATGGATACACATCTGTAGCTGTCACATACATATTTTGAGTGGTAAGAAAAGGATACAAGAGCGTCCCCTCAAAACCATGAAAAATGTTTACTTTAGGGGAAAGAGTAGAACTGGTAGGCTTCTATTTGGCTTGATGTACTTCTTTTTCATTTGGAATTGTTTACAAGAACCTGGACAGCAAATAAAAGATAAGAATAATAACAATGTTATAAATTACCATATAGGCTGGGCATGGTGGCACACACTTGTAATCCCAGCACTTTGGGGGCTGAAATGGAAGGATTGCTTGAGCCTAGGAGTTAGAGACCAGCCTGGGCAACATGGTGAAATCCCTGACTCTACAAAAAATACAAAAATTAGCCAGGTGTGGTGGTGCACACCTGTAGTCCCAGGTACCTGGGAGGGAGGCTGAGGTGGGAGGATCACCTGAGCCCAGGAGTTCAAGGCTGCAGTGAGCCAAGGTCTCACCACTGCACTACAGCCTGGTCAACAGACCAAGACCCTATCTCAAAAAATAGTAATAATAAAAAGAATTTTTTAAAAATTATTATATAAAAAATCTACATGGTAATTTCCAAATACTACCTTCCCAATAAAAGTTAATTTTAGGCCAGGCACAGTGGCTCACACCTATAATTCCAGCACTTTGGGAGGCCGAGGTGGGCGGATCACAAGGTCACAAAGACCAGCCTGGCCATTATGGTGAAACTCTGTCTCTACTAAAAATATAAAAATTAGCCGGGCATGGTGGTGGGTGCCTGTAGTCCCAGCTATTCAGGAGGCTGAGGCAGGAGAATGGTGTGAACCCGGGAGGCGGTTGGGCCACTTCACTCCAGCCGGTGACAGAGTAAGACTCCAAC
This sequence comes from Homo sapiens, assembly GCF_000001405.40. Taxonomy (NCBI): domain Eukaryota; kingdom Metazoa; phylum Chordata; class Mammalia; order Primates; family Hominidae; genus Homo; species Homo sapiens. The sequence goes on from NC_000008.11 coordinate 26,242,397, forward strand.
TCAAAAAAAAAATTTTATTTTTATATGTAAAAAGTAATCATTATGTCCTGTGGCAAATATGTCCTGTGGTAGAATATAAGACAGAAAATCAAGGAACTATAAGAGCATAACAGTTTCTAATCAAGATTCAGATTCTTTGGGAGGTAATGGATGGTATAGAAAGAACACCCAGGCACCTAGCTTTAAATCCCATCACTGGCCAGGCGTGGTGGTTCACCCCTGTAATCCTAGCACTTTGGGAGGCCGAGGCAGGCAGATCATGAGGTCAGGAGATCAACACCATCCTGGCTAACATGGTGAAACCCAATCTCTACTAAAAAAAAAAAATACAAAAAAAAAAATCCCATCACTGCCACATCCTTGCTATGTGACATTGGAGAAGTCACTGAGCCTCTCTGGGATTCAGTTTCTTTATCTGTAAATGGAGATTTAAAAAATTTTACCTTGGTGGGGCGCAGTGGGTCACACCTATAATCCCAGCACTTTGGGAGGCCGAGGTAGGTGGATCATCTGAGGTCTGGAGTTCAAGACCAGCCTGGCCAACATGGTGAAACCCCGTCTCTACTAAAAGTACAAAAATTAACTGGGCATAGTGGTGTGTGCCTGTAATTCCAGCTAATCAGGAGGCTGAGGCAGGAGAATCGCTTGAACCCAGGAGGTGGAGATTGCAGTGAGCCAAGATTGCGCCACTGCATTCCAGCCTGGGCAACAGAGCAAGACCCTGTCTAAATATATATATAATATATATTAATATATATAATATAATATATTAATATATATTATATTATATATATTAATATATATTATATATATTATATTAATATATATTATATATATTATATTAATATATATTATATATATTATATTATATATATTATATATATAATATATATTAAATATATATTAATATAATATAATATATATAATATATATATATAATCACCTCATAGCTTGTCTAGAAGATGAAATGAGACAAACATTTAAGTGTAATAGAAGGCATTGATTATTACATTTAGTGTGGGCCACGGAAATGAAAAAAGACGCTGTGTACACCTACAAAGCTTCTATTCCACCTGCTTCCTGCAGGTAGATTGCTCTGTAGAGTGTCTACAAGATTTTATCAGGGGAATCACCTAAATTGTTTAAGCTATACATGATTCTTTTGAAAATATCTTAACAGCAGCTGGGTACAGCTCTGCTCATGCCTCTAATTCCAGCACTTTCAGAGGCTGAGGTGGGCAGACCATTTGAGGACAGGTGTTTGAGGCCAGCCTGGGCAACATAGTAAAACCTTGTCTCTACTTAAAAAAAAAAAAAAAAGCTCAGCCTGGTGGCATGCTCCTGTAAGCCCAGCTACTTGGGAGGCTGAGGTATGAGAATCACTTGTACCCGGGAGGCAGAGGTTGCAGTGAGCCGAGATTGCGCCACTGCACTCCAGCCTGGGTGACAGAGCAAGATTCCATCTCAAAAAAAAATTAACAGCAATCAATGAAAGCCAAGAAAGCAAATTGGGAACCAGCCAACGTGCATCCACCTTTAGATCTTTCTGAGCAAGACAGGGTTTTCAAGCCCACATATTTGTGGTTAAGTGCTGGCCTGTGCTTTCCTGGTACTTCCCGACTACGTGTTTCTCCACTGCACCTCTCAGTAGCAGATGTGTGTAAAGAGCCATAAACTCAGCAACAATAGGTGGGAACATGCTTGCTTTCCTCTGGCCTTCCTTGTTCTGATTAAAGGGTCCTTTATAGGATCTGGCAAGCGTGCTCTGTTTGGTGTACTAAGCAGACAGATATTTCTATAGGAAGTTCTATACACTGAGATGACCTTTCCTTCAAATCAGAGCAGGTGGCGACGCCCCACTCCCCAACTGCTAGGGCCTTTCTGAGTCTGTTTCCTCACCTCTGAGATGAAGCAGGCTCATCGTCATGAGGGCAAAACATCATGGCTTGTTGAGAGATTTAAACCAGACAGTATCTATGGCCAAGGTTTTGCAAGTTGGAGACAGTAAACCATCTGGAAGAACATGCACAAGTCATGAAGCTGAGGTGGGGAGATGGCTTGAGGCCAGCAATGTGAGACCAATCTGGGAAACATAGCAAGACCCTGTCTCTACAAAAAATTAACTGCACATGGTGGTGCCTGCCTGTAGTCACAGCTACTTGAGAGGTTGAAGCAGGAAGATTGCTTGAGCCCAGAATTTCGAGGCTGCAGTGATCTATGATTGCACCACTGCAGCCTGGGCAACAGAGCAAGACTCTGTCTCTTAAAAAAAATTATATATATATAATATATAAAATATATTATATATAATATATTATATAAAATATATTATATATAATATATTATATATTATGTAATATATTACATATTATATAATATGTAATATATTACATATTATATAATATATATAATACATATTATATAATATATAATATATTACATATTATATAATATATAATATATTACATATTATATATTATATAATATATTATGTATAATATATTACATATTATATAATATATAATATATTATGTATAATATATTATATATAATATATAATATATTATGTATAATATATTAAATATAATATATAATATATTATGTATAATATATTAAATATAATATATATAATATAATTTATATTATATATAATATATATTATATAATATATATTATATATAATATATATTATATATAGTATAATATATAATATATTATATAATATGTAATATATATAATATATAATATTATATATTATTATATATTATATTATATTATATTATATTATATTATATTATATATATACACACACACAAGGGAAGCTGAGATCCCTAACAATAGAACTAACTGCAACTACAGGATCAATTTCTTTGCCTAAAGAGAACCTTCATGAAAATGTTCTAAAACTGAAAGAAAAAGAAGTATTTTGCTTTCAAATTTTATAGATGATTTCTTTTCAAAAAAAGTCTCTTACTCATTTTGTCCTGAATCTCAATTTTACATTTTCTTGCCTGCTGGCTATTTTTTTTTTTTTTTTAAGAAACATGATCTCACTATGTTGCCCAGGCTGGCCTTGAACTCCTGGGCTCAAGGGATACCTCCAGCCTCAGCCTCCTGAGTAGCTGAGGTTATAGGCCCATACCACAGCAACCAGCTTCACCCATATGCTTTGATGTCGATTCAGTGCTGCAGCCTGTGTTTCTGTGTTTTATTCATCCCTCTCACCTCTCCTCCTCTTTTCTTTCCTGCTGCTTCACCCTACCATGAACATTTCTAGGCAGTAAGTGGACATTCTGCTTCTGAGATGGGGGAGCTATATTGCTTAGATGAAGCTGAGAGGGAAGGTAGTGGCTAATTGCTATGTCAATAGCAGCCTCTCTTGCTAGTTCTGTCTCTTAATGAAACCACGCAGGAAGACAACAGCTTTTTTTTTTTTTTTTTTTTTTTTTAAGATGGAGTCTTGCTCTGTTACCAAGCTGGAGTGCAGTGGCGTGATCTTGGCTCACTATAACCTCCGCCTCCTGGATCCAAGCAATTCTACTGCCTCAGCCTCCGGAGTAGCTGGGACTACAGGCACGTGCCACCACACCCGGCTAATTTTTTGTATTTTTAGTGGAGACAGGGTTTCACCATGTTAGCCAGGATGGTCTCGATCTGTTGACCTCGTGATCCGCCAGCCTCAGCCTCCCAAAGTTCTGGGATTACAGGTGTGAGCCACCACACCCAGCCAACAACAGCTTTCTAATAAGTCTTCTCTTCTTTCATTTATTGAGTGTTTTCGGTTGTGTCAGATACATGCAAAGCATCTTTCATTACGTGTTGCTTATAATCCTCACAGCACTCTGTGAGACAGGACTTTTATCTACCTAACAGATAAGGAAAAAGAGTCTAAGAGCTTACGTGAATTGTTCAAGGCCAGGCAGCTCATTAATGACAGAATTGGAATTCAAATTCAGGTGCCTTCATCTTGCCAGGTGTGTTGAGAAGTAGAAGTGAGGGAGCAGTGTCAAGGCAAGAAGAGAGGCTCCAAGAGACTTGATAGAAGATAAATACATGAGGGTCCCTTGAGCAGTGGGGACCCTTTCTCTGCTCCTGGGCAATACAAAACTTGAGTGGTGTTCCTAGCCATGCCCAAGGTTCCCGTGCTATAATTAATTTTTAATGAAGAGCTGGCCAGGTGTGGTGGCTCACATCTGTAATCCTAGCACTTTGGGAGGCCAAGGCAGGAGGATCACTTGAGCTCAAGAGTTTGAAACCAGTCTGGGCAACATGGTAAAACCCCATATGTACAAAAAGAAAAAATGAAAATTAGCTGGGTGTGGTGGCACGCACCTGTGCACACCTGTAGTCCTAGCTACCCAGGAGGCTGAAGTGGGAGGCTCACCTGAGCCCAGGAGGTTGAGGCTGCAGTGAGCTGTGATCTCACCACTGCACTCCAGCCTGGGTGACAGAGCAAGACACTGTCTCAAAAAAAAAAAAAAAGAGAGAGAGAGAGAGACAGCGAGAAAGAAAGGAAGAAAAGAAAAGAAATAAATAATATAGCGGTTATATTTTAACAGGTACTTTTGAAAATTTTACATGCTGTAATTAATTTATTCCTCACATAAACTCTATGAGTTAAATACAATAATTCTTCCCATTTTATTATATTTTAGAGACAGGGTATCGCTCTGTCATTGAGAACTGGAGTTCAGTGGTGCGATCATAGCTCATTGTAACCTCAAACTCCTGGGTTCAGGCAATTCTCCCCAGTCAGCCGGGCTTACAGGCATGCACCACCACACCTGGCTGATTTTTTAAATTTTTTTGTAGAGTCAAGGTCTTGCTATGTTACCCAGACTGGATCTCAAACTCCTAGCCTCAAGCGATCCTCCTGCCTTGCATCCCAAAGTGCTGGAATGACATGCACGAGTCACCACACCGGCCTCTCTCCATTTCATAGATTAAGAAACTGAGGCTCACTATTTAAACCAGGGGGATTTGGCTCCTGTGCTCATTTTTCTTTTTCTTTTTTTTTTTTTTTGAGATGGAGTCTTGCTCTGTCACCCAAGTTAGAGTGCAGTGGTGCGATCTCAGCTCACTGCAACCTCCGCCTCCTGGGTTCAAGCGATTCTCCTGCCTCAGCCTCCCAAGTAGCTGGGATTACAGGCACCTGCCACAGCGCCCGACTAATTTTTGTATTTTTTTTTTTTTTTTTTTTTTTTTAGTAGAGACAGGGTTTCACCATGTTGGCCAGGCTGGTCTTGAACTCCTGACCTCATGATCCACCCGCCTTGGCCTCCCAAAGTGCTGGAATTATAGGCGTGAGCCACCACGCCTGGCTTCCTGTGCTCATTTTTCTAACCATTTTTCTGATAATTCTGTACTTCTGGGTCTGAAGGAGCCCGTAGATTATGTGATTCTGTATGTTAGCAAAAATGATCTGTGAGTGGGCATGTCCCAATGTCTTGAGGCTATGGAAGATCCCAGAACCTTGCAGTATCTGGGGAAGGGGTCACACCAAGGACGACTGAGGCCAATTTCTTGTCTGTAGAGCTTGATAGATGCTTAGTGTTGAAGTTAAAATTATTTAAAGAAAATACATTTGTGTGTGAAAAACAAATTCAGATATACCTTTAGCCACTGGCGACACCACCTGCTATCCTACGAGAATTTTTATTTGACCTGGTACAATCTGACCCTCACTGTCCACCCCTCTTCCTTCCTGAAATGTGCAGGGCTGTCTTTCTTTTTTTTTTTTTTGAAACAGGGTCTCACTCTGTCTCTTAGGCTGGTGTGCACTGGCACAATCGCAGCTCACTGTGGCCTTGGCCTCCTAGGCTCAAGTGATCTTCCTACCTCAGCTAGGACTACAGGTTCGCACCACCACGCCCAGCCAATTAAAAAAACATTTTTTTTGTAGAGATGGGGTTTTGCCATGTTGTTCAGGCTGGTCTTGAATTCCTGGCCTCAAGTGATTCTCTTGCCTCAGCTTCCCAAAGTGCTGGAATGACAGGCGTGCACCACCATGCTTGACCTAAGGCTGTCTTTCAAAAGCGACACACTGTCTCTCTCTCCCCCACCTGCCCTTTGTGACTCATTTCAGGAGATGCCTTTGTTGAGAAGCTCTCGCTGACACTCCCCGACTGACTCCAAGGCCCCCTCCCAGTTCACACAGCTCACTATTTATTTTTCTTTTATTTATTTACTTTTATTATTTTTATTTTTATTTTTTTGAGATGGAATTTTGCCCTGTCACCCAGGCTGGAGTGCAGTGGCACAATCTCGGCTTTCTGCAACCTCCACCTCTCAGGTTCAAGTGATTCTCCTGCCTCAGCTTCCCAAGTAGCTGGGATTTCAGGCACGTACCATCACACCCGGCTAATTTTTGTATTTTTAGTAGAGATGGGGTTTCACCATGTTGGCCAGGCTGGTCTCCAACTCCTGACCTCAGGTGATCCACCCTCCTCGGCCTCGCAAAGCGCTGGATGACAAGCATGAGCCACCGCACCCAGCCTCTTTATTTTTCTATTTCAATGCTTGGTTTGCTTGTGCATCTGTGTCCCAACATGGTAAGCAATTTGAGGGCAGTGCCTAAATTTTTTTGTGCATTACCAGTGCTTAACCAATGTGTAGGCTTGACATAAAATTGGCCCTCAGTACTTGTTTGTTGAAAGAATAAATGGATGAATATATAAGGAATACACAAGCAGCAACAATAGCTACAACAAATAATTCAATCCTGCTCCTTACATCTCGTACCTCAGGTGGCCAAGTAGCACCACATCAATTCAACAGTTTTATTTTTTGAGATGGAATTTCGCTCTGTCATCCAGGCTGGAGTGCAGCGGGACAATCTCAGCTCACTGCAGCCTCCACCTCCCAGGTTCAAGCGATTCTCCTGCCTCAGCCTCCCGAGTAGCTGGGACGACAGGCGTGCGACACCATGTTTAGCTAATGTTTTTGTATGTTTAGTAGAGATGGGGTTTCATCATGTTGGCCAGGTTGGTCTCAAACTCCTGACCTCAAGTGATCTGCCTGCCTTGGCCTCCCAAAGTGCTAGGATTACAGGCAAGAGCCCCCTGCACCTGGCTGTAGAAAGATTTGTTGATCTGTAGAATGGAGGAGCAGAGTACTGGCATTTTGCATCAGAATATCTTAAAAGCAACGACCCTGGGCAGAGACTTCTTGTCTGTAAAAAAAAAAAAAAAAAAGTATAATAGGCCAGGTGCAGTGGATCAAGCCTTTAATCCCAGGATTTTGGGAGGCCACAGCAGGTGGATCACCTGAGGTCAGGAGTTCAAGACCAGCCTTGCCAACATGGTGAAACCCCCTCTCTACTAAAAATACAAAATTAGCTGGGTATGGTGTCGTGTGCCTGTAATCCCAGCTACAGGAGGCTGAGGCAGGAGAATCACTTGAAACTAGGAGGCAGAGGTTGCAGTGAGCCCAGATCGCACCACTGCACTCCAGCCTGGGCAGCAAAGTGAGACTCTGTCTCAAAAAAAAAAAAAAAAAAAAGGCTAATAATCATCCTTTTATCACAGGATTGCTGGGAGGTCAAATGGCAAATGGATGTGAAAGCACTTTAGAAACTACAAAGTGACATGCAAATGTTAGTAGCTGTTATTTTATTGTTATTATTATGTGCAAGGCACCATGTCAGGCCCCAAAGGAGGACTTAAAGATGAGTAATCCACTGCCCACAAGACACCCACAACATAATGAGGTATTCAAAGGACTATGAAATAAGGCAGAAAATAAGAGATGTTCGAAGACCTATAGGGGCTCAAAGGAGAGAAAAATCATGGATCAGGAGTCAGGACAGCCCATTCATCCAAGGCCTTGTGGGAGTGCTGTGGGGGTTTAATAGCAAGGTCCCTACTCTCAAGTCCTTGATGGTCATATATGGTGCTGCATGAGACTGAAATACATGGTATTTGAGCATAGAGAGCTTTTCCAGTGAAGGCATCTGGAAGATCCAGTCTAGATCTAAAAGAGTGAGTGGGACTTAGGTTAGAGGAGGAGGAAAAGATGGTCTTTGGAGGGAGGAGGATGCAGACAAAGGCAGGATTGAGCTTGGAGAGACTGGGAAACTCCTCCTAGGGGAGCAGAGCAGAAGGTTCCTGTGGCTGGGCTGCTCATGACCCAGGGCAAGGCATCAAAAAGCAAGCAAGTGCCATGCTGGGTTGGATCAATAGTCCATTCAGTACTCTGTATTTGGACAGTGGCCCTGGGGGATACTTTGGGAGAGCCTCTGGTTGTGCCATTTGGATGATTCTTTAGCTATTAGGAAGGTAAATTATATAATAACCCATTATGGTGCGATCGTTCATGAATTTTTATTAACCCTGTCTGCATCTGTAGGCAAAAATCTCAAAAAAGACCCTCTTAAAGGAATATTCTACAATACAAAGCTGCTTCTATGGGCTCTCAGAAAGCCGACAGGAAAAGACAATTATATAAAAAGCGACCCTAAAGAAAAAGAAAAAAAACTATAGAAACAAAAAGCAGATCAGCGGTTGTCTAGAGCTTGGGGGAAGGGTAGGGAATGGGAATTGACTGCACAGAGGCACAAAGGAGCATTGAGAGGGATGGAAGTGTTTGAAACTCACCTTCCAATGGCTGAATTTTATGATATGCATAGTATGTCTCATAAAGCTGTTATTTTTTAAAACCCTACATAAATGCTTTCTCCAGTCCTCACCCAGAAAACATTATCTTTATAAAGAAAGCCAGTACAAGGTCAGAGGTGGGAATGGAAGGAGACTCAAAATCATGTCACATGAGAAATGTTGTAAGGACCCTGGAAAATAGAGCCAATAAAAGAGGAGAGAAAACCGGGGGCAGGGGCGGGGGGGGGCAGGTATGTGGGGACCGGGCGCAGTGGCTCACATATGTAATCCCAGCACTTTGGAAGGCTGAGACAGGAGGATCCCTTGAGTCCAGGAGTTTGAAACCAGTCTGGGCAACATAGGGAGACCCCGTCTCTAAAAAAAAGTTAAAAAAAAAAAAAAAAAGAAAGAAAGAAAACCAGGGGCAGCTAGCAGTTTGTGGGAAAGGGATTACAGGTGCTCTGTGTAATGCCAAGGAAGCTGAACTAGACAAAATGGATGAAGGTTGGCTTGCTCCTAGAGGTAGAGAGCTGCGCAACACTGGAAGTATTCAAGCAGTGGCTCAATGCCCCACTGTGGAGTGTTGCAGAAGGTTCTTAAGCCATGGATGAGGGCATGGAGTACAAAGGACTTCAAGGTTCTTTTCCACCCTAAGAGTCTATGATTATATACACTTCTATAATAAGTTTTATGTAGGTTTGCTCTTTGCATCAAAAAAACTGAGTTAGGCCAGGCGCGGTGGCTCACGCCTGTAATCCCAGTACTTTGGGAAGCTGAGGTGGACAGATCACGAGGTCAGGAGATCAAGACCATCCTGGCCAACATGGTGAAACCCCATCTCTACTAAAAGTACAAAAATTAGCTGGGCGTGGTGGCGCATATCTGTAATCCCAGCTACTTGGGAGGGTGAGTTAGGAGAATCCCTTGAACCTGGGAGGCGGAAGTTGCGGTGAGCTGAGATCACGCCACTGCACTCCAGCCTGGGCAACAAGAGCAAAACTCCATCTAAAAAAAAAAAAATACTGAGTTAAAGCACCAGACTGTTGCTCCTTTCCTTCCCAAATAACCTGTCTTAGTCTGCTCAGCCTCCTATGACAAACTACCATAAACTGGGTAGTTTATAAACAACAGAAATGTATTCTTCACCATCCTGGGCTGGGAAGTTCGAGATCAAAGTGCTGGCAGACTCGGTGTCTGGTGAGGGTGCATTTCCTGGTTTGTAGATGGCCTTCTTGCTGTGTGCTCACGTGGCAGAAGGAGTCAATGAGCTCCCTTGGGTCTCTTTTATTAGGGTACTAATGCCATTCACAAGGGCTTCACCCTCATGACCTCATCACTCACAAAGGCCTCACCTCCTGATACCGTCACCTTGCAGTTAGAGTTTCACATGTGAATTTGGGAGGGTCACACAACATGCAATCTATAGGAGAGCCAGACTTCGAAATTGTATAGAAAGATCAAGGAGCTAGGAGGGGGACATGGATGTCCTTGGTTGATGCTTTCTTCCTTTCCCTAGAGGTTGAGGCTCAGTTCTTTAGTATCTTTGGGTCTCCAAGGCTTTGTGTCCTTGGCCCGACATTAGAAGCTCTCCGTTCTGTAGGAGCCTGAGCTCTCTTTCCAGCCTTACTTCAATGCTCCCCACTACAGGCCAGGCACAGTGGCTCATACTTGTAATCCCAGTACTTTGAGAGACCGAGCCAGAAGAATCACTTGAGCTCAGGAGTTCAAGACCAGCCTAAGCAATATAGTGAAATGCTTTCTCTACAAAAAAAACTAAAAATTAGCCAGGCATGTAGGCATGCACCTGTAGTCCCAGCTACTTGGGGTGGCTGAGGTGGGGGGATCACTTGAGACCAGGAGGACGAGGACCTGGCCACTGTACTCTAGCCTGGGGGACAGAGTAAGACTCTGTCTCAAAACAAAATAAAAAAAACCACTGCCCAATGCAAACCATCTGTTCCAGGCAAAGTGGTAACACAGGGCCTCTAAACGCCCTCCACATTTTCCATTCTGCATCCTTCCTCAGATCATACCTCCTGCAGGAAAGGCCCTCCTCTAACCTCCACAGTGGTCTAAGTCCTATGCCACCCACAAGTGCTTCCTGCCACTGTGCCACAGGTGAGACTGGTCCTGGAGGTCCACTAGGAGCTGTTCACCAGCAAAGGCCAAATCTGGTCCGTGGGAGGCTGAGGCTGCAACAGGCCCAGAGGTAAACACAGAATTGGAGACCAGCGGCCAGGTGTGGGGGCTCATGCCTGTAATCCCAGCATTCTGGGAAGCTGAGGCGGGAGGATTCTTGAGCCCAAGTGTTCGAGGCTGCAATGAACTATGATCACACCACTGTTCTCCAGCCTGAGTGACAGAGCAAGACCCTGTCTCCACAAAAAATTTAAAAATTAGCCGTGCTTGGTGGCTTATGCCTGTACTATCAGGTACTCAGGAAGCTGAGGTAAAAGGATTGCTCGAGCCCAGGGGTTTGAGGCTATAGTGAGCTATAATTCCACCACTGCGTCCAATTAGGTGACAAAGTGAGACTCTGTCTCAAAAAAAAAAAAAAAGAAACAAAGACCAGGAATTCAAAATAGGTCAAAGTTGGGCTAGGCATGGTGGCTCATGCCTGTAATCCCAGCACTTTGGGAGGCCCAGGCAGGTGGATCACCTGAGGTCAGAAGTTCAAGACCAGCCTGACCAACATGGAGAAACCCCAACTCTACTAAAAATACAAAATTAGCCGGGCATGGTGGCGCATGCCTGTAGTCCCAGCTACTCGGGAGACTAAGGCAGGAGAATCGCTTGAACCCATGGGAGGGGTGTGGAGTTTGTGGTGAGCCGAGATCACACCATTGCACTCCAGCCTGGGCAACAAGAGCGAAACTAAGTCTCAAAAAATAAATAAATAAATAAATAAATAAATAAATAAATAAATAAAATAGGTCAAAGTCAAGCAGGGGATGTTTGCCCTTCGTATGTGATTAGGGGAGACAACAGACAACTGCTCAAGTTGGTCTTTTTTCTTTCGAAGTTTTAATATATATGTACATATAAATGTTACATATATATGTAATATTAAGAAAGTTAACCCTGAAACAATTAAATGATACTATCACTATTTAATAGTTTACTTACATAATCATCATTTTTCTTTAAGTTCTAGAGTATATTCTACTTTAATTAAGAGTAAAATTAGGCTGGGCTTGGTGGCTCATGCCTGTAATCCCAGCACTTTGGGAGGCCAAGGCAGGTGGATCACCTGAGGTCAGGAGTTTGAGAGCAGCCTGGCCAACATGGTGAAAACTTGTCTCCACTAAAAATACAAAAATTAGCCAGGAGTGGTGGTGCATGCCTGTAATCTCAGCGACTTGGGAGGCTGAGGCAGGAGAATCACTTGAACCCAGGAGGCGGAGGTTGCAGTGAGCGGAGATTGCGTCATTGCACTTTAGCCTGGGCAACAAGAGCAAAACTCCATCTCAAAAAAAAAAAAAAGAGTAAAATTACAGTACATTTTGCTGAAAAATGTAACAGTCATCAAAACTATTTGTTTCTTAGTGTTAGGCAGGCCCAGAGAAGGTAATTATAATTTCTCAGCCCAAGGATTTTAGAAATCAATTTATTAAGCATTCTTCAGAAGGGATTCTCTTGGTCTTTGAGAGTTTCTAGTTTTAAACTTAACAGGAGAGCCAAGTAAAAGTTGAAAATGAAGAGACTCTACCCTGGGGGTTTTCAAAATTGAAAAGGTTTATGAAAACATTAGTTTACATCTTTCTAAATCACTAATCTATTGTCTCCATATAAATTTTACTTCTTTATTTAAAGACACTTATTACTATACAATGGCTGTTGGGTGCAAAGAATATATGCCATAAATACTTGATAAACTGAAGTGAATCCATGTACACCAACGGAACTTGTTAACTCTTTGCAGCCTTTTGGTGACACAATTGGTTAGTATGTCATATTTAACTTGATTACAATCTTAGAAGACACGGTAATATTCTTTGGAGTAGAAGACTACATCAATTTGGGGTCTAATTCCTGAAAATTTCTTGGTAAATAGTACAGGATAATCAGGGTTCATGAACTGCCTTTTCTCATCTCACCTCCAATACTCTTTATCCACAAAGAAGTAGGTCTTGTAGTTAAGTGAATTAAAAACGGCACCATCAAATCTTTTCACAGAGACAAGGAAGCTCGGAGAATGTATCCTCTTGTGATAGTCTGGTTTTAAACAACTGATTAACCAGTACTTTCATCTTTAAAAAGAAGAATTTGACTCCTGGATCCAATTTTATAAGCAGCTTGAATGCCAGATGACAAGATCAGCCATAAGGAAGAAATTAAACTAACACTGCTCTTTGATAGTTCAGGAAGCTTACACCAAAAGAACCTGTCTTTAAAGAAAAAGATTTTTCCTTCAATTATAGTGACAGCATCAAAGCTTAACTTGGAGTCACAGGTAGCAGGTTTTAGAGTATAAGGATGTGACAGGGGTTGGTGCTTTTATGGGCTTCCACGGAGAAACTGAATATCATAGATGTCATCAGTAGAGAGGCAAAATCTGGTTGGATCAACATAACTCTAGAGAGAGAAAAATAGCTTTTGGATCTTTGGAGTGGCTAAGACCCAAGGAATGGCCCTATCAGCAGCATCAAGAAGCAAGTTTATGCCTTTGGAGTGTTGAATTCAGATTTTAGCCTCCTCATAATGCAAGTATCCATCAACACCAGCTCCCAGACCATAAGCATAGGCAATAGGTTCCACCTCTGCCATCAAAAGGATTCCTGTCTTCATGATCTCCTTATGCAAAATATATCTTAATGTGGCGAGGTGCAGTGGCTCACGCCTGTAATCCCAGCACTTTGGGAGGCCGAGGCAGGCAGATCGCCTGAGGTCAGGAGTTCGAGACCAGGCTGGCCAACATGGTGAAACCTTGTGTCTACTAAAAATACAAAAAATTAGCCAGGCGTGGTAGTGGGTGCCTGTGATCCCAGCTACTCAGGAGGCTGAGGCAGGAGAATCACTTGAACCCGGGAGGTGGAGATTGCAGTGAGCTGAGATCACGCCACTGCACTCCAGCCCGGGTGACAGAGTGAGACTCCATCTCACCAAAACAAAACAAAACAAAACAAACAAACAAACAAAAAATATACATATATATAAAAATGTCAGCCTCACCTGGGTCAATCTGTTTGAATTTCGGGGGTGGCAGGTACCATATCACTCCATACTTGAAAGCCTTCTGGATGGCATAGTCAAAATCTTTCTACACCATGCCAGTAGTATAATTCTTGATTGTGTAGGTGATATGACATTTCATCCATACTGGTTTCCCCATCACTGTGTTAACCTGATGAACATTAGGTACTGCTCATCAAGGTGCATGCATCATTGCCAGAGTAGATGCATCCAATTGCCCGGTCACATTTGGCCCCAAAAACTGCTATATTTCCTGGATTTTGTGTGCCTTGAATTCTCTGTTGGCTCTCTTTGTGATCATTGGAATTCTTTCCTTCAGGAGACCATAAAAGATGCCCATGTACCTTTGTGCAAACACATCATTTTGTTCTGGACTTGTACTATTAGCCACAGGAATAGCTCCGAAGGCAGTGGCTTGAAGGACCAGAATTAATAGAAGAAACTTCAGCCGGGCGCGGTGGCTCACGCCTGTAATCCCAGCACTTTGGGAGGCTGAGGCGGGCGGATCATGAGGTCAGGAGATTAAGACCATCCTGGCTAACACAGTGAAACCCCATCTCTACTAAAAATACAAAAAAAAAATTAGCTGGGCATGGTGGTGGGCACCTGTAGTCCCAGCTACTCAGGAGGCTGAGGCAGGAGAATGATGTGAACCCGGGAGTCAGAGGTTGCAGTGAGCCAAGATCGCAGCACTGCACTCCAGCCTGGGTGACAGAGCGAGACTCCGTCTCAGAAAAAAAAAAAAAAATAGAAGAAACTTCATCTTCAAATTCTCTTGAATAGTTTAACCCAATTTGCTCTGTTCCTTTGCAGTCTCCAGCTGGCTTTTATTCCTGCCTTATACATATGCAGGTACTCCCACCCCCAGCCTAACTGAATGTCTCTGACAACAGCTCTCAGAATGCACTCCTACCTCTAAATTCTTTATTATTTGTACCTCCCATTTTAATGATACCTTATATAATTACTTAACTTTTCATAAAATGGTGGGATTTATCAGCTATAAGTAAGACTCTTGAGGCTACACAGGCCAACCAGAGTTTTCAGATTTATTATTGTTGTTGTTGATTTGTTACCTTTTTAATTTCATAGACTGACATCTCCCTTCTACCTCCCACTCTCTTTTGCCCTGAAACATCAACTTTAAACCCAAAAAAACCTTGCTTTATTTATTTATTTATTTTTGAGATGGAGTTTCACTCTTGTTGCCCAGACTCGAGCACAATGGCACAATCTCGGCTCAGTGCAACCTCTGCCTCCCAGGTTCAAGCGATTCTCCTGCCTCAGCCTCCCAGGTAGCTGGGATTACAGGTGTCTGCCACCACACCCGGCTAATTTTCTCTCTCTCTCTTTTTTTTTTTTTTTGTATTTTTAGTAGAGACGGGGTTTCATCCTGTTGGCCAGACTGGTCTCGAACTCTTGACCTCAGGTGATCCACCTGCCTCAGCCTCCCAAAGTACTGGGACTACAGGCATAAGCCACCATGCCCAGCCCAAAAAAGTGTTATCCTGTGCATTCAGATGAAAATAAAGTCATGAACATGGAGCTACTGCTTAGCTGGAAGGAAAAGGAAGCACCAGTGTATGGGATGTGTGTCCACCAATGATGGCCTCAGAAGTATCTCAGATAAGATGCGATTTTTAAAGTGGATACACTCTGTGTATTTACATATGCAGATCTAAAACTTTTAGGCCTTTCTGAACTGTTGCTATTGTTAAGACAAACAAGTGCTATTGTGAGGGATCAGTACGAAGTGCCTTGAGTCTGTCCAACAAAATTCTGTCTCATTTAAAGCTTTTCAATATCAAAGCCACTTGATAATTAAGCAGAAAAGGATAATGCTGAAATCAGGGTGTTCAGGTGTCTATATTTCTAGCTTTTTTGTGTCTTTCTTAGGATTTGGTAATAAGAAGTACACACCCTTCTCCAGGAGGGAAAATAACATCATTTTAAACAACACTACAGTTATACTTTCATTTTATACTGAACCTGCCTATACCGGAAATGGCCCAGCTGTAAAACAGGACCAAAACAGGCTGTCTCATTGTTCTGTTAGAAGGCAGCTGTCCTGGTGAGTTACCCACCACCCCAACACTCCACAGAACAATCGGCTTATCAGAGAAGGAAAACTTTGCCTATCCCAGACTTCCTTTCTTGCTGCTTGTTTTGTTTTGTTTTGCTTTGCTCTTTAAGCACAGATTGGTCAAAACCTTGTATAACACTGATATATTTAGTATACTGTAAAAGCCATGGAGGTCTTTGAAATGCACACAAGCGTATATTATCCTTGTTGGGAAAGGCAAAAGTTTGATTATTGATTGTTCTCTTTTGCAAAAAGATTTTTTTTTTTGAGACAGAGTCTCGCTCTGTTGCCCAAGCTGGAGTGCAGTGGCACAATCTCAGCTCACTGCAAACTCTGCCTCCTGGGTTCAAGCGATTCTCCTGCCTTAGCCTCCCAAGTAGCTGGGATTACAGGCGCATGCCACCACGCCTGGCTAATTTTGTATTTTTAGTAGAGATGGGGTTTCACCATGTTGACCAGGCTGGTCTCGAACTCCTGACCTCAGATGATCCACTGGCCTCAGCCTCCCAAAATGCTGGGATTACAGGTGTGAGCCACTGTCCCTCCGGCCGGCATTTTTTTTAACAGAGCATTTTCCTGTCCTCCTTACCAAAATATTCCTGATGTCACAAAAGTTACCTGAGGCTGTGACAAGCAGTCATCTATAGACACTAATTCTGGGTCGATGACTAATCTCTCAGATTCTGCTGCTCTTCCCTACCCAACCTCCAGCTCCTAAGTGTTACCCTAAGAAGAAAAACGAAATTTTATTTCTCTGGGAAGATAAATTTTTAAAACTGTTCCCTTGGAATTTATCCCTATCCAGAACATGCTGACATAGAAGTGATAATAGTTAAATTTAGAAAGTTCTTTCTCAAATCAAAGAATACTCAAGCAGAGAGGAAAAACAAAGCTCATTCTAGCTTGTGACTTCATTTTGCAGAGAAGGAAACAGAAGTCTAGGGAGGTCGAGTGTTTGGCCGAAGTCACATGGAAAATACATTTGTTTTTCTTAACAAATAGTTATTGAGCATCTTCCGTGAGTCCAGCACTGGAGTTCGGCAGCAAGTGGGTTCTTGGCAGGGATGTGGGTGGCAGAGCCAGGGCTAGAAATCAAGCTCCACCCTCTCCTGCTGTCCCTGTCCCAGGCCTCTCCCACTGCAGGACCTCTGGCCTTGCCTCCTCAAAGGATTAGCATTCTGAGTGATAAAAATAAGACAATTTTCTGGAAGATGGAGCCTCATTTGTTTCCAGTTCCTTCTGGCAGGAATCGAGGGGCATTTGGGAGGGAGCCAGGGACATGAATGTGTTCTTATTCACAGATATGATGCCACTGTCTCAGAGCTCACAGAATGTGGGCCTTGAGTAATTTTCTGGAGACCTCTCCCATGATCAACAGGGTGGTGGAGGTAGATATAAACACAGGTGCCACAGGTCATACACACAAGAGAGCTGACCACACTTTGAGGATTCCTAAATCTACTTGGAAAATTCCTCATATAATAAAAATGAGCCTTGTTCCAAATACTTGCATACTTGCAGCGAAGTAGTAAAGCATGTAGAATTCTTTTTTTTTTTTTTGAGACAGAGTTTCACTCTTGTTGCCCAGGCTGAAGTGCAATGGCACAATCTCGGCTCACCACAACCTCCACCTCCGGGTTGAAGCAAATCTCCTGCCTCAGCCTCTTGAGTAGCTGGGATTACAGGTATGCGCCACCACACCCCGATAATTTTGCACTTTTAGTAGAGACAGGGTTTCTCCATGTTGGTTAGGCTGGTCTCAAACTCCTCACCTCAGGTGATCTGCCCGCCTCAGCTTCCCAAAGTGCTGGGATTACAGGCGTGAGCCACCGTGCCCAGTTCAGCACGTAGAATTCTAAGAATCAAAGCAGCATTCAAAAGTGCTCTTAAATAGAAAGATATATGGCTAGGCTCAGTGGCTCACGCCTGTATTCCCAGCATTTTGGGAGGCCAAGGCAGGTGGATCCCTTGAGTTCAGAAGTTCAAGACCAGCCTGGCCAACATGGTGAAACCCCTGTCTCTACTAAAAATACAAAAAAAATTAGCTGGGCTTGGTGGCGGGCCCATAATCCCAGCTACTCGGGAGGCTGAGGCAGGAGAAGCACTTGAATCTGGGAGGCAGAGGCTGCAGTGAGCCAAGATCACAAGACTGCACTCCAGCATGGGCAACAGAGAGAGACTCCATCTCAAAAAAAAAAAAAAAAGATAGACATCTCTCCTTCAAGCAATTCAGGCCTGCATCCCTCTGGTCCTGAGAAACCATAAGCATTCCCTCCAGGGAGAGCATGTCCTTGTCATTTCATTTCTTCTGGGCTCTAGAATCCAGAGCCAAAATAAAATCCTCAGTGCCACTGAGCTGGTGCCTCCCAGGTGTAAAATCACATTTTCGTACCAACATACAGTCCCTAGTTTTGGGGGGGATTACACTCAGGGATTATAACCAAGACTTTACCTACCCCTAGAACTGTGCTGAAGCCAATAGAGCAGCAAACAGAACAGTCCTGGAATGTGACATGCAACCAGTAACTCACTTGTTTCTGAAATATCTGTATTTATTTTAGCTTCATGATTTAACAGGAATAGTGTGAGGTAAAATGACATGAGTCACTTAAAGCCTTTCAGAAGGAGAAGTACCAGCCTTGATGTGGGGAAAAAATTGGTCATGGTGGCTCACACGTGTAATCCTAGCACTTTGGGAGGCCGAGATGGGCGAATCACAAGGTCAGGAGTTCGAAACCAGTCTGGCCAACATGATGAAACCCTGTCTATACTAAAAATACAAAAAATTAGCTGGGCATGGTGGCGGGCACCTGTAATCCCAGCTACTCAGGAGGCTGAGGCAGCAGAATCGCTTGAACCCAGGAGGTGGAAGTTGCAGTGAGCCAAGATCAAGCCACTGCACTCCAACCTGGGTGACAGAGTGAGACTCTGTCTCAAAAACAAACAAACAAACAAACATACAAACAGGCACAATACACGCACACACACACACACACACACACACACAATAAAAATTATTCCTATTAAAATCTTCTGAACTAAAATAAAATCTGACAATAAGAACCTCCATGGAACACTGACTCAGAATATTTCAATGAATGAGTATTCATTTTGTTAAAAAATTCAGACTGGCCAGGCGTGGTGGCTCGTTCCTGTAATCCCAGCACTTTCGGAAGCAAACATGGGCGGATCACTTGAGATCAGGAGTTCGTGACCGGCCTGGTCAACATGATGAAACCCTGTCTCCACTAAAAATACAAAAATTAGCCAGGTGGGGTGGGTGTCTGTAATCCCCGCTACTCAGGAGGCTGAGGCAGGAGAATCGGTGGAACCCAGGAGGCAGAAGTTGCAGAGAGCCAAGATTGCACCACTGGACTCCAGCCTGGGCGACACAGCGAGACTATCTCAAAAAAAGAAATCAGACAGAAAAGAACTAATGAGTGTTCTCCATCAAGAGCTTTTTTCTATTAAATGTGAGCTATTGTAATAGGCACTCTTCCAAATATTGACAAAGGTGCTTTTTCTATTTCCCAAAACTTTAATTAATATGTATGCCAAATGAGCCTCTCCCTTCCCTAAAAGGAGCCCCAAAATTATATATAGAAATATAAATTTGTGAGAACCCGGCCTGTGAGTTCACTGTTGGCCCACAAAAGACTGAAGCTAAAAGCTCCAAAGAGCTTTTGAGATCAATTGTTATAGGAAAACAGCAATAAAATGAAAAACTTGGGGGCTGTATGTTGGTATGAAAATGTGATTTTTACATCTGAGAGGTACCAGCTGGGTGGCACAGAGGATTTTATTTTGGCTCTGGATTCTAGAGCCCAGAATAAATAAAATGACAAAGACATATTCTCCCTGGAGGGGATGCTCATAGGTTCTCAGCGCCAGAGGGATGCAGGCCTGAATTGCTTTCAGGGAGGTTGTCTGTCTACTTAAAAGCATGTAAAAATATTGTTTTCTTAGAATTCTATGTGCTTTGCTATCTTACTAAAAGTATTTGGAATAAGGCTCATTTTTTGTTTTTGCGGGCAGGGGATTTGTCTGTTTTATTTTTATTTTTTTACAGGTGGATCTTGCTCTGTTGCCCAGGCTGGAGTGCAGCGGTGCAATCATAGCTCACTGCAGCCTCAAACTCCTGGGCTTGAAGGATTCTCCCATCTCAGCTTCTCAAGTAGCTGGCCCCGCTTAACCTTATTTTAATTTTATTTATTTATTTATTTATTTATTTATTTTCTTTCACTCTGTCACCCAGCCCGGAGTGCAGTGGTGTGATCACAATTCACTGCAGCCTTAACCTCCTGGGCTCAAGCAGTCCTCCCACTTCAACCTCTTGAGTAGCTGGGACTACAGACGTGTGCCACCATGTCTGGCAAATTTTCAAATTTTTGGTAGAGACGAGGTCTTCCTATGTTGACAGGGCTAGTCTCAAAGCCCTGGGATCAAGCAATCCTCCTGCCTCAGCCTCCCAAAGTGCTAGGATTACAGGTGTGAGCCACGTCGCCTGGTCAGCCTCGTTTTTATAAGGAGTTTTTGGGGCAGTTAAAAATCCTCACAGTGTGGTTCTGGATCAGGATCATCCACATCATGTGGGAGCTGGTTACAAATGCAGACTCTCAGGCCACGCCCCACATCTGCTGAGTCAGAATTCGCATCTCAGCGGGATCCCTAGGAGGCTCCTCTGCCTCTGGAGGCCTGGTTAGGAATGTGCGCTTCTAAGTCCCACCTCAGTGAATCTTCCCTACAGTTTGAGACCCTTGGACCTAAAAGTTTTAAGTTACTTTAAACATTTCATATGAAAATATGATATTTCATGGCTTTCCTCTTTTTTTTTTTTTTTTTTTTTTTTGAGATGGAGTCTCACTCTGTCGCCCAGGCTGGAGCTCAGTAGCTCAGTCTTGGCTCACTGAAACCTCTACCTCCTGGGTTCAAGCCATTGTTGTGCTTCAGCTTCCCAAGTAGCTGGGACTACAGGCGTGTGCCACCACGCCCAGCTAATTTTTGTATTTTTTGGTAGAGAAGGGTTTTTGCCATATTGCCCAGGCTGGTCTTGACCTCCTGAGCTCAAGCGATCCACCCACCTCAGCCTCTCAAAGTGCTGGGATTACAGGAGTGAGCCACTGCACCGGGCCAGTTCATGGCTTTTCTAATTCAATAGGTGAAAAAAAAAAAAAAAAAATATATATATATATGATATTTCATATCCATAGAATTTCTATGATAACAATGATTGTGTCTAGAGGAGAGTACTGGAGGAGGGAAATTTTCATGTGTTAAGTGAAATTTATGGGACTGTCATTGGCTTGGACTAAGCTCTTGCCTGCACTAGGCCCAACAGACCAGACAAAACCAGAATGGAGTCGCTCATGCCAGGGGCCATACAATCAAACTGAACTCT
The DNA here is from genome assembly GCF_000001405.40 of Homo sapiens. NCBI lineage: Eukaryota > Metazoa > Chordata > Mammalia > Primates > Hominidae > Homo > Homo sapiens. Next base: position 26,263,665 of record NC_000008.11, read on the forward strand.
CAAACAGGCTGATATTCCAAAACACAGGAACCAATCACAGCAACCAACTAAAAGGGGCCCAGTTTCCCCATGCTGGCATAATAAGGAAGCCCCCTCTGTCTGAATCCAGGGAGGAAAATAACTTTGAAACAACCAATCTGCTTTTAGTTCCCTGCTTTTGTTTTTTTCAGCCCTTTTGTGCCTATAAAGCCAACCTCCTCCACTCAGCTTACAGGAGATCCTTTCTAAATCTTTGGATGGGATACTTTCCAATTCATGAATAGTTAATAAAAACCAATTATATATTGAAACTAAATTTGTTGCAATTTTATTTTTTAACACGTTATACCTTCCATACTGCTTGATTATATGTGTGTGTGTGCCCATATTAATCTTTACCATGGCAAAGTAATCATGAGCCTTTTCTAACTACCACACTTCAAGAGGATGTTATAATTTACAAAGCCCTTTGATAGACATGGTTTCACACATATTCTAAACATCCTTTTTTGTTGAGACAGAGTCTTACTCTTTCACCCAGGCTGGACTGCAATGGTGCAATCTTGGCTCACTGCAACCTCTGCCTCCTAGATTCAAGCAATCCTTATGCCTCAGCCTCCCTAGTAGCTGGAACTACAGGCGTGCACCACCACAGCCAGCTAATTTTTTTTTATTTTTAGTAGAGATAGGATTTCATCACATTGGCCAGGCTGCTCTTGAGCTCCTGACTTCAGGTGATCTGCCCACCTTGACCTCCCAAAGTGCTGGGATTACAGGCATGAACCACTGTGCCTGGCCTAAACATCCTTGAGCAAAAAGTGATACGTTCAGATATCCCATATTACAGATAAAGATGTTAAGCACAGAAATAAAGACCATAAAGAAACATTGAAAATTAGAAGCCTGGGCAACATAGGAGACCCTGTCTCTACAAAATAAAATATTTAAAACAACCTAGCTGGATGTGGTGGTGCATGCCTGTAGTCCCTACTGGGGAGGCTGAGGTAGGAGGATCTCTTGAGCCTGGGAGGTTAAGGCTACAGTGAGCTGTGATCACCCCACCGCACTCCAGCCTGGGTGACAGACAAGACTGTGTCTCAAAAAGAAGAAGAAGAAGAAAGAAAGAAAGGAAAGAAGAAGGAAAGAAGGCAGGGAGGGAGAGAAAAGAAATTAGAGCCAAAAATAGGATCCAAGTTTGTTGTTGTTGTTTTTGTTTTGTTTTGTTTTTTTGGAGACAGAGTCTCGCTGTGTCGCCCAGGCTGGAGTGCAATGGCACAATCTCGGTTTGCTGAAAACTTCACCTCCAGCGTTCAAACGATTCTCCTGTCTCAGCTTCCCGAGTAGCTGGGATTACAAGTGTGCACCACGATGTCCAGCTAATTTTTGTATTTTTAGTAGAGACGGAGTTTCACCATGTTGACCAGGCTTGTCTAGAACTTCTGACCTCAAGCGATCCACCTGCCTCCACCTCCCAAAGTGTTGGGATTACAGGTGTGAGCCACCAAACCTGGCCAGGATCCAAGTTTTAAAAATTTTTATTATGACAAATTCTAAATATTTATAAAGTAAATACAATATTATAATGGAGACTTATGTACCTACCTGTCACTCCCCATACCTCACTTGATTATTTTACATATATATTTTTCAAGGTAAAAATTTATATACGTTAGCCTGATTTAGTGGCTCACGCCTGTAATCCCAACACTTTGGGAGGCTGAGGTGGGCAGACTGCTTGAGCCCAGGAGTTCAAGGCCAGCCTAGGCAACATGCCAAGACCCCATCTCTATTAAAAAAAGTTATATACAATAACATGCACAAATCTTATCAGGATCCTTTTTTAAAAACATTCCCATCTTGTTTAGCAAAAATCTGGCTCTATTGCCTCCCAAGTGTAAATGCTATTGCCGGATTTCCTGCTGTTTGCTACCCTGAGTTGAATCATCCTTCCCCTGCTTGAGGTTTAGCTGGGAGAGGATGAATGCTTTTGTTCTCAGTCAGAAAGCATATGGGATGTCAAGTCTGGCTGCTGCACTGTTATGCACTCACAGTGACATCCAGGTATGCCTCCTTCAAACCATCTCCCTGGGCCACAGTCAAGAGCCTCCTTCCAAAAGGGAAGCTCAGAATCCCTTAGCCATGTCCCACTCCCCAGACAACCTGGCAGCCCCCACCTGAATGCTCACTACTCTTGAGTCGGCTGATTGGGCCATCATTAATATATCCAACTCTCATTTACTTAGTCCCAATATGTGCCAGGGAGTTGCCTAGACTTGATCTCATCTCAGAGAGATCCGAACTTATAAAACTCTCATTTCCCTTTACAAGCTGGAAAACAAAATATAAACTTGTCTTCCATCTCATGGCAGGAGATGAGTCAGCAGAACAGGAAATTCTCCTTGCACAAGCCCTTCTGATCCGTGGGTTGGGTGTGTGTGGTATCGAGCGAGGGCTGGGAAGGGAGCCGGCTCCTCTCCTGGAACCACTCTGAAAGGTGAACAATGCGAGTTGGCCGGTGAGTTCAGAACTGTTGACACACACCTTGTCAATTAGAAGTGTCCCAACATGTTTTGGGGAAAGCTGAGCTGCTTCCAAATAAGGAACAGGGCAAATAAGGAAACTGGTTGTTGCCAACGTCTAGGTGGCTTCAGAATGCAAGAGGTTGGAGGAGTTACTGCCCATGAAACTCAAGATGCACTTGAGCGGCAAGCCCAGCTTTGGCGGATGTTTGATGAAAGATGAAGCTTAAGGTGGGTTTCAAGGAAGGTCCTTAAATGCCACAAAAGCCCTGGTAATACAAGTATGCACACGCAGTGAATTGCAGAAGGAAGGGAGCTCTAGGGGTTGGAAATGTCTACACAATGTCTACCACTTCTGGCCCAATCTCTAACAACCCTGCAGTCCCCTGAAGAGATCCAAGCTCTAGTCTGGTGTTATTCCTAAGGAGCTGAAACTTGGGATAAGTCATTTAATTTCCGTAGACCCTCATTTCCTCATCTGCAAAAAGAAGGCATTAAACACGATGAGCTCTTCCACTTCTGAATCCTGTAGCTGCATTGCAAACTCAAATCAGTTTACCATGACCCCACTTTTTCCTTTTCTTCCATGACTTTGCCAATGAGATGATGAGGGAGAAATAGCTGAGGCTGGCTGTTAGATCAAGCCAGACTCTTTAAAATAACTAGTCTGTGGGAATCAGGCATTGCAAGTGTGTGTGTGTGTGTGTGTGTGTGTGTGTGTGTGTGTACACGTTTCCATTAGGTGGGGCAAGGAAGCGGTTTCTGCAGTGTAGAGGGGGAAGCATTCAGTCAGCTCTAAATGTTTCAGCTTTGCAGAAAATTGCATGCAGCCAAGAGAGAGGATTCAGATTTTTGCGCAGGAGAAGGAGGTGGGGGAGGAGTGCATGAGCTGATATTCCAGCTCTGAATTCAAAAAAGGATAAGAATGCAGTTAGAAGAGTAGGCTGAGAATGAGGCAAGAGGTAAAAATATGCTAGGGCTTTTAAATAGGGTGTAGCCAGAGCTGGTTCCATCCTACTCTTCCACTCTGCCTGGCTTTTTACATTCAGCTGGCCTTCCCCTCACCCCACCCGGACCCACTCTAAACTCTTTCAAGGCTCCGATCCCCCTCCACTTCCCCCACGAGAAATTATATAGGAGCCAGGGAGGAAGTGACACATTTTCCTGCCTGAATGGAGCAGGCCCCTGAAGCAGCGTCTCTCGGCCTTTCAGCAGTTTTATCTCACCCTGGCCATCGCAGCCGCCTGGTTCCTCGTACAATGCTTCCCTCTGGCTGAACCCCACTGATGACTAGAACGCCTAAGGAGGCTCCGTGCTAGAGGTTTGGGACATCCATACAGGGCTCCAGTCCCTCTCACATGCAACTTCCGGTCAAACATCAATGATTAGAGCTTTGTTAGACCAACGAACCACTCAGAGCCCTGCCCCTGCCCCTCGGCATGTGCTGGATTCTTGGAAGGTAAAGTAGGAGAATCCCCAAGTTGGCAATCCTCGATGCCTGAATTTCCATGCCAGATCTCTCACTTCCTAGCTATGTGACCTTGGGCAAGTTACCCAGCCTCTCTGAACCTCTGTAGTTTCATCTGAAAGGAGAGATTGATAATAACAACTGCTTTGCAGGTTCTAAGGAGGATTTAATAAAAGCGTGGATAAGATGTGCCTGAAGCATTGGAAGTAGTGGAGAAGTTTTGCTCTGTCACCCAGGCTGGAGTACAATGGCACAATCATGGTTCACTGCAGCCTCAAACTCCCAGGCTCGATCAATCCTCCCATCTCAGTCTCCGGAGTAGCTGGGACCACAACTGCATGCCACCACACCCAGCTAATTTTTGTGTTTTTTGTAGAGATGGAGTTCTGTCACATTGTCCAGGCGGGTCTCGAACTCCTGGCCTCAAGTGATCTGCCTGCCAGGCCTCCCAAAGTACTGGAATTACAGGTGTGAACCACCACGCCCAGCCCTTTATGGCAGTTTTTATCAGGACCTTCGCACTTAATTTTATGCCACTGTATTGTAGTTCTCTTAGTGGCACCAAAAACGTAAATCAGCATTCCAGTCTAACACCTTATTGGTAGCTCCCAAAATGAACAACTAAAGAGATACTAACAGAATAACAAAACTACCTAAAAATGAAGACTGAAGTTAAAAACATCATGGGCAACAGGAGCCTCTAGTCCTCTCCAGTACCCAACTGTTTTGCTTGGCTTTTTTGAGACAAGGTCTCTTATGTTGCCCAGGCTAGCCTCTAACTCCTGGTCTCAAACAATCCTCCTGTCTCAGCCTCCCAAATAGCTGGGACTACAGGTGCATGCCACAGCACCCAGTTCACTGCTGTTTTTGCCCTGCCTAGTATCTCTACTACATAAAATTTATCTTATTGGGCTGGAATGATCTGTTTCCATACTGTCTCTTACAAGACTAGAGTCTATCCTGTCCAAAACTTGGTTTATTTCATAGTTCGAAAATGTATACTTTCTTCATTTTCTCTTAGAATGTTAAAATATCATTCCCCCACCCCACCTCCACCTCTAGGACTTTCCCTACCCGCTTTTGAGGGAGCATGGCCCTGCTAACACCTTGATTTCAGACTTCCGGCCTCCAGAACTGCAGCAGAATGCTTCTAGAAGGCAGGGACATGCCTCCTTTATCTTTGTATCTCCAGAATTTAGCCTAACAAAATACCTAGGGGGTAGGTCAACGTTGGCCTCTTCTGTTCACTGGTGTAGTCCATGCATGTCGCATGGTGCTGTTACTTGTGCTGCAACAGCACTGTGGGATTTCGGGGCCTCAAGCTCCTCATCCGTGTCAGAGTGTTTCACTGGGGTCAGTGGACTGAGTGCTCTAATCCTAGTTCTCCAGTGGGTCACGGCAGAATTGGGCAGATTTGAAAAGATAGATTCCAGGTTGCGTGTGGTGGCTCACGCAGTGGGTAGATCACCTGAGGTGAGGAGTTTGAGATCAGCCTGGCCAGCATGGTGTAACCCTGTCTCTACTAAGAATACAAAAAATTAGCCGGGCGTGGTGGCACGCGCCTGTAATCCCAGCTACTCAGGAGGCTGAGGCAGGAGAATCGCTTGAACCCAGGAGGCGGAGGTTGCAGTGAGTCGAGATCATGCCGTTGCACTCCAACCTGGGCAACAAAAGCGAAACTCTGTCTCAAAAAAAAAAAAAAGAAAGAAAAGAAAAGATAGATTCCTGGACTCCATTCCTGAATAATTCAATAGGTCTGGGGTAGGGCCTAGATGTTTGTACTTAAGCAAAAAAAAAAAAAAAAAGAAAGGAAAAAAGAAAAGCTTTAAAGATGATTCTGGAACAGGACGAAACTTAGACCTCACTGTACGAGATGTTTCCAATAATTTTGCAAGTAGTATGATTATATATGTCATTTTGACTGATTTCAAAAGACTCCAGGCCATCAAGAGTGTTTTTCTAGGCTGATATGTGAGTATATAGAGCTTAATTTAAACAAATGGTGCCTCGGGAGGATTAGTGATCACGCACCCTTTAAACCGATGAACTTTTTAAATCCTGTATTTAGCAGGGTTACAGAAAAATTGATTTTTTTTTAATCAGAGAAGTTCAGGAGAACTGATTTTTTTAATTTTTATTTATTTATTTTTTTGAGACAGAGTCTCGCTGTACCGCCCAGGTTGGAATGCAATGGCACTATCTTGGCTCACTGCAACCTCTACTTCCCAGGCTCAAGCAATCCTCCCGTTTCAGCCTCCTGAGTAGCTGGAATTACAGGCGTGTACCACCATGCATGGCTAATTTTTGCATTTTTTGTAGAGACGGGGTTTCTCCACATTGCCCAGGCTGGTCTCAAACTCCTGAGCTCAAGGGATCTGCCCACCTCTACCTCCCAAAGTGCTGGAATTATACACGGGTGAGCCACCGCTCCCAGCCCAAGAACTGATTTTTTAAAGAAATAAATATTAATACATATTATATACCTCTTTATGTTCAAAATAAGGAATGTATTTTTTATTTACATTTTATTTTTTTGAGACAGAGTCTCACTCTGTTGCCCAGGCTGGAGTGCAGTGGTGCCACCTCAGCTCACTGCAAACTCTGCCTCCCAGATTCAAGCAATTCTCCTGCCTCAGCTTCCCGAGTAGCTGGGATTACAGGCACCTGCCTCCATTCCCAGCTAATTTTTTTTTTTGAGACGGAGTCTGGCTCTGTCGCCCAGGCTGGAGTGCAGTGGCGCAATCTTGGCTCACTGCAAGCTCCGCCTCCCGGGTTCACGCCATTCTCCTGCCTCAGCCTCCTGAGTAGCTGGGACTACAGGCGCCCGCCACTACGCCTGGCTAATTTTTTGTATTTTTAGTAGAGACGGGGTTTCACCGTGTTAGCCAGGATGGTCTTGATCTTCTGACCTCGTGATCCACCCGCCTCGGCCTCCCAAAGTGCTGGGATTACAGGCGTGAGCCACTGCGCCCGGCCTAATTTTTGTATTTTTAAGTAGAGAGAGGGTTTCAACCATGTTGGCCAGTCTAGTCTCAAACTCTTGACCTTGAGTGATCCACCTGCCTTGGCCTCCCAAAGTGCTGGGATTACAGGCATAAGCCACCACACCTGGCCCAAAATAAGAAATTTATTACATATATTTTTTTTCTGAATTGCTGAACCAGACTTCTTAGAAGACAACATAATTTTTAAAAAAATTTTTGTAATTGGGCAGCCTCCCAAACGAGAATTGGTTTAGAGAGACTCCTTTGTAATTTCAAATTTAAATGAAAGTAAATTGTTCCAAATAAAGAACACGGTGTCATCCATTATTCAGGTAACTGTCAGCTAGCTGCCTTCAAGGCAGGACCTGAATGAAGCTGCACCTGGATCCTACATGCATGTGTCACAAAATGCTAAAGGGTGGGGGGTGGGGGGGGGGCGAGCGGGGAGGATAGGACGCAGGGTTTTGTTTTTATTCAAGGGTAATCTCTACTTTGGTGATAACAAGACCAATTTAGATTCACAAATTAGGTAACAAACCTGAATTAACTCGCTGGGGTTGCTTGACTTTATTCCAGTGATGGTTTTGTTTGTTTGAAGACAGGCTCTCACTCTGTCACCCAGGCTGGAGTGCAGTGGCGCGATCACAGCTCACTACAACCTCGACCTCCTAGGCTCAATAAAGTCTCCCACCTCAGCCTCCTGAGTAGCTGGGACTACAGACATGCTCCACCACACCCAGCTAACTTTTATATTTTTTGTAGGGTTTCACTATGTTGGCCAGGCTGGTCTGAAACTCCTGGGCTCGAGCGATCCACCTGCCTCAACCTCCCAGTGCTGGGATTACAGGTGTGAGCCACCGCACTCAGCCCCAGCAATGGTTTAACACACCTTTTAGACTGATATCCCAGGTGGCCACTGGTCTGCCTCTTTGCACCTCAAGTGCTAACTAGATAACAAAAGGTCACCTCTGCACCCTCATAAATATATTTTCTCACTCTCCCAGGTCAGTGTTTTAGACACAACTGTGCAGGCTGGGGAAGAAGAGGTCAGGGATGGAGGAGGGAAGTGGGTCTACTTTGAACTGCATCAAATTCCCTCCCAAGTGACTGAGGGAGGAGCCCGATGGAGAAGCTCTAGAGAGTCGGCTTCTCTTAGCTGGGGGCGGCCAAGGGAGCGTCCAAAATATGTGCACAAAGGACCACAAAGCCTGCAGGCAGACACACCGCCAAAGACGTGGATGACAGCCAGGCACAACACCGGCCAAGTTGGAATGGGACAAAGGAGGCGTTGTGCTCATCGGTTGAATTATCCCAGCGTGTTCATAGCTATTCTTTGTTTTTCTTTTCTATTTTGACGAAAAATGTTGCAGTTTTTTACCTTGTCACTGAACAATAACAAACTTGTGACATTTTACAACACACAGGAGATTTAGTAAACTTGTGACCATTCTAGGGTGTTTCTGACACTTACAGAAACATGTTTCGGTCTTGTGGGGCAGCAGGGTGTTGTGTGTCTGCCTTTCTGTGTCCCCATGCTTTGTGAATGTCACTGTGTGGCTTCTGGTGCCAACACGGCAAGATAAGATCAGTTACATGGCTGCAAGATCCCCAAGGATGGTCTCTTTGATGGCAGTGGAGGGCATGGACTTCAATACTGCTGCCCACAGGGCTTCCCAAGAGCCCCTTCCTAGCAAGTCACTGGCAGAGCAATTGCCTACCATCGAGTTGCAGGAGAAGGCTCAGGATTTAACAGTGCACTAAGTTACAAAGCTTTGGCTGAGTGAAAGAATGAGACATGCACAGATACCATGCTTTCCGTCCCTTTTTAAAGGCTGAAGTGATAGGATGGAGATCACAGACATTTTGAAAGTGGCCACAGAGTTTATTTCTCTGGAAGGGCCAGAAGTTTGCCCTGAAGGACATCCAAGCGCCTTCCACTTTGAGATCCAAAGCTGCAAAGCACATTTCCACACGTGGCCTAGAGGAGATGGCTCCTTCTGTAACAAGGAGGACTTGAATTTAGATGGAACCATTTCTGCAGGGCCCGCGGATGGGGATGGTATAAAAGGGCACAGATTTCATGATGGTACTTGCAGACTTTCTTCAGAGGGATTCAGTCCAATCACAAGAAGATCGGGGTTGAGGCCAGGCATGGTGGCTCACATCTGTATTCCCAGCACTTTAGGAGGCCAAGGCAGGTGGATCACTTGAGGTCAAGAGTTCAAGACCAGCCTGGCCGACATGATGAAACACCATCTCTACTAAAAATACAAAAATTAGCTGGGTGTGGTGTTGTGCACCTGTAGTCCCAGTTTCTCAGGAGGCTGAGACAGGAGAATCTCTTGAACCGAGCAGGTGGAGGCTGCAGTGAGCCAAGATCGCACCACCGCACTCCAGCCTGGGTGACAGAATGAGACTCTGTCTCAAAAAAAAAAAAAGAAGACTAGGGGTGAGTTAACCTTCCAGGTAAAACCAAAGATGATTGCAAAGTCATCATCAATGTGTAAACCAAAAATAAAATTCTAAGCCCCTCAACTAACTGAACAGACTCCTCTCTGCCAACGGCATTCGAAAGTTAACCTGAAACACTGCTTCAGGCCATAATGGGATAGGCTGGGGTGTCGAACTTGCCTCATACCCTGTTTCCTTTCAGAATTCAGGCACAGCTGACCAGCATTAACATTAACACAGAGACCTTAAGACCGACGAAATACACTCTTTATAGCATTAAGATACCAACATGAAAGAGAGCAGGCCGTGAAGTAAATCGAAACATTTTACCTCAAAATATATTTATTTAATATATTTAGAAATGGCCCTGCCAAGCTGTCTTATAGGGAAAAGCTGCATTCTATGGAGAATTCCTTTCCCTTTCTGGGTCTTTTTCCTGGTCCATGAGAAAATTAACTGAGTCTGGCACCTTTTAAAGTCCAATTAGAGACATTTACTATCCCTCCGAAGCCTGCTACCTGGAGGCTTCATCTGCATAATAAGAACCTTGGTCTCTACAACCGCTTATCTTTTTTTTGAGACGGTGTTTCACTCTTGTTGCCCAGAATGGAGGGCAATGGCACAATCTCGGCTCACTGCAACCTCCTGCTCCCAGGTTCAAGCGATTCTTCTGCCTCAGCCTCCCAAGTAACCGGGATTACAGGCCTGCACCACCATGCTTGGCTAATTTTATATTTTTAGTAGAGATGGGGTTTCTCCACGTTGGTCAGGCAGGTCTCGAACTCCTGACCTCAGTTGATCTGCCCACCTCGGCCTCCCAAAGAGCTGAGAGCCACCGTGCCCAGGCTTACAACCCCTTATCTTAACCCAGGCACTCCCTTCTATTGATTCCAAGGTCTTTAGATAATAACTTAACCCTTTCAACTAACTGTCAATCAGAAAATCTTTGAATCCACCTATGATCCGGAAGCCCCCTTCCTCCTGCCACCTCTTCTTCCTACTTCAAGTTGTCCCACCTCTCTGGACTGAACCGCGAACCAATGTGTATCTTACATGTATTGGTTGATAACTTATGTCTCCCCAAAATGTATAAAACCAAAAGCTGTAGCCTGACCACCTTGAGCACGTTCTCCGGATCTCCTGGGGCTGTGTCGCAGGCCATGGTCACTCATATTTGGCTCAGAATAAATCTCTTCAAATATTTTACAGTTTGACTCTTTTCATCAACAAAGGTTTGGAGTCACAGTATCACTTTTCTTCAAAATCATGTCACCCTTGGCCACTTAGGAAATTGTTCATGTTCTCAGAAGCAACTTTGCAGTGGTGTGATCATGGCTCACTGCAGCCTCGAACTCCTGGGCATAAATGAGCCTCCTGCCCCAGCCGCCCAAGCAGCTAGGACTACAGGTGCACCCCATCATGCCAAGCTAATTTTTGAATTTTTTTTTATAGTAATGAGGTCTTGCTATGTTGCTGAGGCTGGTCTTAAACTCCTGGACTCAGCAATTTCTCCCACCTCAGCCTCCCAAAGTGCTGGGATGACAGGCATGGGCCAACATGTCTGGCCTGGCAGTAACTTTTAAGTGAGGGGAAAGAAGCCCTTTGTAAATAAATAGAACACATTTCATTGCATCTTATTCCAGTTCCCTCAGCTGGAGTGTTGTCACCTTAATTTATCCGATTGTATTGTCATCCTAAATTTCTAGCCCAGTAATAACGGTAAGGAGGATGAAAGGCGGCAGTTCCTCTGCAGCAGTGACATTTTTTCAAAACCTTCATTACCCTTTGGCCAGTCTGCCATCTCGTTTTTGAGGTGTTTAGTTAAGGATGGACCCTGGAGTCAGACTATCTGGGTTTGTATCTGCTGTATCTGGGTTTGTATTTGATGTCTATTAGCTGAGGGACCTTGTAGAGTTATTTAAACTCTCTGTGCTGCTTTCATTTTCTTCCAGGAAAATGAGGGTAATAGTACCTACCTCATAGGGCTGTTTTGAGGCACAAGTGAGAATGTGTGCAAAGGGTGAAAAGATGTGCTGGCACTGTTAGAAAATGCAAGGGAGGTTTTTGCTGCTTGTGTTGCTGTTGTGATTCCCAATTCACCTAGTGAGCACCAGGAGCAAAAACTGGCCATGCCGGGCCAGGCACGGTGGCTCACACCTGTAATCCCAACACTTTGGGAGGCCGAGGCGGGTGGGTCCCTTGAGGCCAGGAGTTCGAGACCAGCCTGGCCAACATGGTGAATCGCCGTCTCTACTAAAAATACAAAAATTAGCCAGGCGTGATGGTGCATGTCTGTAATCCCAGCCACTTGGGAGGCTGAGGAAGAAAAATCACTTGAACCTGGGAGGCAGAGTTTGCAGTGAGCCGAGACTGCACCACTGCCCCCCAGCCTGAACAACCGAGCAAGACTCTGTCTCAAAAGAAAATAAAAGACAAGAAAAAACTGGCCATGCTGATGCTTTACATAGCCCACCTGTGGGACAGGATGGACATATTAATCCTATTTAATTAGGGAACAAAGTCTAAGAAAAATGCAACATTTTATTGCAAGTGAACTTTTAACCAGGAGGACTGATTCACAGGGACTAACCTTAAAGGGCCAGTATTCTACCAGTACAAGGGTATTTGCCATCCCAAATACATTATCTTATATGGTTTTTCTCGTTCCAGTAAATCAGTGGTTCCTAATATTTTAGGTCATGGACTCCTTTAAAAAAATCTGATGAAGCCAGGCATGGTGGCTTGTACCTCTAGTCCTAGCTACTTGGAAGGCTGAGGTGGGAGGATTGCTTGTGCCCAGGAGTTCAAGACCAGCCTGGGCAACACAGTGAGAAGTGCAACTCTCATCCATCACAAAAAAAACAAAAAAAAAAAGTTGATGAAAACTATGAACTATGTACCCTCTGCTCAGAACAGTGCATATTCACATATGCATAGACTATTTTGCATGCAAAAGCATGAGGTTCACTGACCTCAAGTTAAGATATCACTGCTATGTACATGGGAGAAGTAGAAAAAGAAAGTTATGGAATGGAGCTTCTTTCCAAAATTCTTTGAGGCACATCTCCATGGTGATTGTTTCAAATGTCAAGTTCTAGGGCCACACTTTTATAAGATGAACCTTGGGATTCAATTATTTTTTCCATTATTTTTAACTTCTCTTGCAGTGGTTCTCAGCCCTAGTTCTATGTTAGAATCACACATGGAGATTTTTTAAAAACTCCAATACCCAAGCCACACTCTAGATCAATTAAGTGAGAATATCTGGAGGATGGGACCAAGGCATAAGTAATGTTTAAAGCTCCCCAGATGATTTGAGTGTTCAACCAAGGTTGAGAAACACAGCTGTACTGCCTCTCCTTAATTAAGAGAATAATTCAGTGGATCTGGGCCTTCCAGCCCCCTACAAATCCCCATTTTTCTTTCCATATCTTTTCTGTGTAGGGTATGCCATATTTCTCTTTAAGCTAATAACTGGCTTTCATCTCCTGTTATTTAGTATGTCACAAAGACGTGTATTGTTCAACTACCACTTAAGACTTCATTTAACTCTGAGCTTATGATGGGGAGAAAAAGAAGCAGAAGGAAAAGCACATGCTGTTCAGGATTGTTAAACCCCATCCAATCTCATGAGTATGCTTTACTGAAAGAGCCGAAGACAGAGAGGAGGTGGTGGCAAAAATAAATAAATAACTAAAGATGATTTTGAAGACGTAGATGACTCAATGAAACCTGCATGAGCGGAGAAGACCAGAGACACAAGGCAGAAACATCTAAGGAGTGAGGTTCCTTTCATCGTAGAAGGTGAAGATCGAATAGGTGGGATTTGAGTAGGCCCCAAATCAATTCTTTTTTTCCGGTAGAGTCATAATTTTAGAGCTAGAAGATACCACTGAGATACACTAGTCCTCTTTCTTTCAGTCCTCTTTATCCTTGCCCCAACCAGCTGAGGCCTCAGACAGAGACATCACCAACCTGAGAAAGCAACCAAGGTTGGTGATGTCTCTGAGGTCTCAGCTGATGGGGGCAGTGATAGGGGCTGGCATAGCTAGGTCTCCTGAATTTAGAGTGTTCTCCCACCTTCCACAGTGCTAGGCTGACAGAGGCTCCTATGGCTAAGAGACACTAGGTGAGCAGAGAAAGCTAATAGAACATATTAATAAGGTGACCATATATATTTTTTTGTCTAAACCTAGACACTTTTAAGGGTAAAGGAGATGTCTTAGTTCATTGGGATGCTATAACAAAATACCATAAGCTGGCCAGCTTATATGCAATAGAAATTTATTTCTCACAGTTCTGGATGCTGGGAAGTCCAAGATCAAGCACTGGCCGATGTGCCATCTGGTGAGGGCCTACTTTCAGGCTTATAGATGGCACCCTCTGTGTCCTTATATGTGGGAAGGGGCTAGCTAGCTCTCAGGGGTTTCTTTCATAAGGGCATTAATCCCATACAAGAGAGCTCCACTCTCCTGACCTAATTATCTCCCAAAGGTCTCACCTCATAATACCATCATTTTGAAGGTTAGGATTTCAGCATATGAAGTTGGTTCTGGGTTGGGGTGCAGGGAAGGGGCACAAACATTTGGACCATAGCAGGAGACAACAGGTAAACCTGGACTTATTTGTCTCAAAAATCCATTTGCTATCTTTCTTCATTTTTACATAATCTGTCACCTTACTGATATTTCTACCATCAATACTACTTCTGTGAAAGAGTGGCTCTTAGTAGCTGTACAGTGACCTTGAACTCACCTGTGGGTTCTTCCAGGGGCGAATTCTGAGCTGTCAATCAAAAGAAAAGTTTCCTGGTTCTGACTCCCGTTACTTCCCTCTCCTTTTCCTTGCTTCCATCTGGATCCAAGCATTCCTATAGGGTAGCAACATGGACTCTTGGGAGAAGGGCTTCACAGACACACTTGCAGTGGTAGTAAGGTCTCAGATATGTGTGTTCTGCCCCCTCTCCACTTTCTTCCTTGTGGGGACTTTCTGCCTGTGAACCCTCCACTCTGCCTGAGGTCTCTCTGAGCTGACTTCCCTCTTTCCCAGACAAGCAGTGTTCCTTCCCAGGTGAGCACAATATTTCTCCTTTCCTCAATAGATTTTTCCTTGTTGAAAAGGCAACGTTTTGATCTCTGTGACTTTTTTGCTTGTTAGAAGACAGGCCTGTCCTCTTTCCATACAGGGCCCAGTTCAGCTCAGACTGGATTTAGTATCCATCAAACGTTGATCACCAGCAACAATGGCACCTCTAGTCAGTTTTCCGTAGGTGCTGTTCTTAAGTTCTTGTGTTAACAATGTACTCTTCTGGAACCTTCTAAGAACAGAGTATTATTTATTTTTTTTTTTCTTTTTTCTTTTTTGAGCCAGGGTCTTGCTCTGTCACCCAGACTGGAGTGCAGTGGTACAATCATGGCTGACTGCAGACTTGACTTCTGGGCTCAAGCGATCGTCCCACCTCAGCCTCTCAAGTAGCTGGGACTACAGATGCACACCACCACACCCAGCTAATTTTTGTATTTTTTGTATAGACGGGGGTCTCACTTTGTTGCCCAGGTTGGTCTCAAACTCCAGGGCTCAAATGATCTGCTTGCCTCTGCCTCCCAAAGTGCTGGCATTACGGCTATAAGCCACTGCACCTGGCCTGAGTAGCATTTTCTTAAATGAAAGGAATGCTGTTTCCAAATGGGCTAGTTAAACATCTCTCCTGTAGCACCTGGTTTTTCCCCAAGGAGTGTAAGGTAGTTACAGACTCCGAGATATTTGGTAAGCCTTTTTATGAGTCTTCTGATATGAAGTGAATTCCTGCTATAAAACTCTTGAGATTGTGGCTTTGGCGACTCCATTTCCAAATCAAAATAGGGACCAATCGGGAACAGGATTCAATTAAGGTTACACAATCCCTATGACATATATATATATTTCAGTTATCAATACTTTCCTATTCACTCAAGCGATTGTTGCTTCATCTTCAGCTCTCCTAACATGGCAGCTGACTAAATCATCCGAGTTCTTTGCGGCTTACCCACCATTGGCACTCCTTGATCTGCTGTCACTGTAGGCTCTTGTGATATGGAAGTACCTTATGCCCATTTATTCTTGGATGTCTCTGTACCTGAGCTACAGCACTGTCTCCCGACTTCAGTGGAAATGTTACTGCCTTATCACGTGGTCTTGATGTTTATTAGCTTCCCGTCCCTTACACAAGGCAGTATTTTCCCCTGGATAACTTGCTTGAGGCCGTGAAACCTGCTGTGATAAAAGAGGTTACATTATGGAAGTGGGAACCCGTGTCAGAGGGAAATCTTAGCTTTGGAAAGAACTCTGGCAGGAACATAGGTGGGACACCCTATAGAATCCTCATGTGACCTTCAAAAAGAAATCGTACACTTTTCCTTCTGCAACTTGGTTGGGACTGAGAACTTCGCTGTGGTGGAGGAGGTTAGATTGTGGAGGTGGGTGCTTCAAATAGCATTTGCAAGGTGGTGTCTCATCTAATTTCCCTTGCTGAAAGCAACTTGAAGTCTAACTTTTGTTATAGCTTTATTGTCTTCCATATTAAGAGGTTATTACATTTAAATTTTTATTGCAAAGCTACCAATATACCATGTCAGAGAGGTTTTTGCAGATCTGTTAGGCATAAGCTGGATTTGATTCGTTAAGCTTTCAATTTTCTCTAAGGCCGTGTTCAAGGGTTTGTGGAAGCATTCATAACCTTTTTTCAGGGAGGGTGGGGGAGTCTGTTCTAAAGACGAGGGTACAGTAAAGTCATACTAAGACATTTGGGGTCCTCATGGGTGAGTTTACATATTTCACCCCCAAGGAATTTTTACTTTGCCAGTTATGGTTTATTTTTAAAATGTGTTTGAGGACACATCTTCTGGATCAGAGTACAGTACAAAGATAAACGGTATGGAATAAGCAGCTTGGTGGGATAATGTAAGAAGCATTAGATTGAGTGGATTGAGAGCCAAAGACTGGCTCCCAGCTCCCAGCCTCTCCTCCATCTAGCTGAATGAACTGCATGCAAGCTACCAGCCTTTAATAACAAATGCCTTAATCTCTTAAAACCCCCATTTCCTCATTTCTCTTATGAAAGTCTTTGAGATCATGCACATGACAAACAAAGTTAATATACTGGCCGAATGCAGAGTATTATTCTTGATTTTGTTATAATAATATAATATTTGAAACCTGAATTATGGTAAAAATGGAAGTGGGCAGGGCTTTGGCTCACTCCAAAATTTGGAAGGCGAACTGAGGAAGATCTGCATTGACATCCCTTTTCCCCATATGTCCAGGGGCTTCCAGTGCTCAAGGCAGCCTCAGTCAATGTTGGACCAGGCTTGGTATTCACAAGTGCTGTGGTTGAGATAGGCCTTTGTGAAGTGTACGCCGATATCAAAGGCTAATTCCCAGATGGTTAAGTGGCCACTGAATTTTTGTTGCTCTGAGGGGGTCTAGAAGCAACATGGGCTGAACTTGGATATGATGGAACAGGATGCAGTAAACCATATTAAAGAACTCATAGGTTCTTGAGTTTATCAGACGCAATAGCTAGTGAAAACTGATTTAGAAGGTCAGCAGAGGCACATCATAGAATCTAGTATTTAGGATTGAATGCCCCATAGCTAAGACTGTGTGTACATAAGGTACTGGGGCTCATGGAAGTATTGTTTCATCAGTGTTGTCAATGAGTCCAGTGGAATAATGAAGGACAGTGCAGAATCTCGTCGTGGGGCACTGGAACAGCTATCAGCACTGAAGAATCGCCCATGACTTGTCACAGAATGCCCTGAGCTAGACATTAGAGAATAACGGCAAGATACAATAAACCTAATGTAATGGATGTCCAAAATGAGGTCAAAGCACAGAAGCAATAGTTGAAGTAAGTCCCAAAGTGCATTATCAAGCATTGGGGCAGAGCTGTGGGCAGACTTCTGGGGGAAATATGGGAGCAAACACTAGCTGGCAGTACAGTTAGAAATGCAAGGAATAGCCTGTAGCATATCCAAATAGATCTTTATTGCAACTCAAAAGCAACCTTTATTTGAAATCATAGATTTGTTTTGATGTCGGTTGGTTGGTCTTCATTCAAGAGTACACATATTCTAACATCACTATTTCACCATCTCAATAGGAAAGATTCACAACCAATGTACAGGCATATTTCAGGAACATCCTAAAATTGAAATTTTAAAATAAAACGGTTAGAGTTATCACGGAAAGGAAGGTCATCGTATGTGGAACATGTCAATGAAAGGAAATGCTTTAGGGTAAAAATACACTGATTAGAGAGGAAGGCTGATATAACTGTGGGCAGAGATTTATGTATGTGGAAGTCAATGAATCCACAGGCGGTAGTGTGCTGGTAAATGTTTGATAACCAGCTTTCTGGGAGTGTGGGGGAGCCCCAGTTTCTAGCATTTATTGATTTCTGAGGTATAAATATTCCCTCTGTAACCAATTTCTACCATACAGATATAATAGATGTGAATAACCCCAAGAGCATAGATAATAGTAAAACATAGTAAAATAATTAGGAAGTGATGAGTTTTGAATATTTATTACCTTTGTTTATAATATAACTTAATTATGTTTATATAATTTAATTTTTATTATTGTCTGTTTTTAACAAGCTCACAAAATTCCCAAAAATTTCACAATCATCTCTTTCGAGCTAGTATGAACTAGCTCCAGCACACCCCTGCCTGTGAGTGAAAGGACATCGGAGCATCTTTAGGGAAAGATGAAAAGAAAAAGGGACCAGGCGCGGTGGCTCACGCCTGTAATCCCAACACTTTAGGAGGCCAAGGCGGGTGGATCGCTTGAGTTCAGGAGTTCAAGACCATCCTGGGCAACATGGTGAAAACCTAGCTCTACCAAAAATACAAAAAAAATTAGCCAGGCATGGTGGTGCTGGCTTGTGGTCCCAGCTACCCGGGAGGCTGAGGTGGGAGGACAGGTTGAGCCTCGGAGGCAGAGGTGGCAGTGAGCTGATATCGCAGCACTGCACTCCAGCCTGGGTGACAGAGTGAGATTCTGTCTCAAAAAGAAAAAAAAAGAGAGAGAGAAAGGAATAGCTGTGAAAGATTTCGTTACTTACAAGGAAAAAATAGAGAAAGGTGGGTTTAGATTATTCTTCATATAAGTTAATGCATAACTGTAGAATGATTTTACTTAAATAATGCTCATTAATGATCAACTTCTTTTGCCCCACAGGCATGGGAAATGCTTCATACTATAGCTCATCTGCTGCAGATTTGGCACGTACATTAAAAAATCATATAATGAAGAATCTTTTATGCCTAGTGTTGCCCAACTTTTTTGACTGTAAAACCTCTTATTCCCCACAGAATACTTAATATCTATGGCAGATCAGTCAAGAAACTACTCAGTAGGTTGGTTGTAAGTATCCTGTCCTTCAACCTTCATGATTAATGACTTCAGACAAGTTATAGTGTGTTGATCAAATCTTTTGTACCATAGGAGATAGACTAAGTCAGTGATTCTCAAATTTGACTACACATCAGATTCCTCTGGAGGCTTCTTAAAAGACCTAATGAATCAGAATCTTCGGAGTTGGGGCCCAAGAAGATCTCTCTTTAAAAAATTCTTCCCATTACTCAGCAGTGAATATAAAATAAAATATTTTTAAAAAATTCTTCCCATCAGACAAGGGTACTACTACCCATAACATTTTTGGCAATATTTTTTTCCAATAATTTGTCAATGTGCTCTGAAAGAGTGCAAATTGATTGATTGATCAATTGAGACAGAGTCTTTCTCTGTAGTCTAGGCTGGAGTGCAGAAATGCAATCACAGCTTACTACAGTCTTTACCTCCCTGGCTCAAACTATCCTTCCATCCCAGCTTCCCAAGTAGCTGGGACTACAGGCACATGCCACCATATTCATTTTTAAAAATTTTTGTAGAGATGAGGTCTCCCTATATTGTCCTGGTCGGTCTTGAATTCCTGGGCTCAAGAGATCCTCCTGCATCTGCTTCCCAAGTTGCTGAGATTACAGGCATGTGCCACCACACCTGACTGAGTGTAGTTTTGAGCATGCAGTGAGACGGATACTACATTGTGAATTCAGGAGACTTTAAATATAACAACTTATCAATATTTTAAGATTATATATTTGAAATCCTCTTTTTTTAAATAATAATTTTTTTTTTTTTTGAGATGGACTCTTGCTCTGTCACCCAGGCTGGAGTGTAGTGGTGCGATCTCAGCTCACTGCAAGCTCCACCTCCTGAGTTCATGCCATTCTCTTGCCTCAGCCTCTCCAGTAGCTGGAACTACAGGCGCCTGCCATCACACCTGGCTAATTTTTTTGTATTTTTAGTAGAGATGGGGTTTCACCATGTTGGCCAGGACGGTCTCGATCTCCTGACCTGGTGATCCACCCGCCTCGGCCTCCCAAAGTGCTGAGATTACAGCTGTAAGCCACCGCACCCGGCCTTAAATAATAATTTTTAAAATTTTATCATAAAGACAGGGGTCTCACTATATTGTCCAAACTGGTCTTGAACTCCTGGGCTCAAGTGATCCTCCTGCCTCGGCCTCCTAAAGGGCTACAATTACAGGCATGAGCCACCATGCCCGGCCAGAAATCCTCTCTCAAAAAACATTTTGGCACTAAATTTTAAACTGAAGTCATTAATTCTCTAGAAAGAATTACAATTACATGGCTTTTTAGATATTCTGTACAAATTGTTTATATTGAATAATAATAAAATCTCAATGATGAAGGAAATAATACAGAATAACAAAACTTTATATGTGTTTGTTCAAGTATTTACCAAGTTCCTACTATGTTCTAGGGACTATGTATCAATAAAAAAAATGACCTATTGGGAAAAAGATTAGAGAGAGATGTGTGTTAACAGCTGTGCATGGGAAAAGGCTCGATCACAATATAAGGAGGTGCAGTCTGTGTGATTGTCAAATCCAAGGAAGTCCGGTTTGTAGAAAAGAACAGGTAACAGTTTCACTCAGGTGTATAATCGTCAGGCCTGAATTATTATATTTAGTTCTGGGCATCACTATTTGAGGCATTTGGAACAAGTACACTATATGTAGAGGGTACGCCCAAGATGAGATGCAGAGATTAAAGATGGGCAGATGAAGAAGCTTGGAAGAAGCTCATTGATTATTGTAGAGAAGAGAAAACTTGTGAGATGTAGTTATGTTCCAAGATCTAAATGACCTTCATTGAAGAGGGCTCAGATGGGACAGCCAGGGTCTGCTGTTTAAAGTTGCAATGAACATTCATACCATGATATTCAAGGTATTCATTTCTGTACAATGTACAGTGTAAGGCCGAATTACTTCGTGATCATAGCTCTCTAAAAACAGAATGCGTCTTAGTTCTCAGCTACTTGCAAATTTTAAGCCAAGGCTGAATGAGCACTGAAGGACATGTTACATAAGGAATTTAAGTATCCATTATGAGAACTGGGTTAGTTAATGCCTGAACTTCCTCCCAACCTTAAGCTTGTGTGTTTCTGTCATACATGCATAAAACACACACTTGTGTCATGGCTAATAACCTCAAATGCCACCTAAAAAATCTGCAGCATGGGCCTGGTGTGGTGGCTCATGCCTGTAATTCCAGCACTTTGGGATCCAGGTGGATTGCATAAGCTCAGGAGTTTGAGTCCAGTCTGGGCAACATGGCAAAACCCAACATTTATGAAAAATACAAAAATTAGCTGGGCGTGGTAGTGCACACCTTTGGTCCCAGCTACTTGGGAGGCTTAGCAGAAGGATCTCTTGAGCTTCCTTGGAAGCTCAAGGCTGCAGTGAGCCATGGAAGGTCAAGGCTGCAGTGAGCCATGATTGTGTCACTGCACTCCAGCCTGGGGGACACAGTGAGATCCTGTCTCAACAACAACAAAAAATCTGCAGCATGGACATACACTCATTCTTCAAACAAATAGGCTGTAATGTAATAGTTTACATTACAGGACATTTATGATCGTTCAATATGCAACACTGAAAATACATTTTAGAGATAATGTTTAATTTCACAAAGTTTGCATTTTATACCAGATATTCAGGTTATATCCTTACAGGATGTACCTGCCACAAAAGTATAATACAACATTTTCGGTTGCAATTTACAAACAGAAGGTAATTGCATGAACTTACTAATGTTTCCTTCGTTAAATGACACTGTCGCAATGTACATTGCAATGTAATCATGAAGTAATTCTGCCTTACATTATACATTGCACGGAAATGAATACCTTGAATGTCATGGTATGAATGTTCATTGCAACACTGAACACTGTTAAAAGACAAAGACAAAATGTTTCTCTATTTTATGCTAAAACCATGGATTAAGTCACATCTGTGCATACAGTTATAACGGACTACAACTTTCACTTTAAGGTAGAAAATAGGTAGCATAGATGTTATCAAGCTCTAATACCAGCATTAGAATGAATTTTCATAATTAAGTTTATTCTTTCCCTTTAATATATGTTAATTATAGAATATTTAGAGAAACGCAAGTGTCAAAGGAGAAAAAATTACCCATCGTGTCACTGTCCAGAGACATTACTGAGAACACCTTGGTGCATTTCCTTCCTGTCTCTTTCAGCTGTGCATATATTGTGTTTGTTTGTTGTACATACTTGCGTTCATATTGTATCTATATTTTTTATCCTGCTTCTAAGGCACAAGCAATGTGCCTTACAAACATTTGACTACTACATAGTAATCCACCTGGTAGATTCACTATCATTTTTGGGTTTATCCTTCTAGTGTAAGATATCTTAGTTATTTTATAGTCAGTTCTATACCTTGAATATCATGGTATGAATTGTCTTTATTGTGTAGACTCTGCAGAGTTTTGGGAAACTGACTTATAGGCCAAATGTGTAGCTATTAAAAAAGTAGGCTGAGAACGGTGGCTCATGCCTGTAGTTCCAGCACTTTGGGAGGCTGAGGCTGGTGGATCACTTGAGGCCAGAAGTTCGAGACCAGCCTGGCCAACATGGTGAAATCCATCTCTACTAAAAACACAAAAATTAGCCAGGTGTGGTGGCACATGCCTGTAATCCCCGCTACTCAGGAGGCTGAGGCAGGAGAATCGCTTGAACCCCAGAGATGGAGGTTACAGTGAGCCAAGATTGCGCCGCTGCACTGGGCAACAGAGTGAAACTCCATCTCGAAAAAAAAAAGTATATAAAAAACTGACAAGTCCTTATAACTTTCCCTGTAAAGCCCTTGCAATTGCTTCAGGTCAGAAGGCATAGCTATGGTGGGTTTGTCAAAATTCTAAACTGTAACCATTTTTAATCAGGGACCTCTCCCCTTACTCTTGAATTCATGGACTTTCCTGGATACCCCTTGGTCTAACCACCTAGAGGAGAAAAGCAGCTGAAAAGTGCCACTTCTCATTTAGTGTGTGGGGGTGGGGTGGGGGCGTGGGTTGTGTTCCTCTCAACTCCAAACATGCTTCATCGAGGAAAAGAGTAACTTTCAAATGTTTCTTCTTTGGTCATTCAGTATACTTTAAAAAGCCATCTTGCAGTAACCCATGGCTAAATCCTGTTGGCTCCATCCTGCTGGTGAGATTGTGAGTGTCTTTAGTACCTTTCAGCTCAGACCCAAAGCAGAACACTTCCAAGACAAACAGGCTGTCTACAACCTCACCAGGAAACTCCAGAGGGAGTTGTCTCCCTGTTTGTGCCTAAGCTGAACTCAGTTCTGCAGGAAACTATGAGTTTGTGTATCTTATATGTGGCCAGGTGTTGAAGTTCTGGCTAAAGGCTCACATTAAAGAAAACTTGGATGATAGCATCTGGATGAGGGAATGGTGTCCTACGGGATCCTCTTGGATAATATGTATTCAGGAGACAAAGGACCAGGTGGAAGTAGCTGGGATGAATCTATCTATAAGCAACTTACATATTTAAACAACTGTTGCCTGACAAATGTAGATCAGAATGACTGAGATCATTGTAAAACGTCTTTCTTCCACAGTTAAGGGTGAGTGACAACATTTATGATATGGCAAGCATTGAGGAGTCAACATTTCAGTGGTTTTCTTTAAGCCAGAGAGATTTATTCATTCATGCATTAATCCCACAAATTATGTGGCTGATGATATGGCAATGAATGGCATACTTCCTACCCTCAAAGAACTCAGTGTAGTAACAGACAAATATTTAGATAATTTGAGTGTGGTCTAGAAAGACAGAAGTGAACTGGATTTTACAAGAATATTGAGTAAGGGTGCCCAGCCCAGCTTAAGGTGGGTAGGAAATGGGGAACAATGTCAGAGAAGCCTTCCTGGAGGAAGTTAACATTGGAATTGTTTTTTAAAGAACAGTAGTTTTACTGGCTGAGGAGGAAGAAGGACGGCTGCTGGGAGTGTTGGGGTGGGGGTGGCGGGGTGCGTGGGAGTGTTGGGCTGGGGGTGGCGGGGTGTGTGGGAGTGCTGGGGTGGGGGTGGCGGGGTGTGTGGGAGTGTTGGGGGTGGGGTTGGCAGGGTGTGTGGGAGTGCTGGGGTGGGGGTGGCGGGGTGAGTGGATGGTAGTGCTCAGGAAAGGGACAGCATCAACCATGGTATGGAGGGGATGTGGAATCAAGACTTGTGCCTGGCAGCACTATGTTTGAAATGCTAAATGGGCATCTAGAAATGTCACATAGGCATGCAGAGGTGTGTGTCTACAGTTCCAGGGTGAGGGCATAGCTGGAGATCTAAATTTAGCAGTCCCTGGTATATACATGGTATTACATGATATTTACTTAAGACTAAATGAGGTTGCTCGAAGAATGTGTAGTTACACAAGGGACCCCAGTACGGAGGCTGGGGAGACAGATCACCGTAATATTTATTTATTTATTTAGAGACAAGATCTTGTTCTGCCACCCAGGCTGGAGTGCAGTGGTGTGATGATGGCTCACTGCAGCCTCGACCTCCTGGGCTCAGGTAACCCAGGTAGCTGGGACTACAGTCACGTGCCACCACACCTGACTAATTTTTTTGTATTTTTTTGTAGAGACAAGGTCTCCTTTTGTTGCCCTGGCTAGTCTCAAAATCCTGGGCTCAAGTGATCCTCCCAACTCAGATTCCCAAAGTGTTGGGATTACAGGTGTGAGCTACTACTCCTGGCCACCACTCTAATATTTAGAGGGTAGTCTAGGAGAAGGAGCCAGCAAAAGAAACTACAAGGAATGGCTAGACAGGTGGATAGGTTAGGGGGGGTGACAAATAAAGTGTCAAGGGGAAAAAAAGAGTCTCAAAAAAGAGGGATTGATGGATGGTTTCAAATGCTGCTGGGAAATACAGAAAAATTAAAACAGAGAAGTGACCACTGTAGCAACATACAGATCATTAATGACCTTGACAGAGGCTATTTAAGTGCAGTGGTAAGGGCAGAGGACAGAGTGGAAGGTAGAGCCACGTGTGGAAGCACATGCCTATAGTCCCAGCTACTAGGGAGACAGAGGCAGGAGGATCACTTGAGCCCAGGAGTTTGAGGCTGCAGTGAGATATGATCATGCCACTGCACTCCAGCCTGGGTGACAGAGCTAGACTCTGTCTTTAAAAGAAAAAAAAGTTTTGTTTTTTTTTGTTTTTGAGAGGGAGTTTTGCTTTTTGTCGCCCAGGCTGGAGTGCAATGGCTTGATATCGGCTCACCACAATCTCCGCCTCCCTGGTTCAAGCGATTCTCCTGCCTCAGCCTCCCGAGTAGCTGGGATTACAGGCACGCACCACCACACAAGGCTATTTTTCTTGTATTTTTAGTAGAGATGGAGTTTCTCCATGTTGGTCAGGCTGGTCTTGAACTCCCAACCTCAGCTGATCCACCTGCCTTGGCCTCCCAAAGTATTGGGATTACAGGCGTGAGCCACCGTGCCTGGCAAAAATGTTTTTTTAAGTGGAAGATAGATATGGAAGTGAGATGGACAAGAGCAACCCTTGACTCTGGGCTAGCGGGTGTTCTGGCCTCTCCTCCTAATGGCCATTCTGATGAAAGGGAGGTGGCTTATGGTCCTCTGAAAGGGCTGACCAGGGCCCAAAAAGAGCCAGGTCGTTTACACCAGGGTGCCAGGGTGCACTGGCCCTTGATTATCAGACCCAAGTCAGCCCATTCCACAGGCATGCAGTACCCCCAAGGCTCCAAATAATGTTCTTAAAACAGCACCTGGCACAAAGTCGGTGCTATATACATTTTTGTTATAATTATCCCAGTTTCTAGGCAAGCTTTATTGGCTTCTAAGAACAAATCATTTATGTAAACCAAATCATTTTCAGGGTATGTAAAGTCTATATTCTCTTTTTCTGTCTTCCTTTCTCTCTCTCTCCTTCCTTCTGGGTTCTGGTTAAGATGGAGAGCTCTCCCTGGAGAGTCTGGGATTGAACCACCAAAGAAGGGCAGAGCAAGCAAAAAGGAAAATAAATGAAGGCATACCCAGAGAAATACATTTATGAAAAACACCAGCATTGAAGAAAATACAGCACGCAGTGCACTGAAGTTTTGTACCTGTTGTACAGGTAGCCAAAAGATGACACATAGAGGGTGGATTTTTAGTTTTGATTAATTCATTGGTAACGTGGGAAATATTCATGCAGAAACAGAGGAATGATCATGCAGTGGTGCAGTTGTTCCTTTGAAGGAATTTTGAACGTTGCATTACAGTTCAACTGTCCTGGAAATCAAAAATATGGTAGAAAGTGGAGATGGTGGGGAGGACGTGTAAATATCTTTAACTCCCCCTTCTTGGTTTCCAAACGCCTTTATCACTCCATTCAGCCTTAGGCCAAATTCTGGATGCTTTTACAGGTGTTTTTCACGTGTAAAATGTGCATATCTATCTCCTAGGAGTATCGTGGAGATGGAATGGGATATGTAAAGTGTGCTGTATATAGCAACTGCATCATTAGAGCATCTTTCAACAGAAGTGCACATCCCCTCATAGCTGATGACTGGCATTTCCTGTTCATTTTTTTCCTTCTACCTCTTAACCTTACTGACGATGCTTTCAATACAAATCTAATAATAACGGCAGCTAACATTTATCATGTGCTCAAATTAAGTCATTTCATCTCCCCAACAATCCTATCAGGTAGGACTGTCATCTTCATCTCCTGAGCCTTGGAATCATATTAGGCAGCCTGGCTTCAGAGCCCAGCACTTTTTGTGTTTTTGTTTTTGTTTTGACAGGATCGCATTCTGTCTCCCAGGCTGGAGTGCAGTGATGTGATCACATAGCTCACTGCAGCCTTGACCTACTGGGCTCAAGCAGTCCTCCTACTGCAGCCTTCTAGTAGCTGGGACTATAGGCACGCCATCATACCTGGCTAATTTAAAAAAAAAAATTTTTTTTGGAGAGATGGGTCTCCCTATGTTCTCCAGGCCGAACTCGGAACTCCTGGCCTCAAGCGATCCTCCCACCTCGGCTTCCCAAAGTGCTGGGACTACAGGCGTGAGCCACCGCGCCCGGCCCTGAGCCCAGCTCTTAAGCACGCAGTCCAACACGTTTAGCTGGAGAGACGCCGGGTCACTTCTTGGGCCATACCCTCTCATCACAAACTCAGGTTTCTCTTAGAAATCACTCTTAGTGTCCGCAGTGCCTAGGACTCCCGCCTTGGATCCTGGGGCCCACGAGAAGGTAATTTAATTCACCCAGATAGAACCAGCCCAATCGTGTCCCTCTGAACCCCGTGAACTTTCACCCCGGCTGAGCAGTAAGTCTGCACCGCTGTCCCTTTCTTTGTGGTCTCAGGGCTAATCCAAAGTGACAATTTCCTAAGAAGCAGTACGGGGTTTTTTGTTTGTTTGTTTTTTGTTTTTGAGACGGAGTCTTGCTCTGTCACCCAGGCTGGAGTGCAGTGGTGCGATCTCGGCTCACTGCAACCTCTGCCTCCCGGGTTCAAGCAATTCTCACACCTCAGCCTCCCAAGTAGCTAGGATTACAGGCGCACACCACCACGCCTGGCTAATTTTTGTATATTTTTAAGTAGAGACGGGGTTTCACCATGTTGGCCAGGCTGGTCTCGAACTCCTGACCTTGTGATCCGCCCGCCTCAGCCTCCCAAAGTGCTGGGATTACAGGCATGAGCCACCGTGCCCGGCCCAGGTATTCCTAGAAGACATAGGACCCCATGAATCCTTGCAGGAGAGCACGTAAACTGGACTCCTAAGCCCGCCCCAGAGCCCCGGCGCTAGTGCTCGAGGCTGGGACACTGCTAGGTGCACACAGCCGCGGCCTGGCGCAGGCGGTGCGGACAGAGGGTATGCCATGGCGAGACGCTGGCGCGGCGCAGGCCCTGCCGGCCGGGACACGGAGGGCGGGGCACAGGCGCAGCAGGAAGGGGGCGTGGCCAAGAGCCGCCCGGCCGCTCCCCCGCCCCTCCCCCTCCGCTCTCCGCCCCAGCCCGGCGGCTCCGCCCCCTAGGTGACGTCACTGGCCAGGCCAGCCGGCGCCATTTTGAAAGTGGAGTCGCCTGCCCCTGCCGCTGCCGCCGCCGCCGTCGCTGTCGTAGTCGCCGCCGCCGCTGCCGGAGAAAGAGCACGAGCGGGGAAGCCCCAGAGTGAAATCTAGCATCCTGCCGGCTGGTCTGCCCGCCCCTCCTTCCTTTTCCCCCCGGCCCCCGTCCCCTCCCCCCGCAGGTGCCATCCGCCGCCATCCGCCCTCTCTACCCCCCCATCCCCAGGTGAGGGGGGTGAGTTCAGGAAGCGGAGACCCCGAGGAACCCAGCAGGGTCACCATTTGCAGCGCAACATGGCAGGTAAAGGAGAAATCCCCCTCGCCCCCTGACAAGGCACCGCTTCCTTATTCCTCCCTCCATCACCCCCTAGCGACCGCCCGCGCCTCGCGCAGAGCCACAGGGCGCCCCTCGGGTTTGAGGGAGTAGGGTCCAGAGGGGTGGGGTGGGGGCGGGGAGGGCTCCCGGGAGGCAAGTGGTCACGGTGAGAGTCACTGGGCTTGGAGAACGGGGCTGGCGCCGTGGCGGGGGTGGGGGTGGGGTGTGCCGGCGAGCTTGGGGTGAGGCGTGGGTGGGGCGGGGTGGGGGTGCGTGCAGATTTGTCCCTCCCGCTCGGGAGCCTGGTGGATCTTCTCCCACCTCCCCACCTTGCCCCCCGCCTTTATTTTTTTTTCCTGCAGGTCTTCATTTAATTTCTATTTTTCCCCCTGCTGCAAGCCTTCTTGGGTGTATATACACATTTATTTTGCCTCGAGAAGGAAGAGCGCCTTATAAGTTAAAATACAGTGGGGGCATATGTGTATTTTTTCCCCACTGTAGATGCCAATATTTTTGAGACTGGAAGCCTAAATTTTTTGTTTCGAACCATTTCGTTTCCGTTTCTTCCCTTTTACCGCCGAAGAGTGCAAGGCCTTTCATGTACAGCAAGTTGCATGAAAATAATTTAAACTTTGCGTTTAGCATGTTAGCTTTTTTGCAGATGTCCTTTTCCCAAAAGGGTTTGGTAGAGTTAGTTAAAATAGTTGCGGAGTTCAGAGATATAAATAGCAAGGAGGAGAGAGATTTAGGTAGAAGCTTTGAAGGGGAGGGGAAAGGATGTAGAGAGAAAACCAGTTTGGAAATAAATTTAGCAAGGAATAGGGGTGATGGGGGAGAGAGAAGTAATGTAATTGCTTTGAGAATTCTTTTTGTACATGTTGGTATTGCTAAATCTTTTCCTTCATGTAGTAGAATCAGTTGCAGATTTAGATTCAGTTTCTTTCTCCCTAGAGCCCCAGGACATTTTCAATCATTTCGACCTCAGTACTTGCACGTGAAATAGAAACATTCCGAGATGAGACCAGTTTTCCGTGCTGTATTCATTATTTAGATAATTAAACCTTTTGAAAAAGTTAACATGTCGGATTGACTTACGGTTTGCTATAAACAAGTTGCTTGTTGGCCTTGTTGAAAAATGAAATGAGATTAAAATTGTTTTGCACGAGATGACATTAGCAAAATGAATTCTTTGCCAGGTCCTTTGGAGTCAAGGGATGAGGTGAAGGGAGGCAGAACAAGCTTCCTTTGACAGTCTCTTTAGCAGCATTCATTTCGGTTTCTTTTCCTCTCTGTCTGGAGCCAGTGATTTGCTGGTAATGAATGCAAAGAAATGGGTGTAGTGTTTGCTGTGTGTGCACTTTGGTGATAAGGTTCATATGAATCATTACTCCTTACCCAGGCAGTAATGTTCCCGAAGTTTTCTCTTCGTTCTATGTTTCATGGTAGTTTAACCTTATTAACTCTTCTGCAGGCTTTTTGTACACTTAAGAAAACTCTTTAACTCTTGGTATTTACTTTTTTTCTGGTAGGTCTTGCCTGAATGTAAGGCTTTTACTGTATTTGACAGGAAGTTTGTGAACAGATGTTTAATGACCACAGAACATGTGCCTTTAAATATTTCGTACCTGGAATCTTTTTTTTCTTTCTAATGCAGTACCAAGTATTGGGGACTAACCTCTTTCCAAACTGGTGCTCTTGGTGGTAGTTGTATGTGTGGGCAGAACTAGGCTGTTAGTATCATGCCAACCATGGATACCATCTTTGTG
The DNA here is from genome assembly GCF_000001405.40 of Homo sapiens. Classification (NCBI taxonomy): domain Eukaryota; kingdom Metazoa; phylum Chordata; class Mammalia; order Primates; family Hominidae; genus Homo; species Homo sapiens. The sequence continues at coordinate 26,293,608 of NC_000008.11, forward strand.
TTTACGAGAGTCAACATAAGCAGAACTCGGTTTTAATTGGTATGTTTTCTTTTTCCAGGAGCTGGAGGAGGGAATGATATTCAGTGGTGTTTTTCTCAGGTGAAAGGAGCAGTAGATGATGATGTAGCAGAAGGTAAGAAAGCGTTTAATGCAAAATTTGGATATATAATTTTTGCAGAAATGTTTCCTACTGGAGGATTTCCTTGAAGCCGAGACTGCTATAAATTCAAGATGATTTTGTTGTCCAAGAAATGTAAGAACAGTTTTAAAAGATACCTTTCTGAAAAACAGCCTTAAATTTCATTTGTTATTTACGCCTTGTTTTTATTATTTTTTCCTCTGAATTTACATGGAAGGAGCGGTAGATGATGAGACATATAAGATCCTCACATGAAAGCTCTGAGCTCCATATAAGGGTTTCTTTGTTATGTAAATTCCACATACAAATAAATGGTGATGCATTTTTATGTTTGTACATTGGTTTTAGATAAGTAAATTGAAATAGGTGCCATCAACATTTGGCTCAGAAACATTCTTAACGGCATCTTTGATTTTTATGGGAAGATTTTTTAACTACTTTTGAATTTGTCCACTTTGGGAGTGTGATGCTGCTTGGCATATTCTGTGAAGAGATGATAGCTCAGATTATTCATTTTGTTGTCTTTCTGGTATTTAGGTGGATAAGACAGTAACAATGCTATGCATATATCGCTTGTCTTTTAGGAATCGTATATTCTTGTGCAGGTAGAAACTGTGTTTGATCAGTTGAAGTACTTACGTCTAATTTTCTCCCCAAATTTATTTTCTAACGTGTTTCAGAAGTTTAAGTTTTGAAACTTCAAGGTTTTGCATTCATTTGAGATGGTCTTAGGCAGCGGAGGCATTTTCCACAAAGTTGTTGCATTGTTTCATTCCTGAGAAATGTTGAAGTTTGAGTTTTAATGGTATTGTGTGTCTTGAATTACAGTAGGAATTTTCCAAACAAAACTCAGATAAATTTAAACATGTACTTGTGAGTTTTAAAAATTTGGTGAAAATTCATAAACCTTTTTTCCCTAGATTGTGTTGTCCTCATATTTCTGACCTGTCTGTAGGGTACTGTTTGTTCTGGAGATTTTTTTTCAGGTGGTGGGTGGTAGCCGAACTCTCTTATTTGCTTGTGTCAGTGTCATCCTTAATTGTCTGTTTTAGAGTGTGGTGAATCCTATGGCAAGCCAACTGGTGTAGATTATACTTGTCATATTTTGCAGAGCTCTCTCACGTTCCTTTTCTATTGGATCCTCATCTGTTTCTTAGATGAGAAACCAGAAACAAAAGAGACTGACTGATGGTCATGCACATAGTGTAAATCAAGGTTTTCTGATGAAGTCAGTGGTGTTTGACTTGTTCAGAGAAGTAAGTCCTGACTTCAAGGGAGGAGTTGTGTATTACTCATGTTGTAACTACATTACCTGTTGAATAGTAAACACTCCAGTATTGGATCATTAGTTCTGTGCAGTTGTGTAATACTCACCAAGTTATGAAAGTGCTGTATACTTGGAAAATGTTCTTTGGTTGAATTCCATTTATTCCCTTAGGAAAGTTCCCCTAAATGCTGAGCACTGAGGGTACTTGGTGTCTGGAACATAAACTCTGCCCACAAGGAGCTCATAGTTTGCTTGTTAAACATTACGCAGAAAGATCACATGGCTTTTATTTAATCAGAAGAAATTGATAGTTCAAAGTGAACATCATTTACCTACCTGAACCAAATAACTTGTGATATACATTAAGTCCTCCCTTAATGTATAGGTTCTGTCAATAATGTAATGTCAATAGGTTCTGTGACTTTAAGCAAAGAAAGCAACTTATAACAAAACCATTTTTTATCCATACCATAACAAAAGATGCTGAGCAGAAAACAAAGTCAAAGTTTTCAAGAACCTATTGACGTGAAGTTAGGAGATAAATCAGTTATAGTTCCCCTTTGCTGATACTTAGTAGCTGCATTTTTCTACTGATTGGTTAAATAATTTTCTTTAGAGGTTGTTAAATATTTTAACGTAAGCATATTCTTAGCATCGTAAAATGCTGATACTTGGTATATACATTTTAGTAAGATAACATATCTTAGTAAAAATATGACTAGTTCTAATAGGTATTGCTGTACAAATGTATTAAGTATAAAAATAATCCAGTTTTCAAATGACACTGCTTTAATTTGGATATTTCTGCATACTAGAGTTTGCATATTATAGTCTTGCTTATTTGACTAAGGGGAGATTTGCTTTTCTGAAGTAAAATAAGGTTATTAACACATTCCCCACCCCCCTACCTTTAGACTGATCTCTTCAACAGGTTACATGTAGCTCAACTTTTACTTGCCTGTTTTCTGTTAATGATACATTTTGATTGTCTCCATATTGCCTGCCTTTCTCCCGTCTACATGCAGTCAGCTGCCAGGGCATACCATTTTTACTCTGTAATGCCTTAATCTTCTTTGCATACCTGCTTTCACCTCTATTCAGGTTTGCACTCTCCCTCATCCAGATTGCAGTAAGTTCCTAAATTATTCCCTGCTTCTTCGTCCTGTTTTGCTTCAAAGTTAATCTTAAATGCAGTCCCAGTTTTGTCATTTTCCTCATAAGTCTACAAGTGGATCACTGTATCCACTGGATTAGGAATTAAGTTCAAACATCTCAGTCTAGAATGTATGACCTTTGCCCAATATGGCCTCTGCTCTCAGTTTATTTGCTGCTATGGCTAATGACCCAGCTAAACAGATACTGTTCTTAAAAGGCGTTCTATGCTCTCTCACTTTAGGGTCTTTGTTTTTGCTGCTTCCACCTTGGAATGCCTGACAATCATCCCACAGTTCTCTTACCAGGATCCTGCTCATCTCTCAAGTCACGCCTTTAACCTTTTTGCTAATTTCCTCTTTTGGAAATAACCTATTTTTAAAGTCTTCCTTTATAGCACTTTGTTACGTAGATATCATATGGTACCCCACATCTCTACTGTTACATACTACAGAGTTTAGTGTAGGACTGATTTATCTTCGTACCTTATGCAGGCATGAAGCTGCTCTGTCTAGAACAGTGCCTGGCACACAGTAGTTGAATATTTGTTTGAATGAAGGAACGTAAATGTTATTGTTCTTAGGTTTTGAAAGGGGAAGAGAAATGGTAAAAGGCAGGATGATTGAGATGTAGTTCTAGCAGTCATGGATTTATTTACTTGGTAGGCTTTTTAAAATAAAAATTTAAAACGCTTTCTGCAGAATCATCGGTAGGCTTTTTATAACCAGATTGATGTTATACAACCGTATAATGCAAAGAAATCAGGAGACCTTGGGTTTTTACCCTAGCTCCAGCACAAACTAGTGTATGTCACTGGGGATAAGTACTCTCCTGGGTTCCTGTGTGTTTAGCAATGGAATAACAAGAGTGGATTAGGTGATTTCTGCTCTTCCTTGTACTTTAATCTTGTTAATTTCCAAAGGCATGTAAAAACAGCCCAAATTCTTTTGGTGTGTGTGTGTGTGTGAGACAGAGTCTCACTCTGTTAGGCTGGAGTGCAGTGGCACGATCTCGACTCACTGCATCCTCAGCCTCCCGGGTTCAAGTGATTCTCCTGCCTCAGCCTCTTGAGAAGCTGGGACTACAGGTGCACCCCGCCATGTCCGGCTCATTTTTGTATTTTTATTAGAGATGGTTTTGCCATGTTGGCCAGGCTTGTTTTGAACTCCTGACCTCAAGTGATCCACCTGCCTCGGCCTCCCAAAGTGCTGAGATTACAGGTGTGAGCCACCGGCCACAAAATTATTACTACTGGTAATTAATACTACTGGTAAGCTAGATTGTTTGAGATACCGTACTCTCTAGAGGCCTTAAATAAAAAATAAATTATTGCTAGTAATATATTTTACATTTTTAATTTTTCTTTTATTGAAAACTGTCTGTCATGAGACAGTAGGTTAAGAGCACAGACTCAGGTGCTAGGCTACATGGTTTGAATCTTGCTCAGTCATTTATCATTTCTGTGGTCATCTCTTTGTGCCTAGCTCCCCTCTATAAAATGAGGATAACAATAAAACCTGTCTTACAGTGTTGTTTTGATGATTAAATGAGTTTATACACATAAAACAGAACAGTACCCAGCAGAAAAGAGCCTTATGAGGATTTAGATATTATTACTTGAACCTTCATATTATTGTTACTTTGAAGGAAGAGTCTTTGGAGTATGAGTATATTGAGGATTTGTCTTTAAAGCCTACTAAAAATTTCTCAAAGTGAAGGAAATAGCATATATGTGTGTTATACATACTCTTTGATTCCACTAGTAAATTACAAAATACATTCAAAATTAAGCTATAGGTTTAGAGGCACATATGCAGCTGGTAAAACTATGAAGAAAAGCTATGAAGTAAAAGGAAAAAAACATACTGTAAAAAGTACTATAAAAGTCAGTATAGTGGCTACCCTTAAGCTGTTGGAAAGGAGTTGTGATCGGGAAGGGCTGGGGAGGCCCTTGTGGGCTATCTTGACTGGGATGGTGGTTGTACAGATGTTTGTAAAGAGTAACCTGGACATTTTTGTTTCAATTTTTGGTTTTCTTTATCTGTTACATTTTACAGTAAGAAGTTTTTGGAAATCTAATAATGTATTAAAGGGTTTAGGATGAAAAATGGCAGTCCCCTACCTCCCCACTCCTTAATCCCTAGTCCATCTCCTAAGAGCAGTTGTTCAACTCTTCCGCTGGGTTCCTTGGTGCTTCATTTCCTTTTTGGGAATAAAATGGTATTTCTATATCTTGTCAATTTTAGTATTTCCAGCTGACTTGCTCCTCTAGTAGATGATAACTAAGCTATTCACATTATCACCCCCATTTCTGTCCCCATTGTGCCCCGATGTTACATCACACACTATGATTAAATTGGACGTCAGTGCTTAAATTGTTATGACCACGCACACATTCTCTGCTGAACCAGTAGTGCTCTGCAGTGTTTATTTCATCCTCAAGGTAATACAGTAATTGCTTGTTTGTTAATTTGACTATTTGGTTTTTTAAAAAACGTAATCAATCTGGAACATTACAGAAAGTATGTGGAATAGTATAATGAACCCCTGTCACCCGGCGTTGTCAATGGCCAGTGTTGCCCCATGTATGGTTCCATCACTGGACCCTTTCCCATCCTTTTGTTATTTAATAATGTAATACTTGTTTTTAAAATCTGAATTTAACAAAATAGAAAGCCAAGTTCATTTCTTAAAGTCGAACAGTAAGAAATTTTTTCTAATGATTTTGATAATGTGTTTAAATTTTACTTGTGGAAATAAATTATTAAAAATTCAAATACATGTGGATAATCTGAAGTGTGTAATAATTGGTCAAAATAATAGAACAGGCCAGGTGCAGTGGCTCACGCCTGTAATCCCAGCACTTTGGGAGGCCAGGCGAGAGGATCTCTTGAATCCAGGAGTCTGAGACCAGCCTGGACAACATAGTGAGACCTTTTCTCTACAAAAATTAAAAATATTAGCAGGGCATGGCAGTGTGCAACTGTAGTCCCAGCTACTAAGGAGGCTGAGACTTGAGCCTGAGAGGTCTGCTACAGTTAGGCTGTGATTGTGCCACTGGTCTCCAGCCTGGACAATAGAGTAAGACTCTGTTTCAAAAAAAAAAAAGGAACAACTTAACCATTCAAGATAGTTATTTTAATTATTTTAATGTAGATTTTTCATTGTTTAGTAATCTTAAAATATCAGATGTTATTAAATATTTAATAATGAACCTCATCTGCATATTTGATAGTCTTAAACTTTCACAGGAAATTATTTTAGGATATTATCTTATAAAGTCTTATTTTATGAAACTTGGATCCAAGTACATTGTGTGTTTTCAACTCTTTGCTTTCTGTTTACTTTTGGTAGGATTTAGCCTTGTGGACTGGGTCTTGAAAAAATATTTTTTAAATGGTAGAGGCTAAAATATGCCCCAAATAAGGACATAAGTAAAAATTTGAAAAACAGTCCATATTATGATATCTCACACAATTTAATGGTTTTAGTCCATTCCATATGTTTAATGCTATAATGTAAACAATTTAAAATCATTTCTCTTCTGCATCTCTTTTTTTTTTTTTTGTTAGAGACAAGGTCTTGCTGTGTTGCCCAGGCCGTCTTCTGTGTTTCTTAGAGTAGTATGCATGTTAGATTTAGGCAGTAAGGTAAGTTAGTAGAAAAAGTAGAACCCTGTTGTTTTGTGGATTTAAAAATAGTGGCACATTAGCTGTATTCCGAAACCTAATGACCTATGGTAAAGGTCTTATTTAATATCCTTACCTTGTATGACATGTGACACTTCTTTTTCTTAACACTAGCATTACTACTGAAGTCTAGTAGACCTCACTCAGTACAGTCACTTAAAGTAGTAGTGTAAGTTTACCCATTAAATACCATGAATGATAGTATCTGTTTAGCATCAAATAGTTTTCTTGCTTTGTTTTAAAATACTAAGTTTTTTCACATTCATTTGACAAAAAATTATGAGAGAGAATGGCCATTGAAAACATATTGCTGACATTTTGTCATGTTATTAAAATAAAACAAAAATTAGCCTTAGGTGTTTCTTAGTACTCTGTAATAGTGAACAAAATATTAAAATCAAGTTCTTGAAAATTGTGGAATAAGCAGAATGATGAGAGGTTGAAGCAAAAATGTATTAAATCAGTGAAGAGGTTACAGTATGTTACGTATTTGCATATAAGTGTTTGCCTAGTTTATCTTAAAGTTGATTGTAGGAAGAAAGGTACGTTTCTTAATGCTGTTAAATAGGAAAACTGAAGGATTGGAAATAGCTAAAAAATTTTAGTTAATATCCTCAACTGTAATCTCGTTGCCCTTTAAGGTGATGATGGAATTTGTAATTAAGTAATCAAGTATCCATAAGGTGCTTCCTCAGCAGACAGAAAGAAAAGTAAAAGCTGGCGGGGCGCGGTGGCTCACGCCTGTAATCCCAGCACTTTGGGAGACGGAGGCAGGCAGATCACGAGGTCAGGAGTTTGAGACCAGCCTGGCCAATATGGTGAAACACTGTCTCTACTAAAAATACAAAAATTAGCCGGGTGTGGTGGTGCGCGCCTGTTGTCCCAGCTACTCAGGCTGAGGCAGAAGAATTGCTTGAACCTGGGAGGTGGAGGTTGCAGTGAGCCGAGATCGTGCCACTGCACTCCAGCCTGGGCAACAGAGCAAGACTCCATCTCAAAAAAGAAAAGAAAAGAAAAAGCCTAGGTGCAAATTAGATTTTCTATAAATAAACTGCTATATAGTCATTGTAAGGAAGGCATGGCATGGCCATCTTGAGTACCTACATTTTTTGAGTGCTTAACTATGTATCAGGCATTGTTTTAGGTCCTTTACATCTATTTATTTACTGTTCTTCACAAATACCCTGTGAAATAAGTAGATACTGGTGGGAAAGTTAATTAACTGTATAATCTTGAGCAGGTGGTGAAGCTGGGATTCTTACCTTAGACCTTTCACTTTTCCTAATATAATTTTATTTCAAAACTTAATCTCCTTTTAGTTCAGGTGAAGGCGTTTGATGTTGAACTGCAACTCCTGTTTATAACAAGGTTTATTTGTAATGCCTAGTAGATACTTTTTATTTTGAAGTAATTAAATATAATTTGGAGATTTGTTGAATTTTCAGCTAATGCCATTCTTTTTTTTTTCCTTTTTCTTTTTTTTGTTTTTTTTTTTTGAGACGGGGTCTTGCTCTGTCATCCTGGCTGGAGTGCAATGGCGTGATCATGGCTCACTGCAGCCTCAACCTCCCAGGCTCAAGCGATCCTCCTGCCCCAGCCTCCTGAGTAGCTGGGACTACAGGCACAGGCCACCACGCCCGGCTAGTTTTTAAAAATTTTTTTTTGTAGAGACAGATCTCACCATGTTGCCCAGGCTGGTCTGCTGATGGCGTTCGTTAGCTGAGATGTGCTATATATAGATGGGTTATAAGGGCTTTGTGAACCCTCTGATGATGTGTGTGAAATTGTGTGTGATTGTACATATGTGCATTTCTCTGGTCGGAGTCCGTAGCTGCCATCAAAATTGATATCATTTAGTCCAGTGGTTCTCTAAATGTCGTCTGGCAACCCCTGAACTCATTCCAAATGTCTGTGAAGTAAAAACTATTTTCACAGTAGTACTCAGGTGATACTTGCCTTTTTCAATACATTGACTTTGCAGCAGTGCTGCAGAAGCCATCTTAGCATGAGATCAAGACAGTAGCACAAAAGAGTACCTGTAGAGGTAATCTTCATTACCATGTACTAGCAGTTTAAAAAACCATCAGTTTTAAGAATGTCCTTGAAGCAGTGAAAACTTAATTTGATTAAATTTCTACTTGAACACATGTCTATTAAACGTTCTGCATGACAGAATGGAAGGTATACCTAGAGAAAGAACTTCTGCAAGGGGGTAAAGTGGTTGTCTGGAGGAACAGCATTGGTGCAGCTGTTTTGAGTTTCAACTGCAGTTTTCATGGAACATCACTTTTATTTGAAGTAACTGATGAACTATAGTTATTCAGACTTGGATATTTGGTGGACATTTTCTCAAAAGAACAGTGAAACTGATACTTCAGTGTACAGTGTTTGTTGCCCATGATGAAATTTGAGCTTTCAAGCAAAAATTAGAATTTTGGAAAACACGTCTCTGCCATTGTGAGCTTGACAGCCTCCCAATACTTAAAATATTTTTTCAAATAAAATCAGTAGTCATATTAACGAATGTGATTTTTTGATACTATGTAATGTGTTAACATTTGGAAGATCTGTATAACTCAGTAAATCAGTCTTTTACGGGTGACCGATGCATGTGATGTTAAACAGTCATACATCAGTAAAAGTGCGTGCTAGAGCATTGAATTTTAATGTGACAGACTACCGATATGTTTTGAGATTCCACAAACCTTCAAGAATCCACCACTGTGGAATTTTGGTGTAGTATCAAAGGTATATCCATAACTACCTGAAACACCTATTAAAATATTCCTCCCTTTCTAACTACATATCTGAGTGAGGCTGGATTTTCTTCATATATTTAACTGACAGAATATATTGTGGTGCAGTACATTGAATACAGAAGCAATTAAGAGAATCTTCATTCTGTTAGGCCAGATTAAATTAAAGAGATTTGCAGCAGTGTAAAGCAATGTCATTAATTTTGTTGGTGGGGAGGGGGATGTAGTCATTTTTCATAACATTTTTGTTAATGTGTGAGGTTTATTACTATTTTACAATGAAGAAATATTTTAAAGTTTAAAAGGTCTTTGATGGTCTAAGATTTTAAGAGTTAAGGGGATCCTGTCATTCAGAAAATTTGAGTTGTTGGTTTAGTCTGTTCATAGATTTCATTTTAGTAATAATGCTTTACAAGTCTCATGAACCACAAGGTAAGTGATCAGAATAGTGTACTGCTTTTGTGGATGAATGTCTTAAAAAATTGCCTACGAAAGTAGTTTCTGTGACTTGAAATTGTTTCAGTCTCCTCCCTCCCTGTTCTTTTAGATACCAAATTAGATCTGCCTTAAGCTCCTTCAGCTGGTGATCTTGGTGAAGGAAGAATACCTTCAGGACGTTAAAGTATCTATTTTTAAACTTACCTCTCCCTTACAGAGATTAAATACCAGTAACATATTTGCCAGAATAAAATAATTTTTTACGGTTTTCCCCACAATGTCTGCTCAGGTCCAACTATCAGGAACACTGAAATTCTCACAGCCTAATTTAGTGCCACTCCTAGGTTGCCTGCCTCGTCATTAGAAGTGAGTTGGTGACCTTGACATTGTGTTTTATTTTGAGCCCAACTTGTAGCAGTTTGGTGATGTGTTGTCTGTTCTAGGAAAGAAGGCATAAAATTGGCTTGCTAACTTTCCCAACTTAACTACTGAAGGGAAGAGAGAGAGGGAACAATGTTTTTCTGAAAATCCTGAAGTGAACAACATAATTATATTTTAAATAGTTAAATTTCCCATTCTAAGGATGTAGTATCAACTATTGCTTAATATTTTCAGTATTTTTGTGGCTGTTTTCTACTCTTGAATGCCAAAGTTTGTAGACTTCAGCAGTTTTCTGTCCAGGTTTAAACACTGAATGTAATTTAAAAAAAAACTCCGCTAATTTTTAAAAATGAATATGAATGTTTTTAGTTAATTTTGGCAGTAGTTGATTACAATATCATCTAGATCTTTGCTCTTGGCATATGTGGAATCCTTGGCAAGTCGTTGAATACTTCTATATACCACATTGCCGGGAGTTACGCTCTTGTAGCTTTTAGTTTCTATTGGTTAAATCCTCTCTGTATGTTCAAATACCAGATGGAGTTTTCTCTTCTAGAATCTTCGAATGATCTCTCTTTTTCCAGTTCACAGGGTCTGTGGACCGGTGATCTGGTTTAAGAACTTCTGCTCTAATCTTGAGTTATGCCTGTGTTTACACACTTACTGAAACTTCTGTGCTGGATTCTAAATTTGGAAGAATCAAGGATATTTGTGTGGTAATAATGGTGTTTAGACTATTTAGGAGGGTATTTTTTCTTACCGGTCCTCTTATTACTTTTTCCTGAGATAATATGGGAGGGATTAATCATCTGTAAAATACCAGACTTGACAGATTTAGTGTGTTCCCATCTTTTTTTTTTTTCCTTTATTAAAAACTGTCTCTCATGGGTAAAAACATTAGAAGGATATATTGGATTTTGAACCAGTTGCTTATTTTATACTTTAATCAGAAGGAAATTTAAGTTTTTCAGTAGCTTGTATTAAGAGAGAAATCAGAGTAGGTAAAAGGGATTGGGGGCAAAATTTTAAAAATTTTCTAAAGATCCAGAAGAACATGGTTAGATCTGGAGCAGTGTTACTTTTCAAACCTGCCATTGCAGGCTCATTGTAGGTCTGTCTGCTCTGTATGAAAGTAGAAATAGTACCTTTTTGGTGTTACCCTGCGTGTCTGTTTTTTCCTGCTTACCACAAGGTAAGATTCTTAAGGGTGGATGACTTTCTAAGGGAACAAAAGAGGAATCTTTCCTTTTGGCTAATAGAGTGGGAAGGCTCTAATTCAAGAGAAACAGGCTATTGTAGGCAATAAATAGTTCTGACCAAATTTCTTATCAAGGCATGCAACATGCAAAAATGTTTGTTAAAGGAATTGGTAGTAGCAAAGGCATTGCTTGTTCTGTCTTTCTTCTCCTTGACATAAAATGAGCATTATTTTTTTTTCTAGCAACAGAACCAATTTTTAATGAAAATTTTTAGCTACCTAATGTTTTTATGCATATTATAGAAAACATATAACATTAAATTTACCATCTTAACCATTTTCAAATACACTGTTCAGTAGTGTTAACTCTATTCATATTGTGAAACAGATCCTCAGAACTTTTTCGTCTTGCAAAACTGAAACTCTATACCCGTTAAATAACTCCCTTCTTCCCCTCCCCTCAGCTCTTGGCAGCTACCATTCTACTTTCTGTTTCTGTAAATTTGACTGCTTTAGATTCCTCCTCCAAGTGGAATCATACAGTCTTTTTGTGACTGGCTTATTTCATAATGTCTTCAGGGTTCATCCCTGTTGTAGTATGTGACAGGATTTCCTTCCTTTTTAAGGCTGAATAATAGACCATTGTGTGTATATATCCCTTTTGTTTATTCATTCATTCTTTGATGGGCATTTTGGTTGCTTTCATGTTTTAACTCTCGAGCTCCTAGTCTTTTTATATATATGGGGTTCGGTGGGAAGGAACCAGGTAGGTACTTTCTGTAATTAATTTGAGTAGTCTAGGTAGAACATGAAAGTGTCAGTTTAAAGGATTTAGAGATTGGTGTAGTTTTATTTTTAAAACTCCTGTTTGATTGAGTCTACATCTCTGATTTTTATGGGGAGGGGGCAGAGCTAAGGTGAGACACAGCCACAAGTCAACAGGTATCTGTTGAGTTCCCAGCACTGTGGAGAATGTGAAGGAGATAGAAGACATTATTCCTTCATTTTAGGTACATGGAGGTCCATTTTATTGAAATAAACATTTCCCATAGCACTTGGCATTTGGTATTACACCCTACGTATGGTACTGTGAAAACCTTCTCTAATGCCATGTAAAAATTTTACAGATGATACTAGAGTCTGAGTAGTAAATTACTTTCCCTTTTCTAAGTTGATTTTATGCTGCTTGATATTGAGATGGGGATGTAGTACAAATATTTACTTGTTTCTTGGAGTTAAATTTTAAAAAATCCCATATTGCAGGTCTAAGACCATAAATTTGTCTTTTACTGCTTTCAAATGGTCGTGAGTTGGAATTTTCCAATTAGTATTTTTAGAGACTTCTCTAGGTGAATGTTTATGGTAGCCTACAAGCTACCATACAGAATTACAAAAATTAGCTGGGCATGGTGGCACGTGCCTGTAATCCCAGCCACTCAGGAGGCTGAGACAGGAGAATCGCTTGAACCCAGGAGTTAGAGGTTGCAGTGAGCCGAGATCGTGTCACTGCCTTCCAGCCTGGGTGACAGAGCAAGACTCCATCTCAAAAAAAAAAATGAGTTTCTAGACTGGACGTGGTGACTCACATCTGTAATCCCAGCACTTTGGGAGGCCAAGGTGGGTGGATTGCTTGAGGTCAGGTGTTCGAGACCAGCCTGGCCAACATGGTGAAACACCGTCTCTACTAAAAGTACAAAAATTAGCTGGGCTTGGTGGCGCTTGCCTGTAATCCCAGCTGCTCAGAAGGCTGAGGCACGAGAAATACTTGAACCCAGGAGGCAAATGTTGCAGTGAGCAAAGATCGCGCCACTGTACTGCAGCCTGGGTGACAGAGCGAGACTCTGTCTGAAAAAAAAAAAAAAAAAAAGTTTTCTAGAGCCAATAAACTGCATTTACAAAAGAAAAACATTTTACAGCACTGTACTTCTGAGTCATACACAGACTACATTTACATCTAACTTTTCCCACTGTATTAATCAAATCTAGTTTGTACGTCTGTTTTACAAACCAAATATAGGTAAAGATTTTTATGTTTTAGTAACTAGGTTAAAAAAATCTAATAAAGGTTGGGCTTTATTAGATGATGCATGCCTGTAGTCCCAGCTACTCAAGAGGCCAAGGCAGGAGGATTGCTTGAGCCCAGGAGTTCGAGGTTGCAGTAAGCCATGATCGTGCCACTACACACCAGCTTGGGTGACAGAAAAAATTAATACATATATAGAATGGTAAATCAAGAGGAATACAGCAAATGTATGCTTCTCTCTTCTTTCTCCCAGTTTCTTCGTCCTCTCACCAGAGATGCCATCACAGGTTTCTTATATATCATTCCAGAAGTATTTTATTTTGTATTTGCAATGTTTTTAACAGCGCATCTTTATCATTTTGGACTTGAAAGTAGGAAAATGTATTCTAGGAATCCATGAATTATTAAGCAAGGTCTATAGGCCCTGCCTTAAAGAGGATCTGATGAGTTGCCTGAGAAATTAGCATTTTCTTTTAACCAGTAGATTAAAACCATACAGATTTCTATATGGAGAGTTGCTGAGAAGGTTGTACACATTTGGAATTTACATCTAGATGTGTAATTAGTGGACTCTAAACAAAGCTAAGTAAAATCTATAATATCTAAGATATACAAGTCTTTAAAAATAACAGTTTGGGTTCACAGATACTGGAGTCTTCGGATTGTAGACCTTAAGTCTTCTTTCTCCACTTGAATCTGATTGTTCCTGGCAGTGTGTAAAGTGATCGGTTCATTTTGGTGATTTATTTAATTAAGACTGTACTACACATTATAGAATAGGCTAGATCCTAAAGACATAATGTGTGTTCTTAAGTGTTCAGTAAACACGTAGGCCTTTTTGGTCACTTGTCCACCATGTCTAATTCTCGACCTAATTTCTTGGGAGTTTTGTTAATATTCCTTAAAATGCCAAAATGTCATAATTTGTATACTGCTCAGGTTGATTGGAATAAAGCTTTGTTAAATTCTTGCTATGCAGAATTCTTTTAATCTTTAAGAATTTTTGTTTGTTAAAGGAAAAACAACTTTGATTATAAATGTCTGAGAAATTTAAAAAATAAGTGCTCAAGAGACTGAGCTGTCTATAAGTGCTTTATATGCATTATCTCGTTTAATCCTCTCACTCTGAGGATAAATTATTACTTTCATTTTATAGATGAGGAAATCAAGGCTTAGATAAAGTAACTTGCTCAAAGTCACGTAGTTGGAAAATGGGGGAGTGAGGGGTTGAACCTTGTTGGTTCTTCTGACTTCACAGCCCATGTACTATATGTAAATGAAAAAATAAAATCAAATATAGGCATACGTCAGAAATATTGCTGCTTTGGTTCCAGATCACTGTAATAAAGCAAATATTGCAATAAGGTGAGTCACAAATTTTTGGTTTCCCAGAGCATATAAAAGTTATGTTTACATTATGCAGTAGTCTGTTAAGTGTATAATAGCGTTAATGTCTGAAACAACAGTGTACATGACAATTAAAAAGTACATTATTGCTAAAAAATGTTAATAGTCTGAGCCTTCGGCAAGTTTACATTTTTTGCCAGTAGAGGATCTTATCTTGATGTTGATGGCTGTTGACTGATCAGTGTGGTGTTTGCCGAAGGTTGGAGTGACTGTGGCACTTCTTAAAAAGTGCCAAATGAAATTTGCTGCATCAGTTGACTCTTTCATGAAAGATTTCTCTGTAGCATGCAATGCTCTTTAATAGCATTTTATCCACAGTAGAACTTCTTTCAAAATTGGAGACAATTCTTTAACCCTACTGCTGCTTTATCAACTAAGTTTATATAATATTCTAAATTTTGTTTGTTTCATTTCAACAATGTTCACAGTGTCATCACCAGCAGTAGATTCCATCTCAAGAAACCATTTTCTTTAAAAAGAAACTGCTCATCTATTGATGGTATCATGAAATTGGACCAATACATCTTTAGGCTCCACTTCTAATTCTAGTTCTCTCGCTATTTCCACTACTTCTGCAGTTACTTCCTACATGGAAGTCTTGAGCCCCTCGGAGTTATCCGTGAGTACTGGAATCAGCTCCTTTCAGACTCTTGTCAATGTTGATATTTTGACATCCTCCCATGAATCATGGATGTTCTTAATGGCATCTAGAATGTTGAATTCTTTCCAGGAGGTTTTCAGTTGACTTTGCCCAGATCTTTAAGCGGAATCACTGTCTATGTCAGTTACAGCCTTACAAAATATATATATATATATACTTTTTTTGAGATAGGGTCTCTGTTGCCCAGGCTGCAGTGCAGTGGTGTGATCATGGCTCACTGCAGCCTTGACTTCCTGGGCTCAGGTGATTCTCCTGCCTCAGCCTTCCAAGTGGTTGGGGCTTCAGGTGTGCGCCACTACACCTGGCTCATATTTCTACTTTTTGTAGAGTTGGGGTTTCAATGTGTTGTCCAGGCTGGGCTTGAGCTCATGGGCTCAAATGATCCACTCACCTTGGCCTCCCAAAGTGCTGGGATTACAGGAGTGAGCCACCATGCGCAGCCTATATTTCTTTAATAATGCTAACAATTGTCTTGTAAGTCAGAATCACGCCTTGATCCATGGGCTACAGAATGAATATTGTGTTAGCAGGCATGTAAACAACATCTCCTTGTCCCTCTCTATCAGAGTTCTTGGATGAGCAGCAATATTTGGAAATGAGTCTTTTTTCTAAGCAGTAGGTCTCAACAGTGGGCTTAAAATGTTTAGTAAACAGTGCTATAAACAGATGTGCTCTCAGCTAGGCTTTTTTCTAGAGTACAGGCAGAGTAGATTTGGGCCCTAGAATTCAGAATGGTCAATGAGCATTGGCCTCAACTTAAAGTCACCCAGCTGCATTAGCCCCTAACAAAAGAGCCTGTTCTTTGAAGCTTTGAAGCCAGGCATCAGCTTCTCCTTTCCAGCTATGAGAGTCCTAGGTGGTATCTTCTTTGAATACAGGGCTGTTAATACAGAGCTGTTTAGTTGACTTTGAAAATCTGTTGTTTAGTGTAGTCACCTTTATCAATTAAATTATCTTCCTTTCACTTGAACACTTAAGAGGCCCATAGGGTAATTGTCCTAATTTCAGTATTGTGTCTCCAGGAGGCCCAAGGAGGGAGAGAGAGAGGGGAACTGCCAGTAGGTGGAGCAGTCAGAACACGCAGCATTTTTAAGAATTACATTTGCTGTCTTATGGAGGTGCTTCATGGCATTCCAAAACAATTACAATAGTAATATCAAAGATCATTGGTCACAGATGACCATAACAGGTATAATGATGGAAAAATTGAAGTTTTGCAAGAATTACCAAAGTGTGACACAGAGACACAAAGCTAGCACATGTTGGAAAAATGGTGCCATTCGGCCAGGCGTGGTGGCTCACCCCTGTAATCCTAGCACTTTGGGAGGCTGAGGCGGGCGGATCACGAGGTCAAGATATCTAGACCATCTTGGCCAACATGATGAAATCCCGCCTCTACTAAAAATACAAAAATTAGCTGGGTGTGGTGGCGTACGCCTGTAGTCCCAGCTACTCGGGAGGCTGAGGCAGGAGAATCATTTGAACCCGGGAGGCGGAGGTTGCAGTGAGCCGAGATCACACCACTGCACTACAGCCTGGGCGACTGAGCAAGACTCCCTCTCAAAAAAAAAAAAAAAAAAACACAGTGTCTATGAAGCACAATAAAAGTATGCCTGTATAATCTCGCAATTTTTATATTATATCTGTTAATATTTGGGCATAGATCTTTCCAGCATATAGTTCTTTTTCCACAGCAAATATGTATTTTCAAAACTGTTATCAGACGTACAGTTTTGTATTATGTTTTTTTCCAGTTAACATATATGAGAAGATAAATGGCTGTATGATATTTAATTGGATCTCTAATGTATTTCATTTAGACATTTAGATTGTTTATAATGTTTGCTATTGTAAAGATCATGATGAACATCCTTGTGAGAATCTTATTGCTTTAGGATATATTATCTGGAAATGGGATTGCTGGGTCGAAAGGTGTGATTTTTTTTTTCCTTTTTTTTTTTTTAATGGCTTATGGTATTTATTGCCAAATCACCATAGAAAGTTGGTGTTGATTTTTCACTTCCTCCAATAGTGAATGGGAGTGGCCATTTCCTGACCTCTTGACAATACCTGGCACAATATTCACCATTCAGAAAAATCTTTTCCAGTTATTTGTTTGAGCACGTTCAAATGTTGGAGCCTTTTTGTGTTCTTTGTCTAGTTTTCTTTGGTGATGCTTTTTTAAATTTATTTGTAGTATCACAGCCCTTTTCCCCTTCTGAATCATACATTGTAGTGGAGGAATGTTGGAGGGAAGCTCAAAGAAATAATTTGGGTCTGTATTACATGGGAAAGACTTCCTAAATGAAGTGGATTTTTTTCCTTTTTCTTTTTTCTTTTTTGTTCAAGCAAAGGAAACCAGAGAGTAAGGAAACAAACATTTGAGAATTGCTGTGTTTTAGTTTTCTTATCTGTAAATGGGAATAATAGTACTTGTCTTTTTATTTAGAGGATTAAATATACATGAATGCTTAGTTTTGGCACATAGTAAGCCTCAGAACATTTAATTGATGTAGTTATTTTTCTATCTGATACCCAATTAACAGAATTAACAGTTGATAGCAGAAGAATAAAAGCCTATTCCGGTCCACAAATTGAGATCAACTAGTTTTTGAGGTTTTGGGCACATTTTAGGCACTTCCAATAAATATACGTTACATTAATGACTAACATTTCAGCTTGGTTGAGTTAGGCATTTGGTAAAACTAGGGAGAGATTAGTTTCCCAGCTTCATCAGAATTGGGATTAGTTTAGGGTCTGGCACTTTGACTATTAATTTGACTAATTTAAAATTATTGTGCTGAGCCGGGCACGGTGGTGCAAGCATGTAATCCCAGTTAATTGGGAGGCTGAGGTGAGAGGAGCACTTGAAGCCACGAGTTCAAAGCTGTTGTGCACAGTGATCATGCCTGTGAACAACCACTGCACTCCAGTCTGGGCAACGTAGCATGACCCTGTCTCTGAAACAATGAACGAAAAATAATGTGTGACAACAGAAATTCAAGCTTCTTTTTTTCTCTCTTGTTTTCCCTTTTTTCTCCAGTTCCTCCAGTGTTTTATTCTTCCCTATAATTATATATTCTGCATCTTCCCTCAAGAGTAATATAATTGGGTGGGGTGGGGTGCACCTAGAACATGCAGGAGGGTCCAAAGCACCCTTCACTATTGGTGTCAGTTTCTCATAGCAGGGAGGGATGGAGTTTGGGAACATCTGAAGGGATGGTGTCAGGCACACGGAGGCTCTAAAACACCCTGCTATTGGCTCCCCTTGCTACCTAGGGCAACGTTGTAAATAGCATATTTTTTACATTATAAATATTTTCTCTTTCTCCTCGTTCTTCTACTCACTTGTTTGTATGATGATCTGAATCTTTTATCAGAGTTTCAAGTAGGCTGACAAATATATTTAGAGCCCTTGGAAAATTCTCCAGAAGTCTGAAGAGAATAGAAATGGAAAGCAAATGTTATTATACCAGTGAACATGCTTAATTCCCCTCAATTCCTTATTCAGAAGTGTGCTGTTTTGTTAAAAGAGTTGTATTGGCCTGATAATCAACACTTCTCTAGCTTTATGTGCATGTGAATGTCCTGGGAATCTGGTTAAAATACAGATGATGATGGTGCATTTAGGTCTTGTGGGGGATCCTGTGATTTTTGCATTTCTGATCAGCTCCCAGTGATGCTGGTGTTGCTGCTGGTGGTCCCCAGACTATACTTTGAGTGGCAAGGCAGCTTATAGCCTCTCTTTAAGGGTAAGGGAGACCTAGTAGCTTAATTTTTTTACTCAGCATTTTTGACAGAATAAATAGATCTATTGTGCTGTTCTCACATCAGTTAACATTTCTTCTGTAAATGAATAAAATACCTCTTTGGGAGTTTTGCACTAGCTCTTAAAAGAGCAGATTGCATCATACTGCAACACGTTAGCCATCTCTAGTTGTTACTTTAAATTTGTATTTCAATTTCAAGTTTGGCTCGGTCTAAGACCTTACTATACTTAGCAAAGGTGTGTTTTTTGCTGGTAATTTGCCCTTAAATTTTTATCTTTGCCATTTTTCTGTTTGCTTCCTTACCCTTGAGGCACCTGTTCATCTCAGATCAGGGCCTCCCTTACCAGCTATCTAAGTTTAATGTTGTTTTAGATTGATTTTTATTTTATCCATGTAGCTCATGTATATAGTTTTTAAATAAAAGTCCATATTTCAAAATACTTACAAGGCAAATGAACAGTTTTCTGTTTCTCTCACCTGTCCTCATCTTGATCCACTTTCCCAAACTCTTTTAGCTATTTCTTCTGGTGTTTATTTTCATATTTCTTTTTTTTCTTTTTTTTTTTTTGAGATGAAATCTTGTTCTGTCGCCCAGGCTGGAGTGGCACCATCTTGGCTCACTGCAGCCTCCACCTCTTGGATTCAAGTGATTCTCCTGCCTCAGCCTCCCAAGTAGCTAGGACTACAGATGCGCGCCACCATGCCTGGCTAATTTTTTGTATTTTTAGTAGAGACATGGTTTCACTATGTTGGCCAGGCTGATCTCAAACCCCTGACCTCAGGTGGTTTGCCTGCCTTGGCCTCCCAAAGTGCTGGGATTACAGGGATGAGCCACCGTGCCTGGCCTATTTTCATATTTCTAAACTACATGCTCATACAGCTGTTTTTAAAAGCAATCCACAGATGGAAATGGTAGCTAAGAACTGAGGTCCGCTAGGCTCTTCCTACTGCTCCTCCCAGCTTTCTTGGTGTTGTTACACTGTGTTGATTGTTTAAGCCAGTGTTCACAGTTGTAGTAGACTGGATAATGGTCCCCGAAAGAAATCTGCGTCCTAATCTCTGGAACCTGTGACTGTTACCTTATATGGCAAAAGGACTTGCAGATGTGAGTAAATCAAGGATTTTTGAGATAGGGAGATCATCCTAGGTTATCCTGGTAGGCTGTAAATATGTAAGCACAAGGATGCTATAAAAGGGAGGCAAGAAAATCAAAGGAGGAAGCAAGAGATAGGAGTGATTGCAAGGAAAGGGTCACAAGCCAAGAAATGCAGGTGGCCTCCAGAAGCGAGGAAAGGCAAGAAAATGGATTCTCCCCTTAAAGCTTCTAGAAGGAACCAGCCCAGCTGACAACTTCACCTTAGCCCAGTGAAACTGTTTTTTGACTTTAACTGTAAGAGAAAAAAATTAATGGTGTTTTAAGCCACCGAATTTGCAGTAATTTGTTACAGCAGCCATAGGAAACTCACGCAGGAGTGGACATTGTACATACGGGCTGTATAATAAATTCTGATTTTTTTCTATTATTGTTTTCTTTAGAGTTAAAAATTACCTTATTCATTTGGCTTTTAATCTCCCATCACTGTTTTCTTTCTGCACCTTCAAAAGCCTTCTAATGTAATTTTCCACATGATCAAGAAGAATCAGTTTATGTTCTTCCTGGAGTTCTCCATCATGTTTCAGTCTGGAGTACTTCGTTTCGTTTTCTGTGAATCTGTCACTAAATCATCTTCAAATCCTCTGCAGAGACTGAATCCCCTCCTAGTATATTGAAGCACATCAGATGTTGTATCAGTTTTACTTTTGCCTTAAGCTCTATCCCTCCAACCCGCGTGCTTCAATCTGGGCAGTTTCTAAGCCTGGTGCACAGCTGTTGTCCTGGGATTTTCCTTCATCATTATCATTGTGATCATCATCATCGTGGGAATTCTTTTGCCTCTGCTGTGTTGGAGCTCCTTGTTCTTGGATCTCACATCTTTTTCTTTCTTGTTTTATGCTATTATTTTGGGATGGTGCACAGTATCCAGTGCTTTATGGGAAAGGTTTCATAGGAGGTAAAATTTTTGAGATCTTGCCTGCCTGGAAGAGATGTCTTTATTCTACTTCCACACTTTCAAGTTTGGCTGGTTAACATTTTCCGTTAGAATTTGGGAGGTGTTTCTTTTGTCTGTTAGCTTCCGGTGTTACATTTGAGAACACTAATGCCATTCTGTTTACTGATTTTTCCTTTCTGGATGATGTGCTTTGGTGTGGGTCTTTTTCATTAATTGGACTCGTACTCATTGGACCCTTGCAGCTTGTAGATTCATTTCCTTCTGTTTTTTCCTTCTCTGTTTCATTTGTTCTTTCTGGAACTTATCTGGATCTTGGACTTTTTGTACTGGTCCTCTTTTTTTTTCCCTTCCCCCCCCCCCCCCCAACTATTTTCCATTTCCTTTTTGCTTTACATTCTGGGGGAGTTCCTCAGTTTTGTTCTCAACTCTTTCATTTATTTTTACCATTGCATTTTTAAGAGCTCTTTTGCTCTTTGGAAATAATGTTGGTGGTGGTAGTTTTAAGCAGCCCCGGTTTTATAAATGGAGTATCTTGTCTTTGAGAAGATTAATAGTTTTTTGGGTTTCTTTTCATTTTCTAATCTGAGCATCTATTTCCTTTGAGTTTCTTTTTTCTTATTCATATTGGTAGACTGGTATCTGGGAATCCTTGGTTGTCTGTTAGTTCTTAAGAATGAGGTAGTAAGAGTAAATTAGGAGCTTTGTGTCCACTGGCAGAGATATTCGGCTGGTGGGCTTCACTGTAGGGTGATGAGCCAGGGACCCGCAGTCAGTATCTCTAGATGAGAAGGAACTTCTAGTGTCTTATCTCAGTGGGAGGTGGGTAAGTGGGATGGGTCACATCTTAAGCCTGGCTGCTGACATTCTGGGAGCCAGGAAGATCACCGAGCAACTCATGGATTACTATGCAGCCTTTCATTTAATCTTGTTTTTAATTTGACGCCTCACCACCAGCTTCCTCTCAAATTGATACCTTCTCAAGGTCAGGTTCAGTTTCTCCAGAAGGTAAATGTGTTCTCTATTTTAGAGTCTAGCTTCTCTGTGTCTTGCATAGATGTTTCAACCAATAGCTGTTTTGAGTCTCATGCTTCACTGCAGCCCTGCAAGGTACCTGGTGCTTCTGTGTCCTGACTTGACAACCCCTTTTGCATGCTCAGAGGTTTCACTTTATTTTGCTGAGTTTTCTATTTTTCAGCACATTGGTTGTTACCTTCCTTCTGCTGTTGCCTTGCGTTTTCTTTGTTCTTATTTTAGACTGTTTTTATTAGTTTACCGTCATTTTAGTGGGTTTAGAAGATAAATGCGTGTTTTACATCTACATGTTTAACAAGTGTATCAAAATGTTTATAGTTTCTTTTCATTCATGTCTAGAACACTTGGTAATCACTTTCTATGCAATAGAAAAGGGGAATTCACAGAATTTATATAAAAGTAGATTTGTTTTCTTAAATCTAAATTCTGATATTGTGTACTTCTTTTTTTGAGGTGGAGTCTCACTGTTGTTGCCCAGGCTGGAGTACAACGGTGCGACCTCGGCTCACTGCAGCCTCCGCCTCCTGGGTTAAAGCAGTTCTCCTGCCTCAGCCTCCCGAGTAGCTGGGACTACAGACACCTGCCACCACGCCCGGCTAATTTCTTTTGTATTTCTAGTAGAGATGGGGTTTCACCATGTTGGCCAAGGTGTTCTCGAACTTGTGAGCTCAGGTGATCCACCTGCCTCAGCCTCCCAAAGCGCTGGAATTATAGGCCTGAACCACCATGCCCAGCTTGTGTACTGTTTTTAATGGCCTTTTCTTTCTTCAATTAATAGCAAAAAAATGATACAAATTAAAATAGCTTTTGTCTAAGATACTAACCTGCATTTTTAGACCTAAATTTCAGGCATGAAGCAGTCAGCCAAAAGCCGTGAGGTTTTAAAGAACTTAATATATCAGAGAAAACTTCAGCTTTCTTAGATAAAAATCAGTTTATATTTTTTTACTCCTGAAATAATTTAAATTAACACATATATTTGTCTTAGAATGAAGACATTTGTCAAAGACCTTTTGGGCTGCTGTTAACAGAATAGTACAGACTGGGTGGCTTACAAACAAACAACAGACATTTATTTCTCACAGTTCTGAAGGCTGGGAAGTCCTAGATCAAGGCAACTGCAGATCTGGTGAGGACCTACTTTCTGGTTCAGAGACAACTGTGTCTTGACATGATAGAAGGGACAAGGGCTTTCTCTTAGGTCTCTTTTATAGGGACACACTAATCGCATTCATGAGGGCTCCACCCTTATTACCGGATCACCTGCCAAAGACCTCCCTTCCAAATACATCATATTAGGTTTCAACATGTGAATTTTGTGGGGGATGAACATTTAGTCCATAGCAACATAAAGTAGAACATAAGATTATAGTCAGTTACTGATTGCAGGGCAACTAAAATACCAGTTTTCCATTGGGAAGATGATTTGTCTTGAAACTAAGACAAAGGATTAAGAGAGTAATGGCTTTCTTTGTTTTCCATCAGGAATACTCGCCTGTTACTAGTAGTACAACATTTGTATCGTAGGTTTAGTACTGTGCTCCCTCTGCCTACCCCAGAGGTCATTCCTGTCATTCTCCCCTTGCTCACTAGTAGGTCCAGCCACAGGAGCTTTCTTGAGGGCTTTGAACTTGCCCCTTTTATTCTGAAATAGACCTTCCTTCATAATCTTGACTACCCTGTGTAAATTAACTCATTTCCATTCCAACCCCAAAAGAGATGTACATTTAATGTTATCTGTTTTTAAAATATCTTTACTATTATTTGAAATGATGTTACTTATTGTTTGCTTGCTTATTGTATGTAGGCTTCTTTCTCTCCAGTTTGTGAGTTTCACGTATGAGGAAATCCTGATTTTTTTGTTCTGTGATTTTCATTCTTAGCATCTGTAACATTTTTAGGCACAGGACAGTATCTGGCATTTAGTGGGCATTTGTTGAATGGATAGATAAATTCTGCAATATGTCATCTCATTTTAAAATATATGATAACTTCAGTTGTTTATTTTACTAAATGTACACTTTGTTGTTTAAAATAGGGAAATGAAATAAGCTAAAAATTAGTAGCACTTCCCAGTTTTTTGAACCAGTAAAAGGAGACCCAGACAAATCCCCACAGTCACACAAGCTAGTATATGTATTATTGACCAAACTACTTTAAAGACCCACATACACAGTGGTTCAAAAAATTAGCTTGTTTCTCTCTCACGTGACCATTGGTGGCAGAGAGGGATCTGAAGTGGATAAGCTGGTTTTGCCAGAGATTACCCAGGATTGCAGGTTTGTTCTGCTCAGGGTCTAGGTGTATTGCTCTTGTGTGCACGGTCAGATCTGGCTCAAATCTGTGTTCTATCTAGCCCATGGGGGAGAAAAGAGAGAGAAGGGCAAGTAGCTACCTTTTAATGATGTGACAGAAATTTTATTCATAACCTATTGTTTAGAACTTGGTATTAGAGAAACATGCAGCCTCTAATTTCCTGTTAAAACTCTGTGTGTATGTGGTTTTTTGGGTTCTGAGAGTGAAGGTGCCAGGATGTGCCATTACTAAAGGAGAAAGGGGGAAATGGCCACTCTTAGGGACGATTAGTCTCTGCTACAGCTACTAATTCTTAGAACTTTTACTCAGGACTTTGTTCATTCCTCTTTCCTTCCTCCTTCCAGTGTTACTGTAAAAGCCTTATAGGATCCTAATTCAAATAGTTTAATATTTTTTATGACATGAAACAATTGGAAATTTGAACAGTTACTGGATATTTCATACTAAGGAAGTGCTTTTGATTTTTTCAAGGTACGGTAATGGTGTTTGATTATATTGAAAATGGTGGTCTTTTATAAATCTTTCCTGAAATATTTATGGGTGAAATAATTTGATGTCTGGGATGTACATGAAATAATGTGGCATGGGTTTATAGATGAAACAAGATTGTCTATGAATGTATAATTGTGGAAGCTCTGTGATAGGTACACAGGAATTCATATGATGCTCTTCTGCCTACTTTTGTATATGATTGAAATACTCTGTAGTGAAACTTTTAAAATACCAGTTTATACTGATACCTCCAATTTAAATTGATACCGCAGGGTTATTCCTTACTTCCCTCATTCTATATTTATGTCTTTTGGCTCTCACAGTGAGAACCTTAGTTCCCAGCCCTGTAACTATTTTTTGTCAGAATATAAAGATAGACAGAACCTGGATATTTGATAACATTAAGCCAATGAATTAACTAGCCCTGGGTTTACTTGCCATGCCTTGGGACTTTTTATGTGGGATGACAATCTTTTTATTGTGGTAAAATACACATAAGGTTTACCATTTTAAAGTGTATAGTTCAGTGTCATTAAGTGCATACAAATCTGTTGTGCAGCCATCGCCACCATCCATATCCAGGACTCTTTTCATCTTCCCAAACTAAAACTTTATACCCATTAAAACATTAACTCCTCATTCCTGTCTCCCCAGCACCTAGCAACCCCCATTCTACTTTGTGTCTCTATGAATTTGACTCCTAGATGTTTCATATTGGTGGAATCCTACAGTATTTGTCTTTTGTGACTGTTATAGCGTATGTCAGAATTTTCTTTCTTAAGGCTGCATAATCTTATGTATGTACCACATTTTGTTTGTTCACTCATCTCTTGATGGACATTTGGATTGCTTTCACCTTTTGGCTATTTCAATAGTGTTGCTATGAACACTGATCTTCAAGTATCTGTTCAAGTCCCTGCTTTGAATTATTTTTGGTATATACCTAAGAAGTGCAGCTAGTGTATCATATAGTAATTCTGTGTTTAACTTTTTAGGAACAATCATACTGTTTTCCATAGTGGCAGCACCATTTTACATTTTCACCAGCAATACGCAAGGGTTTTAATTTCTCATTAACACTTTCTACTTTTTTTATAAGAATTTTATACTTCTAGGTCTTTAGCCCTTTGATCCACTTTGAGCTAATTTTTAGTATGATGTAAAGCAAGGGTCCATTTTTTTTTCTTTTGTGTGTGGATATCCAGTTTTCCTAACTCTCATGTTTTGAAAAGACTGTACTTTTCCCCATTCGTTGGTCTTGGCAGCCTTGTCCAAAATCATTTGACCATATGTGCAGGGGTTTACTTCTGAGCTCTCTATTCCATTGATAGAACCCATTAGGGTGGATTTTTTTTTATTTATACAAAAAGTGCTTTAGGGATTTTGTTAGGAATTAAATCTTCCAATCCATGAACATGGAATGTCTTTTCATTTATTTATGTCTTTAATTTATTTTAGCAGTGTTTTGTAGTTTTCAGTGTAAAAGTCTTTTGTCTCCTTGGATGAATTTATTCCTTAGTATTTTATTCATTTTGATGCTACTGTGAATGGAATTGTTCTCTTAAGTTCCTTTTTGGGTTGTTCATTGGTAGTGTGTAGAAACAACTGATTTTTGTGTGATTTTGTGTCCTGTATCTTTGCCAAGGTAAGTGATTTTATTCCCTAAGTGCCGTGCTAAAATGTTTGTAAATCACCTTTCTTTCAACACCTCACCTGGAAATCTGGTGAGATCAGGTTTGACCCTTAGGCACTGTGCCTTACATGTGCTGTACAGGATAGCTACCTGTGTTGGTTATATCCTGTACAGCCATATGTGGTAGACGTTATGTGGGTGTCAACTCTCTTGTTCTCTTGAGTATTCATCAGCAGAAGACGAAAAAGCAGAATCCTGGTTATTTGGCAAACTCTACATGTTGTACTCCAAGGTGTCAGATCAGCAAATACGTTGCTGCCTGATTCAGTTTTGGTTGATTCTTCCCCTCCGATATCATTAATATTCTCAGGAGATAGAGTGAATAAGCTATTGGGAGAGGGTAAAAGAGATACATGATGTAGGGAACGTTTTTTTAATTGTTAAACCAGAAGTGGGTATTTTGGTTTGTGAGTTAAAATACTGCTGGTATTCTAACTTACGATTAGTCTTTAAGTATTATGTATATTCCACAGTGCCAGGTGCCCACTGCTGGGCATGCAGTTGTAGGTACTTCTTTATAACTCTGGCTAGTTTATCCTGTCTGTGCAATTAGTTCATACTGCTGAGCAGCTGTGTCTCCCTGCCTTTTACAATTGTAGGTATATTGTTAGTGTTGCTGTGCTCACTAAGTTTTGTGATGTTTTAAACGGAACCAAGTTTGGTGGTATTATTATTATTTTTTTAAAAGAAAGCAGTTACTTAAATTAACATGGTAGAAAATATCCTGGGGATTGATGGTGTAGATTAAAAATCTTTGTTTTATCCAACAATAGAATTGAATTATATGGCTAGGAACACCAGCAAGCACTTCCTGTCACAGTTATCGAAACAGTCTTTTAAAGAATGTCTAGAGGGCCTTACTTAAACAAATAGCTTGTCTTGACTTTGGGAGGAGGATGGTTACCTAAGCCCATGTGTTAAAACAGACAGATGACACACTGAAATGACCAACGAGCATAATAAGGAGAATTCAGTATCCTTGGAAACCCTGGAACGGTGCCATAACTAAACTAAAAAAATTTTAGCAGGAAACAGTACAAACAAGAAACATCGTGAGAGAAGGCCTTAGTGTTCATTTCTGTGGTTGTGAAGCGCTAGTAGGAGTAAGTGACAGGACCTACTTTGAATAGCCAGAGTTAGAATTGAAGGGGGAGCCACTGGACAATTGGTTCATGTATTCTGTACTTTGAAACTGGGATTGAAAACTAAATGGCTCTTACCAAGAGAAATGTGACCAGAGAAATGTGACCTGAGAGAGAAGCACAAAGTTGAAACTCTGCCCCCAGGCTGCCTTCTTTGTCAGGCAGCCGCTTAAGGTGGCCCCAGTGATCCCTGGCTTCTGGTATTTATGTCTCTGTGTAACCTTGTCCCTTTGAGTGTTTCTGGACCTCTCGTGACTTGCTTCCACAAGTGGGGCAAGATGCTGGGATGCTGCTTCAGAGGTTAGGTTACAGAAAGGTTTTGGCATCCATGTTGGGCTGCCCTATTTCACTTGCTGAGGGAAGCCAGCTACCATGTTTGTGTGGTTCCCTGTGGAGCTCACATGTCAAGGATCTGTTGTCTCTGGCCAACAGCTGGCGACCTGACACCTGTCAGCAGCCAGGCGCACGAGCTTGGAAGTAGATCTCCTCCTCCAGTCAGGCTTTCGGATACCTGCAACTTTGTGAGAGACCTTGAACGCAAGGCCCCCTGGCTAAGTCACACCTAGATTCCTGACCTGTTATGAGATAATAAGTGTTTGTTGTTTTAAGCTGCTACCTTTGGGACAATTTTTAAGGCAGCAATAGAGAACTTATATAGGAAGTAACAATGTCAACATTTCCCCTCCTCGGTCTAAGATTTGAACTTGGTTCTAATGTGTTTTCTGGTTGAACCCAACACAGTACCCAATATTACATAAACACAGGCCCTTTTCTTTAAAGATACATACAGAGAATGATAGACACATCCAGATTCAGTAGGTACTGTAAAAGAAGTTGACCAGTATGAGCAGTAACTTCCTATGAAATAGACTTAGTGCAGGAAACAAGAGAAACTGTTGAAGTTTAAAGAGCAGCTAATTAGTTGCTCTGGGAGACTGATGAGAATTTGAAAGAATCAGAGAGCAGGAAGGAGTTCTTAAGTGAAATTTGTGACTCTCTGGAGTCAAGTAGCAGCAGGGTTTTAGAAATATTCCCTCAATACAATGGGAAAAAGAAGTTGAAAATTGTAACAAAAATATAAGGAACATAGCATTTGTTTTCGTTGATTTTCTCAGTTGCATTGTGCACGTTTCAGGTGCTCAGTAGCTGTGTGTGACTAGTGGCTACTGTACTAGACAGTGCAGAATAGAACATTTCTATCGTAGGAAGTTTTGATGGACAGTGCTGTGGTAGAGTGTCTTCCAGAGAACTCTGAGGAAAAAACTATGATAAACTAAGAATCCTAAATTGATGAAGTTATCCTTTACATAGGCAGTGCAACAAGATGGCTTTTTATAGGTGTGCAGGAACTCAAAGTATATCACTCGACTACTTGGGAAAAAAAAAAAGACTTAACTACACCCAGCTGAGTAGTTAGCATCTCAGAAGCATGATAAGTCAACTTCAGCATTGTTTAACTCTGTATCCTGTTTCCCAGAACAACCCAAAACTTACATATAAAAGTAGGGGAAAATCTTCATCTTTGACAGCTATTAAGAGGATGCCCTTCTTAAGCCAAACTTCAGACCGTCAGAACGGTGGTTTCAACTTAGTTCAATTCCAGAGCTTCCCCTCTCCTTTTGACGATAAATAAAGCCACAGGAAGCAGCAGTTTTTAAAGACATTAATCCATTGAAACCACTTTTGCTGAAATCACTAAAAAGTCTCCAAGTCACCAAAACCAAGTTTCATTCTCAGCCCTCTCTTGATCTTTAAGTACCTTTGGATGCAATTCATCACTGCCTCCTTTTAAAAACACGGTCTTTGCCTAGCTTCCAGAAAACTTCTTCCTACTCACTAGAAGTTCCTGTGCAGTCTCCTTTTTTACCTGGTCTCCAGGCTTAATCCTTAGCCCAGACCTCTGGCTTTCTTTATCTATACTTATTCACTAGGAAATCACATTTAAGTGTCATGTGACTTTAAATGTTTTCTCTGAGCTGATGATACCCTAATTATATCTCCTTTTCCCTAATCTGCTGTCAGATCAATCTAGCTGACTATGTAGAAAACACACACACAGTTTCTTGCACAACACTTCTGATAACATATATTCATCTGTAAGTTTTTCTCTGTACATCAAGCAAGCAATCAGTTTTGCAGCAGACACCAGCTGGGTGTCCCCCCATTCAGTTCCAACACTGTCTACCTGGAAATAGCATCATATTCCCCAGGTTGAGGGGGCTCGGTCCCACAAGACTGCCCCCACTTTTTCCAATGCCAGTTGGAAGCCCCAGGTTGTTTACCTGTGCCTCTGACCAAGTGGCCATACATAGAGGTTACCAAGACCTCCTTCTTGGGTTCGATTAATTTGCTAGAGTGGCTCACAGAACTCAGGGCAAACATTTACCACTTTATTATGAAGGGCATTTTAAAGGATACAAATGAACAGCTACATGAAGAGATATGTAGGACAAGGTCTGGAAGGGTCCTGAATGCAGGAGCTTCTATCCCCGTGGAGTTGGAGTGCGCCACCTACGCAGCTCCTGGATGTGTTCTAGTTTACCTTCCTGGAAGCCCTCCAAACTCCGTGGAGGCTTCATTATGATTAAGTCATTGGCCGTTTGTGATCTGCTCAGTCTTCAGCCCCACTCCCTTCCACTTCTCTGTGGCTACCACCTGAGTTCTGACTCCTCTACTCTCTTAGGCTACTGCAGTAACATAGGAACCATTTCTTCCTTCCTCCAGTTTTCATTGTTTTCACACAACAGATTTAGAACCTCTCCAGTGTCTTATCACATGTTAGGACAAGTCCACTGCCCTTTTACCGTGGCCTACAAGGCCATTGCCACCATTTGTCTTACAGAGTCTACATTAATCTCACTGGCTTTCTTGTTTGCATCAAGTTTGCCAGCCTCTTTTCTCATTAGGCCTGGCATTCTGGAATGCTTTCCTTCAACAAGTTTGGATGGCTCATTCCTATGTCTTCATTTTGGTTTCTGCCTAAGTCACCACCTCAGAGAGGCTTTCTTTGACCACCCTACCTGAAATAGTATTCCCCACTCCATGACTTTTTATTGTTTTAGGGCTTTATATTTTTAGAGCACTGAGCACTGCCTGATACATTTTATATTATTAATTTGTTTATAGTATGTGTTTATCACAAGAATGTAAGATCCATGAGAGCAGGGATTTTTGTTTGTCTTACTCTTGTACCTAGAAATAGTGTCTAATACAGCTTCCACGTGGTGTTGAGCCTGTGGGTGCACAGAAGTCAAGAACTGAGGTTTGGGAACCTCTGCCTAGTTTTCAGACGTGTGGAAATGCCTGGATGCCCAGACAGAAGTCTGCTGCAGGGGCAGGGCCCTCATGGAGAACCTCTGCTAGGACAGTGCGGAAGGGAAATGTGGGGTCGGAGCCCCCACACAGAGTCCCTACTGGGGCATTGCCTCGCCAAGCTGTGAGAAGAGGGCTACCATCCTCCAGACTACAGAATGGTAGATCCACCGACAGCTTGCACCATGCCCCGGGAAAAGCTGCAGACAATCCACACCAGCCTGTGAAAGCAGCCAGCAGGGAGGCTGTACCCTGCAAAGCCACAGGAGCAGAGCTGCCCAAGACCATGGGAACCTACGTCTTGCATCAGCATGACCTGGATGTGAGACCTGGAGCCAAAGGAGATCATTTCGGAGCTTTAAAATTTGACTGGCCTGCTGGATTTCGGACTTGCATGGACCCTATACCCTCTTTGTTTTGGCCAATTTATCCTATTTGGAATGGCTATATTTACTCAATATCTGTACCCCCACTGTATCTAGGGTGCCTTGTCTCAGATGCAACTTTGTACTGTGGACTTTTGAGTTAATGCTGAAATGAGTTAAGACGTTGGGGGACTGTTGGGAAGGCATGATTGGTTTTAAAATGTGAGGACATGAGATTTGGAGGGGTTGGGGCAGAATGATAAATGGTTTTGCTGTGTCCCCATTCAAATCTCAACTTGAATTGTATCTCCCAGAATTCCCACATGTTGTTGTGGGTGGACCCATGGGGGGGTAATTGAATCATGGGGGCTGGTCTTTGCTGTGCTATTCTCGTGATAGTAAGTCTCATGAGATTTGATGGGTTTGTCAGGTGTTTCCACTTTTGCTTCTTCCTCATTTTTCTCTTGCCGCCGCCATGTAAGAGGTAACTTTCACCTCCCGTCATGATTCTGAGGCCTTCCCAGCCATGTGGAACTGTAAGTTAAATTAAACCTCTTTTTCTTCCCAATCTTGGGTATGTCTTTATCAGCGGCGTGAAAACGGACTAATACAGTTGTATTCCCTGTTTAGATGCTGTTAAATAATATTTCATGTAAGATAAGTATCTGCCTATTAATGATATTAGGTGCATTCAGCTGCATAAGTACCTGAACATTATTCTTGGCTTTCATCTGTAGCTGTCCACACTTTATCAATTATCAAGCCTTGTTTTATGTACTTTGGAAATGTATCTTAAAGTTTGTTCACTTATGACCCCTCTTTGGCCTTGGTACTTTAATTTCTTCATTTGTTAAATGGGTATATTGATACAGCCAACTTAATAGTTTTGTTGTGATGATTAAATACCTAACATAGAGTATGTAAACTTTACTTATTTTTATTTATTTTTTATTATTTTTTGAGATAGGGCCTCACCCTGTCACCCAGGCTGGAGTGTGGTGGCGTGAGATCTTGGCTCACAGCAGTCTCAGCCTACTGGGCTCAAGCCATCCTCTCATCTCAGCCCCACAAGTAACTGAGACTACAGGTGTGCGCTGCCATGCCTGGCTAATATTTTGTATTTTTTGTAGAGACGGGTTTTCGCCATGTTGCCCAGGCTGGTCTTGAACTTCTGAGCTCAAGTGATCCTCCCACTTTGGCCTCCCAAAATGCTGGGATTATAGGTGTGAGCCACCATGTTGGCTTGTTAGGTAAATGTTAAATGTTGCTGTCTAATGATAACCATATTTTACTATTACTGGCTCAGGTCACTATCATTGCTAAACTGGGATTTCTGTGGAGTAACTCCAGGTTGGTCTCCAGTTTTCCCTTTGCTTAGGTTCCTCCCAGTTCTCAGTCTCCTTCACTTCAGTTTGAGCAATCTAAGGTGCATGTCTGACTGGATTGCTTTTACTTAAAATTCCCAAGTGGACTTCTTTTTGTCATTGGAATAAAGTCTGTAAAATGTTTTGTAACATACCTTAAAGACTCCGCCATTTTCTCTAAATATTTTGCCTCTTTGTTTTCAGTTTGTGGGTGAACTAGAACAATTCTGGCAGGAAACAAACTGTATTGGGTGTGACTCTACCAAGAAAGATGGATAGTGAAGTGCTTTCTGATTCTTATAGCATAGCCATAGTAATCCTAATTTGTAAAGATTTTAGGGAGATATTAATAGCCAGATACCCATTCTAATTATAAAAATACCTTAATTAGGCATACATAGATGCAAGAGTTTCATACTGTACTACTTGTTTGTATAATCTCCTTGAGAAGCTATTTACATTATACTTAATAAGGCCACTGAATGAGGTGGTTTGCTTTTGTGAAGTTAATTAGCCAGTTAAAAGTTGAGGAACATCTAATGAAGATGATAACTAACTTTAAGTCTAGAATGCTCAATTTAGAGCTCTTCTTTCTAACATATGTAACAGTTATATACCAGGGCTTATTGTCTGTTTAAAAAACCACACCTATAGACTAAATGTATTAGCAGCTGTTTATCTTTCTGTTCTTGGTTGCAGTAGGATATGATTCCATTCCATTTTATCCAAACGGGCTATCAGATTATCCAGGAACAAGTTACAAAGAAGGGAAACTGGTTCCAGGACACATCTCTGGAAGTTACCTTGTGGACCCTGAGAATGTGTTACAGGTGTGCCAAGATCCTTCAGCCCTTGGAAGCGGGTGCCTGAGTGGGGTCTTAGCTGACTAGAGTGCCTGGGCAGACAAGAGCAGCTCCATCTTCTCTTTAGAGTATGTTACATAAGCATTAAATCGAGGGTGTGCCCTGACGTAAGGAAAGTAGAAGCTCACCAGCCTGCTGCACTCACATCAGCGAGAGGGAACATTTGCCCCTCCATGCCTACTGCCCTTCCCGCCCTTCAGCCTCAGGTTACAGGAATAAATAAGTTAATTAATCCCAAGTGGGGAGAGCCTTTGAAGAGTATTAAAAGGAGAGGAAGGAATGGTTGGAACCTGTTCCCATCAGGAACAGATGAGTAGGTCAAGCTTTATTCACTTTTAAGGAGGAAGGGATTCCTAAAGGACAAACCAAACTTGCTTTTCAGGGCGTTACAATAAAACGTTCTTAAATCCTGAATATCACACATTTCTGGGAGGAATGTCCTGCCCTTTGGGAAAAATAGCAAGAACTTCGAGCTCCCTCTAGAGGCCAGCAGTGATAAAAGAGCGTCGTAGTGGTCTGTAGGGAAATCATTTTACAATGATTAGCTAAGCTACCTTTCAGCAAGAAACTATCATTTTATAGATGTATTATCCAGTAAAATGTTCTCTTATATTGGGAAGAAATTGGTGCCTTTGAAAAGAAATTTGGGTTAATCATACTCTAATTAGCTATGAGGGGCCAATTGTAAAGTTCATTTACTGTGTAGAAATACAGCTGAGAAGATCATGAAAATGGGTCATGTGACCTAACAGAATAGTATATTCTAACCATTGGAACAAACCAGATCAAGATGAGAACCTGATTTCTGTGCTGTTTTGTGCCGGAATGTTTCGACAGTAGACCTTTGAATTGAACAGAGGTAAAGGTGATCTATAGTACCAGCTGTGTTCTCACCCACTCCTCCCCCTCATCTGAACAAAACCAGTGAGTTCCAGAAGATTAATATTAGGAAATGCAAGATGCAGGCATATGTTAAAATTTCTGAGTAAGCTAACATATACAGTTTCTTAACTTTTTCAGAGCCTCAGTTTACTAAATGATCCATCTATTATTCCAGGATAGACATTTTAGTCATAACCATATATGTCAAGGAGTTAGTTATGGGTTTAACCCTTTGATGTATTTAGTCCTTTTGTTCTCAATATATTTATACTTCTTTATAGAACTCACTGAGAGAGTTCAGTTCTAAAAACTTAGTATGAACTATAGAATGACAGAAGTGATTTTATGGTAATATTAATATGTAAAAGTTGCATTCCCACCAGGAATATGTGAAAGTAATTGCCCAATACCTGCACTAAGTATTGCCTCTTTTTAAAAAAATCTTAATCATTGGAATGGTGTGTAGTGGCATATCATTTTTCCACCTTGTGGAAATCCATCTATTATCAAAGTTTCCATGGTTTTATGCAAATAGCTATCAAATACCTGTCACCTGGTTTCTCTTTCCGAGCTCTGGTAACTATTCCATAATTCCCTGATTGTTTTATTTATTTTATACAAACAGGATCAAATGTACTTTGTAACATTTTAAAAACTCGGTGATACATCGTAGACCATATTCTTAGAGATTTGTTATTTTTTTGTACTGGGTATGTGCAAGCACATATGGCCAGACAGCAGAGGAATATTTACTAAAATAATAGTGGTTTCCTCAGAAGTGGGGTTAAGAGTGATGATTATCCTTTTTCTACAAAGTAGTTTATTTGTGAGATTAAGGAATGAAGTTAATTTTAATTAAAAACCTATGTTATGATAATCTCATTACTACAAGTGATCTTTAAAAATCATATTGTATATAAACACATCTGATACATAATTTGCAGTTTGCATGAATCTGCTAAATGACTGTTCCAGGGGTGAGATTTCAGGGTTTCTTACACTTTATTTTTTGTGAATTGGTTAGTTTATAGTGATAATTGTATCTTTTTTATGAACATAATGCCATCTTAAATATTTACATATTTAGATTCCTATAAAACTTTTTAAAGTACCTTTATTGCAGTACTGATTTTAAGGTTCCTAAGTGGTTGATTTAACCATTGGCTATTAATCTTTAGCTATTTTGTTGTGGTCAGACAGTATGGTCTTTATAATTTGATTTCTTGGAGTTTCTCTGTGACTCTTAATTGCATACCTTTTTAGAAGAAATATATACTTTTAATTTGGTATAATTTTTCTGTGTATTTGTCATTTATATTTTTTAGGTGTCTATCCCTTCTCCCTCCCAGCTCCCATCACTGTTCCTGTCTTCTACTACCTTTTTTTCAACTCCTTATTCCTAATAACCCTGAAATTGTAAAGTTAAAATCTGCATTGGGCATTGGGCATAAAAATTTATGACTGTTACATTCTCACCATACCTTTTATCTACCTACCTGCATAGTACAAAACCCCCTTTTCCTATTGAATTCTTTTTAAAAAAATTCCACCAGACTTTGGGGACATCATCTGTATTTATTAGGCATGGGTCAAGTATGCTAGCTATTTGGCAGTTAGCAGGACAGTTTTGAACAAGAAAAATTGTTCGATGGTCTGCATAGCTTAGAATATACTGCCAAATGTTCGTGATGCTGGAAAAAAGCTTGGTTATTTTCTAAGCCTACAAACTGTTTTACTTACCAAGGGTTTTTTCAGGGGATAGAGGCCACGACTTTTAGTACTAAAGTTTACTGTGTAAATCAAGGGAATGTTATACTTTGAAATGTTGGGATTTTTTTTACAAAGAATTCTTCACAGTTTTGCAAAATCACATCACTACTGCAATGCTGCTAATGGATTTTGAGTTGTGGGTACCATATACCCGTGTAAGTCTACATTTAACACTGAACCCTTTGTGTTGAGTACTCTGCATACAGTGTCATCATACCTTGAGTATTTACATTTAGTCATCATGTTTTCAAATAGTCCCGCCCTGCCCCTTCCCAGGACTGCAGTGATACTTACGTTAGAGCACTTGATGTTATCCCACAGGTCAGGTCTTGGTTACTTTTTCTTCCTGTCTTTGCTTTATTTTGTTTTGATTATAGGGTAGTTCTTCAACTTCTTGATATTTTCCACTACAGTATTTAAATCTGTTAGTCTTATCCAATGTATCTTTCACTTCAAATAGTATGTTTTTTTATTTTTAGTCACATTTTTGTCTTTCGTCTTTTATTTCTCATCATGTTGATGATTTATTCTTTTTTCTTTTTTTTTTTTTTTTTTTTGAGACACAGTCTGGCTCTGTCGCCCAGGCTGGAGTGCAATGGCACCATCTTGGCTCACTGCAACTTCACCTCCCGGGTTCAAGCGATCCTCCCATGTTCAAGCAATCCTCCCACCTCGGCCTCCTGAGTAGCCGGGACCGCAGGAGCACGCTACAGCACCTGGCTTAGTTTTTTTGTTTTTTTAGTAGAGACAGGGTTTCATACGTTGGCCAGACTGGTCTCAAACTCCTGACCTCAAGTGATCCACCCGCCTCAGTGCTGGGATTGCAGGCGTGAGCCACTGTGCCTGGGCCATGATTTATTCTTGATCATATGGAGCATATTTACAAAAGCTGTTTTTGGTCCGTGTCTGCTAGGACCTTAATTCTTTCATTTTTGTCACTTCTGGCTCTGTTTACACTGGTTTTTCTTCTGATTATGGGTTGTATTTTCCTGCCTGTTTATATTCCTGGTAATTTCGGATTGGAAACCAGACAGTGTGAATTTACATTGTAGAGTGTTGGATTTTGTTCTAGCACATAGTTGAGACACTTGGGATAGATTTGATCCTTTCCAAGGATCAAATGTTTGTTGTTAAACTTTGTTAGGACAAGTTTAGTCTTTAGTGCTGATTTAGCCTGATTACTAAGGTGTGACACTCTTGTGAGAACTCTACCTGCTGGTGGGGATTTCTCTTCTCTGGCTGGTGGGGACCCTAATTTTTCAGAGCCTCATGTCACTTCATAGATGCCCAGATCAGTATTCAGCCAAAGATTCTAAGTGAGCCGCCTATAGATACCTTTTTTGGGGTACTCTGCCTTTACGTTGTAGCTGCTTTAACCTCTGGCCTCTGGATTCTTCATAACTCTCACCATGCTGTCTTGGTGCTTCCAGTCAGTAAGCAAGAGCTACTACAGGAATCACTTTCTTTTCCTTTCTAAGAGTATCCAACCCACATTCATTGTCCGTTGTCTGAAAAACAGTTGTTTCATATATTCTATTCAGTTTTCTAATCTTTCACAGCAGGACAATAAATTCAGGTTATCTTAACTCCTTTGTGGCCAGAAACAAGACCAGTTATCAGATTTTTAATTTTGATTTTTATCTTTTACTTTAACCTCTTGAAAGTAGTAGTGGTAAAAATCACACATTTTTATTGGGTACTTTTTCTGAATGCCTTTGTTTATGTAGTCTTAGTGTTCTTTGTTAGTCTTTGTCTTTTTTACTGAAATATAACAAAAAGTAGAGGAGACTGATTACCTAGTAGAGCTTTACAGGAAGTCAAATGTTATTTGTAGAAAGATACGAGTTATTATAGCCAGCTTGACGAGAGCATTTTCTTCCAGGTATGAACATTTAATTTCGTATTAGAATACTACATTGGCAGCCCCATTTGTTTGTAGATACGTGCTCTTTACACAAATGCAGCCCTTTGTGGCAGTATTTGGAATACAGAATTTTAAGAAATAGTGGTTACTCAATAGAATTTTCACAAACTTCATGATTATCTTAAGATTTATGCTATTTTGTGTTGCATGAAACAGATATTTCTGGATTTTCAGTGTTGTTTATTTGCTACAGCAATGTTTAGAGTGTTTTATGAGTTTTAACCTTTTAAATTGTTACTATTTCACTGTAAAGCCTAATTATATTGAGGGAAATAACAGAATAGGGTTTGTCAGCATCTTAAGGAATGGATCCTACATCAGCTGTTTCAAATGGCACTTTCAGGAATCTATAAATCAGATGGTTAAAAATACTTAAACAGGCCAGACGCAGTGGCTCACGCCTGTAATCCCAATACTTTGGAAGGCTGAGGTGGGAGGATCACTTGGCCAGGAGTTCAAGAGCAAGCCGGCCAACATATTGAAAGCCTGTCTCTACTAAAAATACAAAAAAAAAAATTAGCTGGGTGTAGTGGTGCATACCTATAATCCCAACTGCTCAAGAGGCTGAGGCAGGGAGAATTGTTTCAACCCGGGAGGCAGAGGTTGCAGTGAGCTGAGATCATGCCACTGCACTCCAGCCTGGGTGACAGAGCAAGACTCTTTTGTCTCAAAAAAAAAAAAAAAAAGAAGAAGATACAAATTGATATCAAAATACCTTTTGAAAAAAAAATACTTAAGCAATTCCTCTCAGTTGTTTCTTCCCCTCCTTTATTTTTATTTTTTTAAAACGGGCATTTACATATTAACTTGGTCCTTATGTCTTGTAATTCATGCTGTAGTTGTTTATTTTGCCTTAGGATACTCCTTTGATTTTTCTTAAGCATTTACTGAATCCTTTATTGGTTAATGCTTCATCTGTAGGGATTACAGTGCTTTCTCTTAGCCACATTAGGGGGTAGAATTTAGAATGTGTATCACCCAGTGCCTTGAATGTAGCAGATTCTGAATAAATATTTAAAAGTTGTAGGGACAGGCAGTAACTGTAATGTGGTCATTAATAAGTAGTATAAAGTTGATGTTGCTTGGCTCTAAATATTTTACTAAACACAGACATTTTGACAATGAAAAAGAGGCAATAAACTGAATACTTACACATTATCCCTTTTTTCATCATCCAGAGATTTATAGAATTCTGTGCTGCCACCTTATCCCTATAGTGCTAAATATGAGTCCTGAGTCTGACAGTTGATCACTGTGTGATTTTTCTTAGGCTGGTTAATCACTCTAATTTGTTTTTCTATACATTGAAAATGATATGCATATTACAGTGATGTTATAAAGATTAAGAGAGAATAAATGCCCACTTAGCACAATGTTTGGCACATTTTGGTTGTAACATCTGTATGTGCTTTGGCATTAGTTTGATATGACTTTGTGTTATTTTAATGCCAGTATCCAGTTAATATAAAGCAGAGTTTGGCAAACATTTTCTGTAAAGGGCCAGATAGTAAATGTTTCCAGTCTGTGCCGTCTATTCAACTCATGGGCATGGCTAAGTTCCATTAAAGAATTATTTACAAAAACAGGTTGTGGGCCGTAGTTTTCCAACCTGTGACTAGAGGTTACTTTTGTATTTCTTTGTCTTTTTTGTTTTTGTTGCTGTTTTCATTTGACAGCTTTGGTACAATGTATTTCTTAACTATTGAGTATTTCAAATACCTTCAGCTGTATTAAAAATTATATAGGTAATACAGTTATAACCCTCTTTGCACTTTGATTAATTTCTTTCAGATCACTTATTTGAGACATAGTCCTCAAGTGGAATTATGAAATCAAAGAGTGACTCCATAAAGTGCCTCACAACACAAGAGCTGAGGTATTTAGAGAATGCCAAGGCTACTAATAATTTAGTCTTTTAATGGATAGTAATTATTTGTTACACCCATTTATATATACTATTTGTGAATTTCCCCTTGCTGATTTTTATACTGAGAGTTACATTTTTGAACCTTTGGCTGTATGTGTTCTATTGTGTTTCTTATAATACATAAGAAACAGAAGATAGGTGGCAATAAGGAAACGGCCTTATGAAGTAAAAACCGACCAATGACACTGTTGTCATTCCCACTACCAATTGCTCTTCCACTCACAAAAGAAAGCAATTATTTCACCTTCTAAGAGTGAAACCTGCCTGGGTGCTGACAGTTTAGAAAGAGGGGGTGGAAAAAGTAAGAATTTCATTCTGTATAATAAATTACCAATCCCTTGGTTTGCATTAATAGTGTATAGATAAAATTTAAGAACATTACATTACTTTTTTTTTAACAAAAATACTCTTATGCCTTTTAAATACTACCTTTATATCGCACAATTTGGAAGTCAATGTGTATCTAAAATTGCTGGGTTGACTTAATGCATAGTAGGGCAGTGGACTAATGTTCTGAAAGGTCCTTCTTTATTAACTGTATTAGAATGTTCTTTTGTAAGATTAATACAGGCATTTTTCATTGTAAAATAACATTGTGATTGGTGATAGGACAGATTTTTCCTTTTAAAGAAGTTGTTTGTTCTTTGGCATTTTGGTGGTGGTGGTTTGTGAGAATATAACTCAACTGATATACTATACTAAAGTATGCACAAATTCGGTATGATAGCTCTGACAGTGATGTCAGTTTTTGCTTTTAAAAAACATGATACACAGTGCATTGTTTAAAGGTGCAGAATTCTCAAATTCCAGCATTCTTGGGTTTGCAATAAAAGTCAGTATCCGGCCAGGTACGGTGGCTCACGCCTGAAATTCCAGCATATTGGGAGGCCGAGGTAGGCGGATCACAAGGTCAGGAGATTGAGACCATCCTGGCTAACACGGTGAAACCCCGCCTCTACTAAAAATACAAAAAATTAGCCGGTGGTGGTGGCAGGTGCCTGTAGTCCCAGCTACTCAGGAGGCTGAGGCAGGAGAATGGCGTGAACCCGGGAGGCGGAGGTTGCAGGGAGCCGAGATCGCGCCACTGCACTCCAGCCTGGGCGGCAGAGTAAGACTCCATCTCAAAAAAAAACAAAAAACAAAAACAAAAAAAGTCAGTATCCACTCTGTAATGTTTTAGACCTGTGCTGTCCAGTCTGGTAGCCGCTAGCTACATATGGGTATCAGAACATGAGAAGAATATTTTCTAAGAGTAGATTATTTTCTAAAAACCTGGATACCAGTATTTAGCCAGCCCTGTTTGGGTGTAGCATGAAATGGTATCCCTGTTTGCAGGACTGTGCTTCCTCACTTTTTGCATGTCATGGCATTCCTAAAAAGCAGCGATGTTTGTATGGCACACTGGGATACACAGCCGAGGATGCTTACAACTAGGGCTTACCGATCTGAGTGCTCTGCAGCACCAGGCAAGACCATACCCCATTCTTGGCATGCCGGTATGCAGTGGCACATACGGTACAAAGCTGCTTCAGCGTGCTCCCTATAACTCATTCCTGGATGTTTTTCTTGGTCTATGAGCGGAATTTGAATTCATTCTCCCTTCTTATTTCATCATTTTTATATGTCATATTCCCAGTGAGACTGTGAGACATTGGCATTTCACAACTTAGAAGAGCTTTCAAAGCATCATCCATAAACTTAGAGATTTAGTGAGTAACTGTATATGATCTTTCTCTTCTCTTTTGTTTAAGGGAGAAAGGAGGAAGGAACACCATGACGTAGTGATATATTTAAATTCTGTTTTAGAAACCAGGAAAATAGTTTTCCTACCAGAAATATGATTACATTAAATATATGCGGTATAAAGATCACAGCAAGGAGACCATGAATCTGTCCATCTACCCCTCCCCGAAATAAAATTACTCTACACTATTCAGATAAAAAGTGACTTGGTTGGCTGTTTCTGAAACTTTCTGTTTATTGGCTTTTGGCAAGATAAATAGTAACAAACACCAGTGTCTTAAAATCTAAAAATTGGTAATCCATGTACCTACTGTTTATTTCCCTCAAGGATTTTACAGTGAGTTGACTTTTGTGGTGTAAATCTTTGGTTCTTGTCCTTTCCTGATATCCAGCCACTTGCTGTTTGGGCCAGTTGTTTCTAGGATTCCTCACCCTACACAAGGGTCCCTCTTAAAATTCTTTACCTTTGCTACAAAACTAGTTCACTGCTAAACACATAACCACATCACTGTACGCTAAAAATGTCATCATAAAATAATTGTTCCTGCCATAAGAAGTGATACGTTATTGGAGCAAATGTCTTGTTTCTGTTGCATCTTGCAATCAAGTCTTTTTCTTCTCCCCACACACCCTTCACCTTCCTCTTCCATTCACATGTTCAGTGATTACATTATAACTGGTTGTGAGAGTCCCCTGTCTTCAGTTTGGAATATTGTACCTACAATCATTACTTGATTCTTGTTCTGTCTTCTCATAATAAAATAGGTAAGGGCTGGGTGTTGTGTTTTGTGGTTCATGCTTGTAATCCCAGCACTTTGGGAGGTCAAGGCAGGAGGATTGCTTGATGCCAAGAGTTCGAAACCAGCCTGGGCAACATGGCAACACCCTGTCTATAAAAAAATAAAAATAAAAAAATTAGACTGGCATGGTGGTCCGCACCTGTAGTCCCAGCTACTTGGGGAGCTGATATGGGAAGATTGCTTGAACCCGGGAGGTCAAGGCTGCAGTGAGGTATGATTGAACCACTGCATTCCAGCTGGGGCAACAAAGCGAAACCCCATCTCAAAAAATAATAAATTGGCGTGGAATGTGCCTTCCCACCCCACCCCTCAGTCTCAAATCTCAATTGTTTTACTGTAATGCTGTCCTTACTGACTTAATCATCTCTAGGTTTTACGTGTTCAGTTCACTTAAGGAATATTAAGGTTTCTTCCTTATTAGAAATTGAGCCCGGCTGGGTATGGTAGCGCTTGCAAACTTCCAGCAGTTTGGAAGGCTGAGGTGGGAGGATCACTGAAGACCACAAGCTCGAGACTACCTTGAGCAACATAGTGAGACCCTGTCTCTACAAAAAAATTTTTTAAAAATTAGCCAGGTATGGTGGTGCATGCCTGTAGTACCAGCTATTCAAGAGACTGCGGTGGGAGGATTGCTTGAGCCCAGAAGTTCGACATGATTGCACCACTGCACTCCAGCCTGGTCAAAAGGCCTTTTTTTTTTTTTAAAGACTCTTTTAAGAAAAAAAAAAGTCCATGCTGCACCAAACCTACCTGTCTAACTTTACTGCTTAGCAGAGAGTGTAGTCAGGCTAGTCACGCCATGGTCCTTGACATCTCCTTACTAAGTGATAGTTGTAACAGCTCATCAGCCTGACAAGGAGTTGTAATTAATTTAGGTGGATGCAACAACTTGGACCTGGGAAAGAGATAAAATAAGTAATGGGCAACTCGGCCCATTATTCCACTGAGTTGAACAGGAGAATGAGTCTGGTATTGGTTTCAGATGTGAGCATTTCACCAAGCTGAGAGCATATTCTAGAGATCAAAGATAGGTATTTTGGTACAGCAAGATTTCATATTCAAATTAACTAGTTCATTTGATGGTTAGGCTAAAAAAAACCCAGCAAATTATCAATGCTGTAGGGAAAATTGAGCTGGACTTACGAGAAAGAATTTGTGTCTTCAGGGTGTCTGTGTGAGGGATTTGAATTTAAAGATAATCTTGACTCTGTATGTTTGTATTATTATTTGATTTTAGAGCCTAACCCTCAGATTTGATTCAATATTTTTTGTCTGCTACTCTTTGCTCCTACTTAACTCCCCAGTTGTACTCTAATGTGCTTTAAGTGCAGGGACTTTGTATATTTTTAATCCTTTATTCGCTGTAGAAGTCAGTAGTATAGTACAGAACTCCTAATCAAATGACTTCTCAGTACTTACTGGTGTT
The DNA here is from genome assembly GCF_000001405.40 of Homo sapiens. Taxonomy (NCBI): domain Eukaryota; kingdom Metazoa; phylum Chordata; class Mammalia; order Primates; family Hominidae; genus Homo; species Homo sapiens. Next base: position 26,337,591 of record NC_000008.11, read on the forward strand.
TGGCTTTATGTACTAGCCCAGTATATTCAGTTTTACGCCTTTTATGTTACTTAGGTAAGCAGTTACTCAGGTAACCACCGTGGTGTAGCCAGGGGTTTTTTAACCTGGCGTTGAGTTGTTGTCCAAACAGTCTGAGATAATATGCACATTTTTATGAGCACTTAAATATGTGCAGTTTTGTGGGAGAGCATTTGTAACTTTTGGTAGATTCTGAAAGAGTTCAAAAAGATTAAATGCCTTGGACCTAGACAACGGAGGAAGAAAAGAAACCTTCTCAAAATCTGGGCTTTAAAAAATTGCTAAAAGAAAATTATGAAATGCAGTGCTGGATAGATTATTGGTGAAATACATGTCAGTAAATTTAAAATTTTAAAGTATGTATATCATCAGATTCTTAAATTCTTAACAGTGAGCTTCTGTAGACCAGAGGATGTCTGTTCTTTTATAAAGCTGATTTATTTTAAATGCACATGATAGGGGCTTTTCTAATTCAGCTTAATGCTTTATAGTGAAGAACTTCTTAATGACACAGTGATGAATTTTACCATGTTACTGCTCTATCTTATGCCCATTTCTGTAATTTAGACTTTTTTTCTTAGGAAAAGGGCTCTAGTGTGAAAAACCAAGAAAAAAAACTTGACAGTTTTCTTTGATCATGACTGTGAAGTCAGCACTGAGCTGGTAGAATCCATGTGACGTGACTGATTCTAGTGGTCCTGCAGTGTAGGGGAGCTGGAGGAGCCGTGCACATTGAAGGCACATAGCACGAAGCATTTCTGCTATAAAAAAGCGGGATCTATTTGCAAACACTTGTTTGAAGCCATGATTTTGAATTTATGACTTAAAATTCCATCTAAAAGTATTTTTACATTTAAAATTCCCTCTCCTTATTAGTAATATGTGCCTTTATTATAGATGATTATTTGCATTTGCATAAACAAGCTTATCAAATGTATATAAGAAAATTAGCAAGATAATGTTTAAGGGTGCTATCAGAATGATTCACAAATTGTTGATTTCTTTGCATTCACAAATTTAGTGAAATGTTAATAAATTAGTATTTGTTGTATTCTCTGTTAAAATAGTTTCATACTGGTTTATTCTGAGGAGAATTTTTATTAGTGGATCAAAATATTTATGAAAGAACTTTAGATTCATGTTATTTCTGATGGGTGGTTGATGTACTTCAAAGATATACTTCATAGACTTGGAATGTTTGGGAAAACACGCTAAGTTCTGAAACTAGTGAGTCGGGAAAGAAAAACTAATATCTTTTTTTGTTTTGTCTCAATTATACAGCAGATATAATTTCTACAGTAGAATTTAATCATTCTGGAGAATTACTAGCAACAGGAGATAAAGGTGGTAGAGTTGTCATCTTTCAACAGGAGCAGGAGGTAAGTGTTTAAAGTTTATTGTCTAAATTTCAGTTTGATCTTAGGACTAGAGCTTGTGTTGCACTGGAGAATCTCATCAGAGGATGTTGGAATTTTAAAAGAAGTGTGTGTTTATTGAATACAATGTCCAATATATAGACAGCTCTGGTTCTCTTAGCTTTGTATGTGTGCATGTGTGTACATGAGCGTATGTTGTTTTGGTTTAAAAACATAACACTAATTGTAAAAATACTTGATTAGAGAAGGGGGTGGAAAGTGATGGAATAATCCAAGATTTTAACGGTTTTGAAGCCTTGGCCCTTCATTATAATTTTTCCTTTGAAACTCCGTAAAGCAAAGTTGCTTTGACTTCTTCTCAATGCTTGGTTTACTTTGTACAATTGAGGGGTGAGAGGCTAGTTTAAAGAAAAAGCAGCTCAATTATTTTGATGTCAGTTCATAATAATACTGTTACAATGATTTAAATGTAAAGGTTTAAATGACAGTTGCATGTACATGCATGTAAAGTAACTTAAAAGTGCAGTGCTAGCTTTTTGAAGAAAGAAAATTGCAGAATCGGTAATTAAAGTGGGCTTTTGTTTTGTTTTTCTTACAACTTAGGCACACTTCTAAATTTAATTGACCAGATTTCTCACTAAAAATTTTTTGCTAAACAAAATTTGTCACACTTGGTTTTTTCTTATTCATTCTCTCCTTCCATTTGTAGATCAGAGTTTAACCATTAAAATCAGTTGTTTTGGAACATTCTGCCCCTATTTATAATATATTTAAAAAGTTTAAAGTAATGTGGATAAATTGCAGGGTTTTACAAATACATGTCTAAATCATAACACAGAGTTAGGTTTTAAAGGATTGTGAAATTCCTTAAATAAGCAAAGAATCTAGTAATAATACTACTACTTTGCACTTCTATAGCGCCTTTGACCTGAGGATCTCAAAGTGCTTTACAAACACTAATGAATTAATCCTCACAACACCCCAGTGAGGTAGGTAATTTAATTTTAAAAGAAATGATTAATAGTGTCTGATTAGAAGATGCACAAACACTAAATATGTCTTTTATTATTTTTTTCGTTTGGAAGAAAATATGAAAATAAGACTCAAGCTTTGCTTGACAAAGAATGGTCTCGTGGGAAGTGGGGGGCTAAATCAGTTTTCTGTTTTTAAGTAGCCAAAAACTCGACCATAAGAATCTTGACATACTTAGAGTTGACATGGAACCTTACATTATAATTTCATTATAATTTCCCTTTATTTACTAACAGGAAAGTCAAGATATAAATAGATTACTTTATTACTTAGTGGCAGAACTAACAAGCAGAACCTGAACTTTTGACATGTCGTTTTTCAGTATTCTTTGCTGTTTTTCATGCTAGATAACCAAAATGTGAAAGTTTTTATCTAGAGTTTAGAGCAGACCTTCCCATAGGTGTTCTCTGCCCTTGAATGTATTTTTTACTGAAAGTTATTGACTCTCTACACTTTACTTTTATTTTAAAGAAAAGTGTTTGAGAAAAACTCGTAAAAATTGATTTTGCCCTAGGCTTAACATTCTGAGGGTTTCAGAAAGTCTTCATTTTTAATGAAGGCATTGTGTCATTGTCAATTCTAAAATACAAGTTTGTCAATTAAAAGCTAATTTGGAACTATTTTGCCTGAGAATGAAGTCATTTTCATCTCCTGTGGTCGTTTGTTGTCCAAGTCAAAATCAAGTGTGGAAAAAATGGCTGAAAATTTTTTTAATTGGGGGAAATGTTTGTTTTAATATGGGTTTAGTAATGTAGTCAGAATATTAGTATTTAGTATTTTCCTAAAGGCTGTTAGTAATACATTAATTTGTAATTAAATTCCAAATTTAATAGTTACTGAAATTACTCATTTACTTGTATTAGAAAATAAGACAAAATTATTTTAAAGATAATCATTTCCCGTGATTCTTTTCTGAAACCCCACTGAAGATTCTAAAGTGCTAATATTTTAACTACATTTTCTTGTAAGAAGAATTGAGCAGAATAACTTTTTGGGAAGGGCCATTGATAGGAAAAATAGGACCTCCTTTTCATGTGTCTCATTCTTCTTAACTATATTTAAGAATTCTAGATGGAGAGTTTTGTAGAAACTCAGTAACATGTCTTTTGAGAATTACTTAGTGGTGTAAATATCAGCATGTTTTTAAGTGATAGATTAAGTAAAGATGATGATGGTGATTGACTCTTCACTTCTGAAACTTGATCTTGACTATTAATTTGGTGTGTTTTGCCTATTTAATTTTCTACATTTTAAAGCCCTGTCTTAGAGTTTCTAATACAGTATTGTCTTCAGAATCTATGTCATTGGTCATAAATATGTATACTTGACACTTAGAGGCACCTTTGTTTCAATACCTAATGTAATTGGATGAGATTTTATGAATTCACATCTAGAGGCACCTTTGTTTCAATACCTAATGTAATTGAATGAGATTTTATGAATTCACATGTATATATCTGTAAGATAGTGTTACAGTTTGAAAAGTGAAAGAAATAGTCCTTTCCTAATTTGTAGATAAAATCCAAATTATTTAACAAGGTTATATTGCTTCATTTAGTAGCAAAAATCAGGTTAGGATTTGGGTCTCCGATTTTCAATCCAACTATTATATGTTCATTCCAGAGTACACTGGTGCCTAATGTTTCTTAGACTCTGATGAGGGTGCTAGCCTTGTTTGCAGAATACACTGGCATTTGATCTATTGTGGCTTTATTCTCTTACCTAGTGGCAGGGTTCCTTCTTAAACTTGACTTTACTGGAGACCAAAATATCTCCACCCACTCATTTTTATTGTCTTTACTTGGAAGAAGAAGAGATCATATAACAGCAACAGAGAACTTGGCACATCAGACTTTGACATCTGTAACCCCTCATTGTCTGCCTCATTTATTTTACCCTTCAGAAGTAGCTAGTCTCCTTCCTGTGATCCAGGCGGGTATCTGTGTCCTCTTGCTGCCTGTCCGTTTATTCCCCAATCGTAATATAAAGAAACTGAGTAGCCAATTCAGAGGGTCTTCATTTGGTTTGAGTATGTTTCAGACTGATAATTGTTTAATATTTTTAGCTGTCATTTAATAGCATTGTTATAACTAATATATTTGTATAGGTATTCTGCTACACGGAATCTCTGTTGTAGAATCAGGGCACCTAAAGAAATTGAGGCACACAAGTAAAGTGATTTCCCTGATGTAATCACAGCCATCATGTGATCAGTGAGAGTCCAAAATTCTGATAACAAATCCAGTGTTCTTTATAGCATGACCCGATATAAGTGACCCATGTTATTTTTATAGCTTCTAATAGCTTTTGACAGCAAAGTAAATGATAGGGTATATTCTTTTTGTTAATGAAAATATTAATACAGGGTTTTGAGGAGAAGAGTCCAAACAGCTATTAAAGTGGATAATGATGTTCTCTAGGTTTTAGGGATTTTTGTTGTTTCCATGGGTGCTCAAATTAGGTAATTAGCAGTTGTCAAAGTAGCTGGTTTCCTACTGAGTTGGGTTGCTCAGACCTTCAGTTTCTCTGAGACTTTGTGATGTACCCTGTAAGGTAGTGTGGGTGTGTGGGTGCTGGGTTAAAGGGACAGCTAAGACAGAAGGTGAGGAGGGAGGTTGTACCTCTTTCCACTTCTTTTTATAATTTTTCTAGGTTGGTATGGGGCCTTTGATTTTTGTTTTCTAGGGCTGCTGGTAACTTTCTTGGATTTCATACCCTCTGGCTTTTTTTATTCTTAATGTGGTATTCCCAAAATTCCTTAACAGGATACAGAAGAAACCTTAAAAAGCATGCTTTTCACAAAAGGTGGATAGTATTGTTAATATGATAGTATTACCTTTCTAAATTATATATGGCTCAAAATGTTTGCATGTATTTAAAATGCAGATTTCTGGGTTGGGGGCCGTGGCTGATGCCTGCAGTCCCAACACTTTGGGAGGCTGAGGCAGGTGGATCACTTGAGGGCAGGCTGGCCAACATAGTGAAACCCTGTATCTAATAAAAATACAAAAATTAGCTGATCCTGGTGGCACATACCTGTAATCCCAGCTATGTGACTGAAATATGAGGATCACTTGAACCTAGGAGGCGGAGGTTGCAGTGAGCTGAGATGGTGCCTTTGCACTCCAGCCTGGGCAACAGAGTGAGACTGTCTCAAAAACTAATAATAAAAAATAAATAAATAAAATACAGATTTCTATCCTGCTCCTCAAGATTACTAAATCAGAATATGTATGTATATGGTGCATTCATAGAATGTAAGAGCTAACATTTATAGGGCTTTCTAGGGATTCTTAACTTTTTTGTTGTCATCCCATGGATTCCTTTGATAGCCTAGTAAATCCTGTAGACTTCTCAGATTTTTTTTTTTTTTGAGATGGAGTCTCACTCTGTTGCCCAGGCTGGAGTGCAGTGGCGTGATCTCAGCTCACTGCAGCCTCCACCACCAGGGTTAAAGCAGTTCTCCTGCCTCAGCCTCCTGAGTAGCTGGGACTACAGGTGCACACCACCACACCTGGCTAATTTTTGCATTTTTGGTAGAGATGGGTTTTCACCATATTGGCCAGGATGGTCTCGATCTCCTGACCTCATGATCCACCCGTCTCGTGATCCACCCACCTTGGCCTCCCAAAGTGTTGAGCGTGAGCCACCGTGCCTGGCCAGAATGTTTAAATTGCATAAAATATTTAAGATTATAAAGGTTGAAATAATTTACCAAAATATTCATAATTGAGTAATATATGTTTTAAGTGGATAACAGCTGGATTACGATATTAAAATGTCATTTCTGTTTGACAGAGTCACAAGAATTGCTAATACTATATGCAGTTTGTTACCTATGCCCATAATCAAAAGAAATGCTGAAATTTAGCTGGAGGTTAGTGAAAATAAATGTGTACATTTTCCCCCCATCCAGGCTTATAAAATCCCTGGGTTCTGTCATTGGACCCTTGTGTCCATGAGCCCTCAATTTTTAACCCCTGGTAGTGCAGTCTCCTTTTGCCAGCTGGGGGCCCAGGTACCAGATTACCCATCCAAAGTCATACAGTTAATAAGGAAGTGATTCTTCACTGCAGAAGCCACACATCCTGATTTCTACTGCATGGCTTTGCCCACTCTAACCTGGATGTAGTAGCAGCAGTTTATGTGCTAGGACCTCTGCCAAGATCCCTAAATCTTACTTAATCATCACAGCAAAATAACAAAGATGTATGTATGTTTACTATATCTTGATGTATTACAAATTTATAAATAAAATGAGATTTAGAGAGGATAAGTAACATTTCCAAGAGCACCCTGCTAGGTAAGTGGGTAAAAGCTAATTCTGTGTAAATTTGGATGAGTATTCACAATGCTGGCTATTGATATTAAAATAAAAAAAACTTTAATCCTGTTTGGTGTGATGAGCCTAATTGTTAGAAATCACACAGGAAAATCAGTCTCATTACTTTATACCTAATGAGGAAAGTACGTGATCCTTAGACTTTTTAATATGAGCTATTGAGTGATCTGTTTTCTGTCATAGGTGTTAGAGGGGAAAATGGACTAAGAGTTGAACAGCCTTGGTTCTAGTCCTGGTATTCATTTATGCATTTGCCCAGCCATCTCTTCTTGTTCAGCCTTTTAGCGTCCAGATTTCTGTCCAGACTGCCATCAGATTCTTGTCAGCTACCTGTTAATCTTTTGGGGCTCCTTAGGGTATTACATTTCCCAAAAGCAAAATATCATGTATTTTAAATATTTAAAATATCGGCTCAATGGGTACCTAATTTTACCCGTTGAGCAGAAATTTGAATTAACCATATTTCTTATACAGGGTGAGTATCCCTTATCTGAAATGCTTGGAACCAGAAGTGTTTCAAATTTCAGATGTTTTCGGATTTTGGAATATGCGCATGTGTACATAATGAGATATATTGGGGATGGGACCCAAGTCCTAAACACAAATTAAATTGTTTCATATACACCTTATACATATGACCTGAAGATAATTATACAACATTTTAAATCATTTGTGCATGAAACACAGTTTTGACTGTGACCCATCACATGAGGCCAGGTGTGAAATTTTCCACTTGTGTCATGTTGACAGTAAAAAGTTTCAAATTGTGGAGCATTTTGGGTTTCAGATTTTCAGATTAGGTATGCTCAACCTATCCCCAAGAAATTCTCCACCAAAAACAACTCCAAATCTATGAAATTAATAATGCCCAGTAATTTTGGAATTAATTATTTAATTAATAAACTTGGAATTTATTTACCTTTCCTTCTTCCTGTGCTCTCCCTAGCCTCACACATATAAAACATTTCATTGTATTCTTATTATTAATAATTTTTCCCTCTTAATTATAAATTCATTATGCTCGATGTAGATAATTCAGTAAATATGGATAAGTGGCAAAGAATGCATGTATAACCCCACCAAACAAAAATAAGAACTTTTGGTATATACCAAAGGCCTGTCTTTCTGAATATCTGATTATAAATTTAGGGTTGTATGATTTTTTTTCTCACATACTGTATAGTGAATACCTTTTCATGTCATTCAGTTTTCTGTATCACCATCTCTGTAATGACATGACATGACATAATTATGTTTATTTGATCTAGTCTCTATTGTTAGATTCCTAGATTGTTTATTTCTGCCTCTTTTTTCAGGGTTGGGAGGTGAGCGACTGCCCCTTTGCAGTTACTGTGTTTTTCCCTCTTTCTAAAAAAAGAAAAGTAGCAACTTGGTGATTGAAAATACATTATTTCATTGGATTTTGGTTTTACTTTACGCCTTAATACTCCCAATAATTAAAGCATCTTGTTCTATGCCCTCTTTTTCTAGTGGTGTATTTATTGAATTTGGATGGGCCACATATTGTGAGAGACGGCATCAGCTCTTTTTCTCACGAGGCATTATGTTTTTCAGCTTTGTTGATTGGCTGCCTTTAAATTTTATTTTACTTTTTGTTTTTCTGCCCACAGATTATTTAAACATTCTTTTGTTCCCTTTTAAATTTATTATTTAGTTAGACTTTATTACCCTACATTATGTGATGAAGTGATTTTTTTCTCTTCCACCTTCCCCACCCATTCACAGATTACCAGTCGGGTTATTATTATTATTATTATTATTATTATTATTTATTTTAGTTTTACAGAGTCTCACTCTGTCACCCTGGCTGGAGTACAGTGGCATGATCTCAGCTCACTGCAACTTCCACCACCCAGGTTCAAGTCATCCTTATGCCTCAGCCTCCCGAGTAGCTGGGATTACAGACGTGCACCACCATGCCTGGTTAATTTTTGTGTTTTTAGTAGAGGCAGGGTTTTGCCATGCTGACCGGGCTGGTCTCAAACTTCTGGCCTCAAGTTATCTGCCCACTTAGGCCTCCCAAAGTGCTGGGATTATAGGCATGAGCCACCACACCCAGCTGGTTATTACATTATTTATTGAAATTTTTTCACATGGATTTAAAATGCACATTAGATCAGTCATCTGCAGAGTTGTGTCTAGACTTCACTATATTTTAGCTTTTCAAAGTCTTATTCAAGGATGATGAACTCTGCTAGTCTTTCTACTTTATTCGTTCCTTCTTACAGTTGAGTTGTGTAGATAGGTTTTGAAATGTATTGAAATTGGGTTCTTTCTCAAATATCTCTCTATAGCCTTTCAGAGTAAATACTTGATCAGAATAGTTGTTGTTGCATATTTCTTAGTGTCTAGTTATTAAGAAGGATTTGACTTGTGCCTTTACAAAGGGGAATTTTCTAGCGAACTTCATCTGTAGTCAATTTATCAGGGGTATGGAGGACTTTCTTATTAGAATGTTACCAGTGGAAAGGACATTGAAGACTATCTGATCCGATCTTATTTGTTATTTCTCCAATTTGAGGCACAGAGAAGAGTCTGAAATCAGGCGCCTCAAATGTCGGGGTGTCATGCATTTACCTGCATCATGTTGTTTCTAAATGATAGAATTTGCACTTGATCCTTATCTGGAAGAGAAACTAATATTTGAACTTTACTTGCTTTTGCATTAAATTCCCAAAGTTATCCTGTCCTGAGAGAATAAATTGTATTTAACACATGAAGAAAACGTGATCCAGGGGATTGTTATATTTTATGAACTTCAAAGGGAAAGAGACACAAGTAGTAAAATGAATCTTTTTTTTTTTTTTTAATCTAACACCAGGTAGGGTTCATCTGAATCTTCTCTCAGAGAGAAACCAACTCCTTAAGGGTCCAGGTTAGATTGAAATTCCATTTTGAGAGAAACAAGGTTGGAGAGCCTTGAGATCTGCCTCCATTCCTTGGTTGTTGATAGAACTGGGGAAGAGCGCTAGCATCTGAGCAAGGCACAGTTTTCGTGTGGGGTGTTTGTGTGTGTCCACGCGCATGTGCATGGAGGGTTTTTTTTTTTTTTCCATTCCTTTCAGTAATGTGTAAAATGTAGAATAAATAAGCATTCCTCCTATGTAACTTTATCACTTAATCTGTAGCATAGTTTAGAACAGATATTCTAGCTAGTTTGATAATCTGAGTGAAAGCACTTTAACAACTTTAGGTTTTAAAGCATTATATTAATTGTATTTTATGCATTTCCTTTAAATTTTATTTGACTATCTTATAGACAAATAATAATGCTACTTGATTTGACTTTCTAATTGTTTCAACCAGGTATCCTTCATTCAGATATCTCTCCCACTATATTATTGTTTTTTTGATAGGATATTGTGACTGATACGCTTCCAAATTGCACTTAGAATAGTACATAATAGGCACTCAGTGAATGAGTATTAACTTACTGAACATAATTTAATAAGGCCTTGCAAAATCTTGAAGTGCTCCATGACTATCGTTATCATTAGTTTAGAGAAAGTTTTGAGATTTCTCTTGTGTTTATTTCATCGAATGACTTGTATTTTGCTTTATTCTAGAAAGTTCCCCATATTTTCTGAATGTGTTGAGAGTAGTTATCAGATATCATTTAATTTTGTTTTGTACCATTTCTGCCACTGTCCCTGAATGCCCATTTCACAAGACACTGACTCTTTTAAAATACTTTTATACTGCTATAAAATATAAAACAAATGACTGCTTACACTATATAGAAGATGAACATTAATAAACAGTAAGTTTTAGTAGGGTTCTATTTGGAGGCTTAAAAATATTCATTTATTTTCTGCTATATGAGATCAAAGTAAAATACATTTATTATTTTCTTAAATTTTTAAATTTTTTCCACGGAGCAAAGTAAATATTTCCTACATTTTTGCAGAGTTTCATTTAAGGAAGGAGAAAGTTAGTACAGGTTGAGCATTCCTAACCCAAAATCCAAAGTATTCCAGAATTGGAGACTTATTGAATGCTGATGTGATACCACAAGTGGAAAATTCCCCTGGCCTCATGTGATGGGTCACAGTCAAAACTTTGTTTCATGCACAAAATTAATTAAAATGCTGTATAAAATTACTTTCAGGCTATATGTATAAGGTATATACAAAACCACTGAATTTTGTATTTAGACTTGGGTCCCCTCCCTAAGATAATATCATGAATATGTAAATATTCCAAAATATGGAAAAAAATGTGAAATCTGAAACACTTCTGGTCCTAAGCATCTTGGATAAGGGATACTCAGCCTGTAAAAGCACAATGGAGTTACTTATATTTAGAAGTAGCTGTTGAAAAATGTTAAGTGAAATTCTTTCAGAAGTTTGCCTTTAAGTCTTGACTATTCTTAGTATGTTTATTGCAGAAAATAGGAAAAATGTGTATCATTTCCACAAAGAATAAAATCAAAACCATCCCATAACAGGAATGAAAAATGAAGACCTGTGTGTGTGTATGTATGTGTGGTTTTCTCAGGGATTTTTGTTTTGTTTTACAGAATGAGACTCATGTTGTACATATCACTTTGTAATGTTTAGTTTTATTTACTGTCAATGTTTTCTCAGGTTGAAATATTGCCTCCCAGTCAGGGAGATGAAGAGACTGTTGGAACCATTGAGTAGAAAGGGGCACTTGAATAGTTGGGAAGAACATACTCCATCTTATAACTTAGGTGACAAGGTTCAATAAACTTGTGGCTTGTGGGAACAGCTTATACTTCTACCAGTAGTATGTGACTTTGCCTTTCTGTCACTAAAACAATGGTCATTATCACATTTTTAATTTTTTGTTCATTTAAGGGAAAATAATATTGCTTAGTTTTGGTGGGTGGGTAGATGTGTGTGTGTTTTGTTGGGGATTTTTGTTTTGTTTTACAGAATGAGACTCATGTTGTACATATCACTTTGTAATGTTTAGTTTTATGTACTGTCAATGTTTTCTCAGGTTGAAATACTGCCTTCCAGTTAGGGAGACGAAGAGACTGTTGGAACCATTGATTGGGTTACTTCCACCTTTTGGCTCTTGAGAATAAAGCTGTAATGGGCATGGCTGTCCAAACACCTCTCTGAGGTCCCATTTTCAGTTCTTTGGGATAAAATCCAGAAGTGGGATTGCTGGATTATATGGTAGTTCTATTTTTAGCTTTTTTGAGGAATCTCCACGTTGTTTTCCATAGTGGCTGCAACATATGTGTGGTATATATTTTAAAATCTTTATTTAAATATACACTGAAAAGTACATAAAATACTAGCAGATTATTACATAGCAAACATTTAGGTCAAGAAATAGAACTTCCTACGCTTCCACAAACCCTTCTCTTTTCCCTTCCTCTCCTTTATGAGCCTGTCTTATTAATGATTATTTTGGCCTGCAGTTTTAGAACTTTGAATAGATGGAATCCACAGTTTATCCATTATGAGTAATGTTGCTGTGAACATTCTTACTCATGTTTTTTGCTGTACAATCATGAGTAGAAATATTATGCCCATAGGGTAGGCATTCACTGTTAGCAGACATCACAGTAAAAAGTTCTGCTAATTTTATTCTTGTGAACAGTATATAAATTTTATGGCTGTTCTACATCTTTGCCAGTGCTATGTGTTGTATTATCAGTCTTTTAAAATTTAACACTTTGTGGGTATGAATTAAGTTTGTATTTACTGTTTGTTTGTTTTTTTTTGAGACGAAGTCTTCTTGCTTTGTCACCCAGGCTGGAATGCAGTTGGTGTGATCTTCGCTCACTGCAACCTCCTCCTCCCATCAAGTGATTCTCCTGACTCAGCCTCCCAAGTAGCTGGGATTACAGGCATGCACCACCATGCCCAGCTAAATTTTTGTATTTTTGGTAGAGAGAGAGTTTCACTGTGTTAGCCAGGCTGGTCTCGAACTCGACCTCAGGTGATCTGCCCGCCTCAGTCTCCCAAAGTGCTGGGATTACAGGCATGAGACATCACGTCCGGCCTTGTACTTACTCTTGTGATTCACATTGAGATTGAGTAGTTGTTGTGTTGTTTTGAGACAGGGTGTTTCTTTGTTGCCCAGGTTGGAGTGTGCAGTGGTGCGCTTACAGCTCACTGTAGCCTCAAACTTCTGGACTCAAGTGATCCTTCCCACTTCAGCCTCCCCAGTAGCTGAGACTACAGGCGTGCACTGCAACACTTGACTAATTTTTTTTTTCTCTCTCTCTTTTTTTGGTAGGGATGGTCTCACTGTGTTGCTGATCTTGAACTCCTGACCTCAAGCAATCCTCTGTCTTGGCCTCCCAAAGTGTTGGATTACAGGCATGAGCTGCGACTCCTAGCCAGAGCTGCTTTTTATATGTTTATTGGCTATTTGGATGTTATCTTTTGGAAGTGACTATCGAAATCTCTTATAATTTTCTGTGTTGTGTGTCATTTTTCTTACTGATTTGTAGACTTTCTTTACACTTTTTGTAGATGAACTCTTTTTCAGTTACATTTGTTGGAGGATCCAGGGGCAGTGGCTCACGCCTGTAATCCTAGCACTTTGGGAGGCTGAATTGGTTGGATCACTTGAGCCCAGGAAATTGAGACCAGGCTGGGCAATATAGCAAGACCTCATCTTTTTTAAAAAACAAAACAAAACAAAACAAGAAAACCCACACATTTGTTAGAAGTATTTTTCATTCTGTGACTTGCCTTTTCATTTTTTTGAATAGTATATTTTTATAAATAGAGATTATTAATATAATACAGTTGATCAGTATTTTTCTTAGGGTTACTGGTTTTTCTGTCCTGTATAAGAAATACTTTTCAACCCCAAAATCCAGGGAAGACATTTCCGTTATCTTTTAGAACTGTATGACTGGTACTGTAGCTACTAGATCCATGTGGCTATTCAGATTAATGGGGAGTTGAGTCTGTTCTCTCTCCCCTAATGCAAGACCCTGTTGCAGTGGTCCCTGTCTCCATGGCCCTCTTTAAAGTCAGCCTTACTACCTTATAAATAAGTAAATAAATAAATTTAAATTATTAAAAATAAATTGTAGAATTAACTTCCTTAGTTGCAGTAGCCACATTTTAGGTGTTCAGTGTGTGCCTAGTGCTCAACATGACTAGTGGCAACCATACTGGACAACACAGATACAGACTATTTCCATCATTGCAGAAAAGTTCTCTTGGGTCCTGTTATCCTAAAACTTAATTATTGTACCTTCACATTTATATCTCTTATTCATCTGTAATCACTTTACGAGTGGTTTTGGGAAGGGGTCGAGCTTCATTTTATTTCCTATGAATAGTCAACCTAACACCATTTAGTGAAAAGACCATCCTTTCCCCATTGCCCAGCAAGGCAACCTTTGTCATCATTTAGGCCTGTTTCTGGGCCATCTGTTCTGTTTCATTGGCACATTGGTGTATCCTCATGCCAGTACACAGTCTTTATGACTTTGCTTTAAAACTTGGTTATGATGTCCTTTAGTGAATTCTGTTAGCATCTGTGTTGAAAATGTGTGATTTTGGTTTTGTGTCCTGTGTTTGTAATGTATGTAAAGTATGTGACATAGCTCATTCTAAATCCTGCTTTGAAAGTCTTTATTGAATGCCTGTTATATGTGCCAAGTACTGTTATAGGTGCTGGGGAATAAAGCACATCTAAACTTACTGTAGAAACTTTCATGCAAATAGATTGTATGGTTAGGAAGATGATTCTCATAGTGATCATAAAGGCAAGCAAGAAAAGAGAGGGAGGTGAAAATGCTGTGCAGGTAAAGCCAGTATGAATTGTTGAAGGATGTGTCACAATTCTGTATGACTGTAGGAGAGGTTTTTAAAACAAAAACATTGTGTTTGATTTTGATGCATTCTCATTTGAGTGGCTCAGTGTTGAGTATGCGGTTATGTGTCTTCTTATTCAGGCTTGCTCACTGTACTTTGTTTGTGCAGGGAACAATGCTATCATGATCATTATAATGTAAACATCCCCTCCCAAAGTGTTAGGAAAAGTCTGCTGCAGCTCCCTGTGGTCTACTGTCAGTTACCACTTGTACCCATCTGTTTTATAGCCTCTTCAGTTTTGTTACTGCTGCTGTCATTTCTGCCATTACTCTTTGTCCTGTGGACTTGTTTTTAAAAGTTCTGTTATGATCACTTTAATAAAGTTTCAGGAGAGAGGGGAGGCTAATGCATGTGCTCAGCCTGGCATCTTGAGCTTTTTAGACAGAATTTTCTCCTTTTGTGATACATTAATTTATTTCCTGTTGCAAAGAGATGGAGCTTCTTGCAGTCCACGAAACTGCCATATACCTCTATGATTTTGTTTTTGGATTCTGTAAGATACCATGTTTAGTAGACCTGTGTTGTTGTCCACGAGTCTACAGGAAGATGTTCATGTTTTGTTTCAGAAAATATTTCTGTTGTTTTGTGCTTTTCTTAACTCATCAAATACAATGTGTGGCTCGCCCTTGGCCCTTCATATTGCTTACCTTAATTGTGTAGACCATAACCAGTTTCTACTTTGACTAAAGTTTGACGTACACAAGTTACTTGAATGTGGGGATTCTGTCTATCCCTCTACGCCCTAGTGTACATAGTACTATATATTATAGTCTCTTTAAGTGTTAAATGAAAAACCAGTCTAAAATGCAGGATTTATATTAAAAATCGAGTTGCCTGCTTAATGGTATTGTGGTTTCCTTGTAGACTATAATGATAAATTTTGTGAGACTGGGTGAGTCATTTTAGGTAAAAGATTTGTGGAGCTTTAAAGTGATACTGGAGTATTTATATATGTTAATGGAATAGGCTGTCTAATTTTGTGTATGGGTATGGTGATGAGACCAAGGCTCTGAGTCTGATTTTTACCCCTTGTGTATCCCCGATATGTGGATCGTTTTGTGGGACATGTATTCTTAACATTGGCAGACTTGCCCTCTAATAACTGATAACTGCTGTCCAAGGGTTCAAATACAACCATCCATGAATGAACAACCCAGATCATCAGGCTGCTGGAAAAAACAACCCAAAACATAGACTTTCAAGATGATTCAGTGAAGTTTCCTTTTGATATGGAGAATAGTAATAGGCTGTTTTTATTATCAAGAAGTTCTAAACATTTCACTGGGTAACTCACTTTTACTTAAAATAGTTGACTGTCAATAATATCTCATTCTATTTTTTACTTAAACTTTTTCCATAGGTGGTTCTTTGAACTAGACTTTCAAATTTTTTTATGAAAATGTTTTTAATCGTGTGATAATAGGTCAAAAGATGAAATTCTGAACATGATTATAATTCTCACTTTTGCTGAGATATTAATGCTAACCAGAGTAGTTCAAAAGTAGTCCCTTTATGAGATAGCTTAAATTACATTTTTTCAAAGTGATACTAAATGAAATTAGTCATCAGTGTGTGCCAGGTTCATAAGATGAGAAAGCAAATTTAAGGCGAGTAAGCAGTTGTTGATGGGGGTGCATGGGGCCATTGCTGGGTAGTGCTGAATATGGACTTGATTGGTAGCAAAGCTGTCTGGAACAGTGGTCTTGGGGTGGGAGGTAGGGGTCAAATGGTATCCCTTCTTTTATAAGAGCTCTTTTTTTAAGCTTTCAGCAGCGAAATAACCAAAAGGCGGGCAGCAGAAAGGAAAAGGACAATACATCATATTAAATAACAGATCGGGGAGTTGACCCTAAAGTGGGCATAGGAAGAAGGTGTGCCTCACCTAGCTCTTTCTGGGCAAGACTTTATCATTATTTTTAGATGAACTTCCTTATTATGGGTGCTCAGTTTTTTTTCATCAGTTTTTTTCATAGACTATACCATCAAATACATAAGAGTAAATTAGCAATCAAATTGATCCATATTTAACGTCATTATTTCCCTAATGAATTGAGCTTATTTATTCAGCTTTATTTAGCCTTTTCCCCCGTTAAGTTTTCTCATTTAATCCTTGAAGGCCTTTAGAAATATAAAAAACAGAATGTAATTGTATAAAGACACAACTAATGGGGTATTGAGAATGTGCAGGGTCCTTTGGAATTGATTACATATTTGATTATTTTGAAATATTTTTCAACAATGGTCCATATATTTTTGTTTTCATTTTAGAACAAAATCCAGTCTCATAGCAGAGGAGAATATAATGTTTACAGCACCTTCCAGAGCCATGAACCAGAGTTTGACTACTTGAAAAGTTTAGAAATAGAAGAAAAGATCAACAAAATTAGGTGGTTACCCCAGAAAAATGCTGCTCAGTTTTTATTGTCTACCAATGGTAAGTATACATATTTTCTTTCCATGTGCCCACTGTGTGTACCTGTTGCACATATCCTGTAGCCTAGGAGAGGAATCATTTAACAGAGATACTTGTAAAAAGGACTTTTGTTTTTCTATACAGAATGTAAACTCTACTTTTTTACTGTCACTTGCAGTTTTTAGATTCTCTGAAAGATTCTCTGATAGCAATTTTTTGTTTACTACACCTCCAATTTGTAGTGAAAAGAATGGGCTGCTATACCATTGGATTTAGGTCAGGTAATATTTCTGTCATTTCTCAGTCTCGTAATCTTGGGCAGGTTACTAACACTGAATTGAATTTTCCTCAGCAGCAAACTAGAGATAGCAATTTTTTATTATAGTATTATTATGAATATTAAATAACTTCACATACATCATGAGTGCAAGTGCTCAATAAATGTTAATTTATTCCTCCTTTTTAAGTGTTTGTAAACTACACAGAGTATCTCAAACTGCAGATACAAAATACTCAAAGGATGGTCTCCATTCCAGGATACGCTATAGGAGAGCACTTTCTTACTTGATCACCATTAGCATATTGCCTTCTTCCCAGCAATCCACATGGCTGGAAGGAGATTCCTCTCCTACTGTTTACTTGCCAAGGGAACATTTTTTGTTGTTTTTTGAGACAATGTCTGTCGCCCAGGCTGAAGTGCATTGGTGTAATCACAGCTCACTGCAGCCTCGACCTCCCTACCTCAGTCTCCTGAGTAGCTGGGACCACAGGTGAGTGCCACCACACCCGGCTAATTTTTTAAAAACATTTTTGTAGAGACTGGGTCTCCCTATGTTGCTCAGGCTGGTCTTGAATTCCTGGGCTCAAGCAGTCTGCCCCGCTCAGTCTCCCAAAGTGCTGGGATTACACGTGTGAGCCACTATGCCTGGCCCAGGAAAAGTTGAGTGAGGATTAAAAGTTAGTAATGACAGGCCGGGCGTGGTGGCTCACGCCTGTAATCCCAGCACTTTAGGAGGCTGAGGCGGGTGGATCACGAGGTCAGGAGATTGAGACCATCCTGGCTAACATGGTGAAACCGTGTCTCTACTAAAAATACAAAAAAATTATCCGGGTGTGGTGGCGGGTGCCTGTAGTTCCAGCTACTGGGGCGGGGGTGCTGAGGCAGGAGAATGGGGTGAACCTGGGAGGCAGAGCTTGCAGTGAGCCGAGATCGCGCCATTGCACTCCAGCCTGGGCAACAGAGCGAGACTCGTCTCAAAAAAAAAAAAAAAAAGTTAGTAATGACTCTACCAGAATTTGAAATCCTTTATGATGAGTTGGGTGCTTTCTCTTTGTTCTTATGAAAAACTTTTTCCTGTGAATTGTTTGGACTTTGTTGGGGTCTTGAGTCTAAAGGGAATCATTAGAGTGACTGAGGAGATACTTTAGTTTCTGGGTAGCCGTAGTCTATAAAAATTTGTGATTAAAACTTTTTTGAGGTTGGTGCTAGGGTGAGGGGAACCTCTTATTTTCTCATCCCCTCACTATTAATTTAAAAAGCAAATTCTAACACCTAGACCATAAACATTTGCAGAATATATACTTAAATGACTTCAGGATGAAATGGGGGAAGAAATTCAGCACTTCCTCCATCTAATTGATGCCCCTCGTCCACAGTATTAGTTCTTAGAAATGCTGTTCACAAATGCCTGATGGCCATCAGCGTTGGCCGCCTCCTGGGTGCCCGTTTTTCTGATCATGAAAGCTTTCCCCAGCCAGTCCATTGAGATGCGTACCCTCTGCCTTCTCTGTTTTCACAATAGACTGCATTCCCCTCTCTTGTCCTTATTAGAAGAAAAATAAAGAGAAGTAACTATTTAAAGCCTGTAAATCACAGCACTATGGGTGGAGGGAACAGTTTATTCCTGTCATATGCTAGCTTCTAGTCTTGGGTCAGTTTTAATTTATATGGTAAACTAAGTTATTTCAAATAGCTTCAAATATTTTAGACACTGTTCTTTGGCATCAGATGATACATAATTAAACCATTTATATAATTTCTACTTTTAGAAGTAAATGTTCCTAGGGAAATGTGTTGTTAACATTTTATATATTGGAATATTTTTATGTCAGTTTATTTCTTATAGGGCTACATCAGCTTTCTTATAAAGAGAACTTTTTAAATGTAGGCTGAGTTCAAGAGAATAGTATAGTGAAGCCCTGCATGCTCATCATCCACTTCTGACACTCCTCAGTTCATGGCTAATTTGTGTCTCGGATCCTTCCCCTTCCCCTCCTCCTCAGTGTTATTTCGAAGCAAATCCGATTACAACGTCTATGGATTAAATCTTGTTTAAAGACATTAGAGAATGCATTGTAGATTTTTGTCTTTTGTTTCTTAATACTAAGTAAAATACAGCTAACTGGGGGCTGCATTTTTTAATGCTAAAATAAGTGCTTAATAATAGAGTCCAATGTGGAAGGATAAAGCAGATTATGAGAATCATATGAACTGTTGTGTCTGGGTAGATGGGAAAAGGATGGGAGGAGTAGGACTTGAACTATATCTGAAAAACTATTTGGAAAGAAGGAGACTTAGAGAAAAATGTCAACATCTGTTGATTCTGAGTGATATCTTTTATATTATTTTGTGTATTTTTCTCTGTGAGTTTTTTCTGTGAGCATAGTAACACCCCCCCCCCCCAATATAATGGGTCTATATAAAAACTATATCTGTGGGAGAATGATGGAAAATAGTACCAAACTTTCCAGGTTTGATTAACCAAAATTAATCTTATAAAAATATTTGCATTGGCTTTCCATGATCATTATATGAACTGGGTTTCCCAGATCATTTTTACTTAAAGGACGTCATAGTCACCTTATAACTTGAGTTAATTTAATGTTCCTTCAAGCATTTTAATTCTCTTTCTCTTTAATCTTCTTTTGCTCCTCTGAATTCTCATTAATTCCTCTACATTGCAGAAAACATGAAACTGACCTGTCAACCATGAGTGTTACATATATGAATAATGTAAAGTTCACTCATAAATAGGGTGTGTCTTAACAACTTCTTGATAAGTTTTTTAGGGTCTTACATAAAGCTGCATTCCCACAAAGGAAACGGCAGCGTGGTTTTCCCTGCTCATACCTCTCATACCTTCTGCTTGTGGTGAGAGGAACTCTGTTCTTCTGCAGTTTCTCCAATGCTTTAGTTATTAGTGTTGATAATTCAGGGGAACACCACAGTGTGGTCGTTTTGGAAGGAACAGATCTTGAGAATCTAATAACGTCTCCACTGAAAACTGTGTTTTTACATAATCTCACATACAGTTTTATGGAGTTTGATTATTCTCACATACTTTGTCTTATGGGCCAAAAACTCCAGGTAATAAAATATCACTGCTGTAGAACATAAGGATTCTGATTTTTTAAAAATTTATGTCATATTTATTAACATACTGATTTATTTCCTGCCTGCCTTGTCCCCACCTTACTGAAAAATGTATCCTAATTCATATGTGTCCTGTGTTTGTGTTAAGGAAAAAACATTTTTTAAAGAGCTTTCTTCCTGTAAACACTATTAGGCACCACAAACTAATTTTATCTCATCTGAAAGTTTCATAAATACATTGTGGTTTCTTTATTTGGATCTTTAATAAGGAGGATGGATTTAAACAGGCCACAAGACAACTGGACCAGGGGGCGGGGGTGTTGTCATCCTCATCACAAATACTTTGCAAGTATTTAGAACAAATACTTCTCAGAATACAGATTTAGGCTAGGCTCATATCTATCTATAAATCATATACATATATAAACTAAATAACACATAGAAAATCTGTATGACTGAACTACAAGAAAATTATAAGCAAGGTCACATAGGGCTTAGAAGAAATAATAGATTACAGATGATTAAAGTTAGCAGTTTTTCTCTGTTTACACTTCATCATTGGGAAGGGCATCCTTAGGGGCAACTATCATTCTTCTGTACGATACAGAGACTGCCAGGCTAGAGTCACTGGCATCTCTCTGAGTTGTTTCTGTTTTTATAAAATGGCTTTATATACTGTTATAAACAATTTTGTTACACCATTTTGCTTATGAAAGATCGTTAGGAATGTATGCTTTTCTATAAGAAAAACTGTTATACAATTGTAACAGTTTTAAATCAACATGCATGAGCCTATAGTGATACAAATAAACAATTGAATGGATACATGGAGAGCAGGGATGCTTCCTGCAGGAGAATTCTAAATAAGACGTGGATACATACTCTTCCCTACAGGGAGTATAACTTATTTCTCCCTTTAAGTACAGGCTGGATTTAGTGACTCACTTCCAAAGAACAGAATATGGCAAGGGTGAAAGAGTCATTGTATAGTGGAGAAGCCTGGCAAACATTGTCTTAACCAAATGACCCAAGTTAACGCCACCAGCTGTAAGTCATGTTGATACCATGTATCCCTTTGAACAATGCTGTGAGAAGTCACTTCATCTCTCTGTTCTGTTCCTAAAAACCCATGGTCCCAGTCTGATCATGAGGAAAGAGCAAGCAAATCCAGTTGAGGGATATTCTACAAAGTACCTCACCACCACTACTCAAAACTGTCAAGATCAAGAAAAATAAGGAGAGCCTGAGAAACTTAAAGGCAGAGAGACTAAGGAAACTTGATGACTAAATGCAGTGTTGTTTGAATTCTGGAGCAGAAAAGGAATGTTAGTGGAAAACCTGGTTAAATCTCCAAATGCAGTCTGTAGTTAATAGTAATATACAAAGTCGACGTCTTAGTTTTGACACACGTACCATGGTTGCGTAAGATGTTGACAGAAGAAACTGGGTAAAGGATATATGGAACACTGCAATTCTTGTAACTTTCTGTAAATCTAAACTTAATTGTAAAACAAAAGTTTGTTTTTAAACAGATGCCATTTTATATATCCTTGATACCTAGGAATTTGGTTTCTTCTTGAAGGACTTGGGGATGTATGCTTTTAATCAGTTTTCTTCAGGCCCTGTTTCCTACTTGTGAACCCTGATACAAGAAGGGGAAAGGTTTTAAAAAGGAGGCATCCAGTCCTATGGAGGCCTCTGTGGAATCTTTGATAGGCTCTGCTAAGAAGTGGGAGCAAGGGAGAGCAGCTTTACTATTTTGATTCTACATAATAGGCAGTCTTAATCAACTTCATTGTTCCCTTTAAATTTTTTAAAATTCAGTACTGAACATGTATATGTTTACATGTAGGTACAGACATATATGTGTTTGCATACACCACACATGCATATCAAGTTTTTCCCTCTAGCTTTAATTACTTTTAAGGGACAGGGATAGAGACCTGTCTGTGACTTGATTTGACTATCACATGGAATTTATGAGTGCCACCAATCTTTGCACTTTATTTCCATGTGTGTATGTTATTCAGCTGATAATAGGAAATTTTTTAGTAAGTTCAGATTAGGGTTTTTTTTTTTTTCGTGGAATCCTTTTACGTGAAATGTGAAATAGCATATTTTAAATGCCTTAAAATGTTTTTCTTCTTCAGTATTTTAAGGACTTTTCTTTATTTTCTTCCCAGATAAAACAATAAAATTATGGAAAATCAGTGAAAGGGACAAAAGACCAGAAGGGTATAACTTGAAAGAGGAGGATGGAAGGTATAGAGATCCTACTACAGTTACTACACTACGAGTAAGTACATAAGAAAAAAATGTCACAGATAGTGCTTGTATTCATATTATATAGCCCAAATCCTGAGCAGAGCTTGAATAGGAATAATTACAGTCTATCTCCCCTTTCCCAGTAATTCTGTAATCAGGTAGGACATTGAGTAACTCATTTAAACATAGAAACTGACCTACATAGAGGTCTCACTTTGGCCAGGGACAGAAGCAGGACTCAAGCACAAGACAGTATTTCACGCCATCAGACTTCATCTCTGGTTTGTCATGTTAGCTATCACAAGGTCAAGTTTCAAGATAAATTTTCTTTGGAAATCAAAAAAGTAGATACAGATCAAATCTTCTAGTTGTAGCTAAAAAATACCAAGAATTAGATGTTATGGGTTAATTTTCTTTTTAGCCTCTTTAATCTGAACCATAAACATTTATTAGCTTGGCATGTCTTTCAAGCAAAATATTGAAACTAAGAACTGCAAATTCTAATAGTATTGCAACCAGTAAAAGAAGATATATTATCCACATTGTTCATTTTTTCTTCAGCACTCGAAAGGATCAACATCAGTTGCTTTTTAAAACTAAATCTATGTAATATTGTTCTATTTTATGTTCTCAAAAACTGAAATAATGAAGTTTTCTGAATCTTAATTGCTATTTGAAACTGAGCCTTTTGTAATTTCTGTTTTTCATGTGTCTTATTGACAGGTGCCAGTCTTTAGGCCTATGGATCTAATGGTTGAGGCCAGTCCACGAAGAATATTTGCCAATGCTCATACATATCACATCAACTCAATTTCTATTAATAGTGATTATGAAACATATTTATCTGCAGATGATTTGCGGATTAATCTTTGGCATCTGGAAATTACAGACAGGAGTTTTAGTATCCATTTGGTTTTCTTTGGTGTTTGGTGAAGAAGGCATGTTGTGCCCATATTAGATTTATTTCATCTCTCCTAATGAATTTGGTTGCTTTTTATAGTCTGTGTACATATATGTATGGCACCTTATTTTTTTCTTTGTAGATGAGTAATGAAATACTGGAAAAAGTTATTTGCTAAACATAAAGGGCATAATGTATTGATTTAAAATTGGATTCATGGAATTTTAAGGAATTTGTCTATTGTATCTATGTAAATAGGATTATTTTTTATAATTTAGGTTTTTGTTTTAAAAATCACATTTGTGAGGTCTGTGTATGGTAGCTTATGCCTGTAATCCCAGCGGTTTGGGAGGCTGAGGTGGGAAGATCACTTGAGGCCAGGAGTTCAAGGTTTACAGTGAGCTTGATTGTGCCTCTGCACTCCAGCTTGGATGACAGAGCAACACCCTGTCTCTAAAAAAATTTTTTTTCTTCTAATCAAATGTATGAACTACTGTATTTGAATTTTTTATTGTAAAAATAGTCTCACCTGGCTGCGGTGACTCAGCCTGTAATCCCAGCACTTTGGGAGGTCAAGGTGGGTGGATCACCTAAGGTCAGTAGTTCAAAACCAGCCTGGCCAACATAGTGAAACCCCGTCTCTCCTAAAAATACAAAACATTAGCCGGGCATGGTGGCGCATGCCTGTAATCTAAGCTACATGGGAGGCTGAGTTAGGAGAATTGCTTGAACCTGGGAGATAGAGGTTGCAGTGAGCTGAGATTGTGCCATTGCACTCCAGCCTGGGCAACAAGAGTGAAACTCTGTCTCAAAAAATATATATATATAGATTTATATATATTATATTAATTGATATTAAGATTAGATTAAGATTAGATTAAGATTAATCTTAAGATTAGATTAAGATTAATTTTAAGATTAGAAAAAGATTAATAATTAGATTAGATTAGAAAAAGATTAGAAAAAGAAAGATTAAAGATTACGATTAGATTAAGATTAGAAAAAGAAATTCACGCAAGTCATGATGCATGATTGGGTAAATAAAAATATTCTATTGAGGCCGGGCACAGTGACTCATGCCTGTAATCCCAGCACTTTGGGAGGCTGAGGCGAGGCGGATGGATCATGAGGTCAGGAGGTCGAGACCAGCCTGGCCAACATAGTGAAACCCCGTCTCTACTAAAAATACAAAAAAAAAAAAAAATTAGTCAGTTGTAGTGGTGTGCGCCTGTAATCCCAGCTTTTCTGGAGACTGATGCAGTAGAATCGCTTGAACCTGGGAGTCGGAGGCTGCAGTGAGCCGAGATTGCGCCACTGCACTCCAGCCTGGGTGACAGAGTGAAACTCCGTCTAAATAAAAATTAAAAAAAAAAGTTTTAATCCCTTTGGAATTTATACTCATAAAAACAGTGGAGTGCAATTCAGAATTAATATTTTTGCTTAGGTCCATGAATGGGTTTTAGGTTTGAGAAATGTAGAATTATATTTGCCCTTTTTTCTAAGTGGAAATTCCTTAATAAAATGTTATCTAGACATTGTGGATATCAAGCCTGCCAATATGGAAGAGCTAACAGAGGTGATTACAGCAGCAGAATTTCATCCAAACAGCTGTAACACATTTGTATACAGCAGCAGTAAAGGAACTATTCGGCTATGTGACATGAGGGCATCTGCCCTCTGTGATAGACATTCTAAATGTAAGTTTATTGTATCTTTCCTTAAAATGATTACATATTCTGTTTGTCTGAAATAAGCCTCAGACATGATAAGTACAATTACAGAGGTTCAAAGTCTTAAACCCGTGTGTCCAGAGCCACTTGTACCCTTGGTAATCTGCCTACCTCCTCATGAGGCATTCCAGGTTATTCCTGGAAGCTCTCTTGGGGGGCATGTCTATTGATTGCCAAGGAATATATCTCTCATGGAATGCTGTTGTTCTTTGGTAACTTGCGGTTGGGCTCTGTAACCTTGTATTGAAGTAGAGCTGTTCCTTTCTTTCCCATCCTCCCTTCCTACTTTGAGCTTCCTAGGAAGATTTCTTCTGAGGTTTCCTTGGCTTAAAAAAAAAAAAAAAAAAACAACTTTGGTTTAAAAACTTCAGGATACAATATTCTTGTCTTGTTGAATATTAACTCATGAAAATTGATACATGCCTGTTACCAAAATAATTTTACCTGGCTACTAGAAAATAAGATCCTGGTATGAATTTGGGATGGGCGAGGATGGTGTGTTTCTCATGGTGATGATACAGGCAGTCAGTGAGGCATATTGCAGGAATAATACCAATAAACCTGGTGCACTGAAGTCAGAAGTCCCAGGTGAGTCTGGTTCTAAATTAGTCATATGACTGGAAGTATACTGCATACTTATGCATCTTCAACTTCAATATTCAATTAAACTAAGAAGCTTTCAGGAGAATTCTAGCCAGAGAGATGTTTTTCAGTTCTTTATTAGCCTGGCATTTTACCTCACTTGTAGGGAGTTTGTGAATGGTTGTTTAGGAAATGCTTTGTCCAAGCCAGAATATTGTACACCTTGCCCTTTTTGTGTTGTTTTGTTTTGTTTTTAGTGTTTGAAGAACCTGAAGATCCCAGTAACAGGTCATTTTTTTCCGAAATCATCTCCTCTATTTCGGATGTAAAATTCAGCCATAGTGGTCGATATATGATGACTAGAGACTATTTGTCAGTCAAAATTTGGGACTTAAATATGGAAAACAGGCCTGTGGAAACATACCAGGTATTTGAGTTTTTTCTTTCAATGAGCATATACCCTGTTTACTTTGAAGTGTTTATAGAGAAGGATTTTGTTACTAGGTTTTAATCCCTGTATGGTGTTTGTTCACCATTAGGCCTTTTCCCTCAGAGATCTATGAGTATGTTGCTCTTCCTTATGTTAAATGTATATATACTTACATAGGTTGTGTTGTCTCTTGAGTTTTGCAGTTAAAGTGTGATTTTGCTACCCATTTGGTTCAGTATTGACATTGTTTTTTTTTCTGCCACTATGTACATTTAAAGTGAGGATGGAAGAGCACCCTTCATTGAGGTCTGGGCAGGAAGAGGATTGGAGAAAGTGGCCAGTCCTTAGTAGAGGTGCACCTGCTCAGGTTGTGGGAGTAGTTGAACTAGAGATTAAATTTGGTGTGCCAAGTCAAATGGACTGGTGTTCTGCCTTTTGGCAGATAACTGTTGTCTTCAGCTAAAAGAAAGGGCTTGAAAGCCTTAGCAGATGGCTTTAGGAGTTGCCTATCCGTTGTTGGATGTCAGTTCTTGATTCTCTTATCAGCCAGCCACTACTGTTTATCCGTGTCCACTACATCAAACAGAAGAGAATGAAGTACACAGCCTGGAACAGGGTGAGGGACAGCACAAACCTGTGCTAGGCCCTAGACTGCAGTGTTGAAATCACTTAACTCTAATTTATACATATACTTTCTTTATGTTATATATTCTCAATAGACTGGGAAGTATGTTTCTCAAACTTTAAATCCTCTGACAAACATAAACGAAGATTGTTTTTGATACGTGAAATTTCAAAATAAATACTGCACTGAAACAAAAGACAAAATACTGCTTTGCTTTTCAAAGTATAGTTCACTATTGAGCAACATGGATTTGAACTGCATGGGTTCACTCATACACAGATTTTTTGTTTTGTTTTGTTCAACCAATGCACATTTGAAAATACAATATTTGAGGGATGCAAACCCCTCAAATATATGGAGGGCCAAAACTTCACGTGTGGGTTCCGCAGGGCTAACTGCAGATTTGGGTATACCTGGGGTTCTTGGAACCCATCCCTCGTGTATACTGAAAAAAGACTTCTATTTGTGTAACTGCCAAGATTGATATATCTCCTAGTTACCCTCACCATCATTTCATTCCCATTGAGAAGAATTGATTTGAAGCTTAGCTTCATACTGATGTATAGTGAGAAACTCTATAATGTGCATTCTAAAATGTTGCTAAATTATGATAATCTACCTAATTTTACCTGATTTGCTACTTTTCTACTTATAAACAGTTGGAGTAGTGATTAAAAGTAGTCACATTATAGGCAAATGTATCATATATAGATAAAACTATTTTTATTGAATTTGTACCAGCATCTTGCCAAGTTTTGTGTGATTGAAGGGTATTTTTTTCTTACTGATTTTTTTGTGTTACATGCTCACTTTTGATCCTAACCCCACATGAGTTGCTATTCCTCTGTATTACAGATTTTCACTTAATGTCACAGAGACATGGCCTGAATCATTCCACTATATTTAAAGTTAAAATAGACACTGAAAATAAGTTTAGATTGTTTCATATAGAATAGAGAATTCTAAGCATTTAGAAGGTACCTTCTCATTTCTGTCATTTCTCCTTAAGTAGCTCCTTAAAAAGAGATGGTGAAATATAGACACTTCCTTTTTTCCTTTGAGTTACAACAAATACTTTGGAACTTTTGTTTGTAATTAATATTAATGTTGAAATATGTCATATTTCTCAGACTTTTTAAATATGAGATTTCTAGTTTATCCTTTTTTGACATATTAGTAAATACAGAATTATATAATTCAAAAAACAGGCACAGCTTTGTTAGCTTTTGACATTGTATAATATGATACTATCAAATTTTTAATAATATATGCCCAGAATAACCATATAATTTATCACCAAACCAAGGCATGGTTACGCTATGCATACATGTGCATTTATAATGGAAAATATAGGCTTCAGTTAAATTTATGCCCAGAAAATGGTATTTAAGAAAGAAATAGGCACAGTTTCAGTGTTGTTATCAGTAGTTAATGGACTGAAAGCCAAGAATAGTGATATTCAGATATTGCTATAATGTTCTTTTATTAGTCTCTTAACTGTGCCATTTTCAAGTGTTTTTGGCCTGAATGTTTTATTCAGGCTTATAAAGGCTATGTGTGCCATGCCCAGAATGGAGTTTTCCTTTGTCATACCAGTAGGAAAATGTACCTCCCTGAAGGGCTTGTGTGTTTTGTAAAAGGACAAAATGCCTTTATTGTTACTGAGAAGATTGAGATTAATAGGTTTAAAAGGTGTGTGTATGTGTCTGTATATGCCCTTTTTTTCTTTTTAAAGATATGGACTTGTTAAATCATTTTCCTAATTTCAGTGCAGTATATTTGTATTTTTCCCCCAGGTGCATGAATACCTCAGAAGTAAACTCTGTTCACTGTATGAAAATGACTGCATATTTGACAAATTTGAATGTTGTTGGAATGGATCTGACAGGTAATTAAGTCAAACCTCTCAAATATGAATTTTATTAAAGAAAAGAAACAACTATTTCATTCCAGGTCCTAACTTCGTCTCTAGGGATTCCTTGAAATAAATTTAGTAATTTTAGATATAGCACAGCAGTACTGGTAGATAAAAAATTAAAGCATTGTATTTCACTAGTAAATATAAAAGTACACAAATTCTAGGTAATCTAAATTATTTAAATGTCTAGAATTTTTTTTCTTTTATGAACCAGATCACATTTCTGACATGCTAACCATTAAAACGGTGAAGCTTCAGCTTGGTTGTTATTCTTCCATTAAACTGTTGCAGAAACATTCAGGCGGCAGATAACTCATTTGGATTGTTAGAAACACCAGGTTTTCCAGATGCTACATTAACACCTCATAGAAGTGGTCTTTCATATGTATGTTATGTATGATGTTAACCATAATATATATGGTTAAAATTTTAGTAGTAGTTATCCTTTGCTTTTTATAATTTCCAGTTTTGCCGTAGTGTAATTCCTTTTTCGTATTCATTTTTAGTAAAATGTTACCCATTATTTAAAGATAAAATAAGTCTTACTTTGAGTCTTTTAGTTGTCTATTTGCCACTATGTTCCAGTAGAACAGAAAGTAGTAAAACATAATTTTGGAATTAAACTGACATTTAAAGTAATCAGAGATACTTCAACAACAGTTTTATCACAGAGCTTAATATGATTCCGATTTCATGGTGTTGTGTGTTACAGAGGATAATAGAACTTATAGAATGTTTTCTTTCATCTGGCTTTTAAAATTATCTGATTTTTGACATAAGGACTAGTAAACCTAGAGTTCTGTTAATAGCAAACATTGCCTTTGAGTGCTACTACTAAACCTGAGGCATCAAGAAGAAAGAAGGAAAGGGAAGAAGAAAAAAAAGATTAACAAATTTGAAGAGTAAAGAGATACTGAAATAAGGTGTGGCGCACAGCTACAACCAGTTTTTCATTGTATTTAAGCAGATAATTAGCAGTTTTATGTTCTATTATCAGAAAAAAACGATTTGTTTTCCTTAATATTAAAAATTTTTTTTTAACTATTTCAAACTTAGAGAAAATTTGTTAGAATAACACAAAGAACTCTTGGCTGGCCTTGACCCAGGTTCCCCTGTCGCTGTTTGCTGTATCACGTGTTCTATTCTCTGTTTATTTATAGCTATATTTGTCCACATAGGTACGTGCGCATGTGCTCACATGCAACTTGTGTGCCACATGGGAATTTATTCCATTTACGCCAGATGTGATGCCCATAACCCTAAATTCTTGAATGAGTATTTCCTGACAAAAACACTTTCCAACATAGTGACAGTGCAGCATCCAAAGCAACATTCACAGCGATGCAGTACTGCCATCTAATCCGGAGACCCACTGAAACTGACCAGTTACTGTAACTATGTCCTTTATGGCACAGAACAAAGTCAGTCTGGTTCAGTATCCAGCATTTAGTTGTCATCTCTTGTTAGTCTCCTTTATTCTGAAACAGTTCCTCAGTCTCTCCTTGTCTTTCATGACCTTGGCATTTTGAAGAACACAGGCCAGTTATTTTATAGAATGTTTCCTCATGATTAGATTCAGGCTATACATTTTTGGCAGGAATACCACAGAAATGCTGGCCTAATGATACCTTTTTAAAGTTTCAAGTAGCCACAGCCTAGGTGTCCTAATACATTAAAACCACGCAAACTCAGATGATATGGGGATGTCAATCTAAATTACACAAGCCATTTTTAAAGAAATACAGTTTTGTCATCTTCAGGGGCACGCATTACCTTGAGTTTGATTAAAGTTGTTGCCAAGTGTCCTTTGGGAATTGACATTACTAAATAGATAATAATTTGTACTCAGTAGGTGACCTTTGTATGTAAGTATTACTTTGAACAATTCCCCAGTATCCTGTAATCCTTATTTACAATAATAATTTGAACCATTGGTAAGCAGCGGTAGCAGACCCTTTCCAAATTAAGAGCTTCAAACTTACGAAGTTTTGTTTGTGAGGATACTTAATAAATGTCGAGCAGTAATGGGTGGCAAATAGAACTGACAAGGAAGTGTCTTGGGCAGTTTAAAAATTTTGCCACCCCTTTAAACTGATACTTTTATAAATATTTGCTTAAAATGTTCTAAGTGGTAAAAGTAAAATGATGTTCTGTTAAGAAAATATTACAGCCTGGGCAACATAGCAAGACCCTGTCTCTACAAAATATTTAAAAATTATCTGGACATGGCAGCATATGCCTGTAGTCACAGCTACTCAGGAGACTGAAGTGCAAGGACTGCTTGAACCCAGGAGGTTGAGGTTGTGGTTGCAGTGAGCTGTGATTGTGCCACCACATTTCAACCCGGGTGACAGAGTGAAACCCTGTCTTGAAAAATACATATATATAGGCCGGGCACGGTGGCTCACGCCTGTAATCCCAGCACTTTGGGAGGCCAAGGCCGGCGGATCATGAGGTCAGGAGATTGAGACCATCCTGGCTAACGTGGTGAAACCCTGTCTCTACTGAAAATACAAAAAAAACTAGCCGGGCGTGGTGGCGGACGCCTGTAGTCCCAGCTACTCAGGAGGCTGAGGCAGAAGAATGGCATGAACCCAGGAGGCAGAGCTTGCAGTGAGCCGAGATCGCACCACTGCACTCCAGCCTGGGCAACAGAGCGAGACTCCGTCTCAAAAAAAAAAAAATTATACACACACACACACACACATTATGTACCACTTAATATTCTCAGGAGCAGATTATAACATAAGCATTTATTAAATGTGATTATCTGAACCAGACAATACCCTGAGAAGATTATTTATTTATGAGACAGAGTCTCACTCTGTCACCCAGGCTGGAGTGCAGTGGCACAATCTTGGCTCAGTGCAACCTCCGCCTCCCGGGTTCAAGGGATTCTCCTGCCTCAGCCTCCTGAGTAGCTGGGACTACAGGCACGTGCCACTACACCCAGCTAATTTTTTTTTTTTTCCGAGACGGAGTCTTGCTCAGTTGCCCAGGCTGGAGTGCAGTGGCACGACCTTGGCTCACTGCAAGCTCCACCTCCCGGGTTCACACCATTCTCCTGCCTCAGCCTCCCGAGTAGTTGGGACTACGGGTGCCTGCCACCACGCCAGGCTAATTTTTTTTGTATTTTTAGTAGAGACCGGGTTTCACCATGTTAGCCAGAATGGTCTCGATCTCCTGACGTCGTGATCTGCCCACCTTGGCCTCCCAAAGTGCTGGGATTACAGGCGTGAGCCACTGCGCCCGGCCCAAAAAATGTAAATCATAAGATAAAGCATTGGTTTCTTGTGAACAGCTACAGCTACTTCATGCGGGGTTCTTTTGTTTTAGAACCTGTGAGTTCCACAGATAGTTGCTCCTTTGAGAAGCTGGCTGGCCTGGTTGATCACATAGCCTGTAGTTGCAAAAATACTTAACAACGATAATTCTGCACTCCTAAGAAGTTTTACTTGAGGATGCTGTCAACTTTGCTGATAGTTTTGGTAGCCATAAAAAGAATAAGCAGAAAACCCAGTTAATTAGTACCGTATTTCTGGTTTATTCTAGTGATTGAGTTGATGTCAACAGCCCCTGTCCCTTAGTTTAAATCTGCTTTTGAAGTAGCTTCCTATGGTTTAATTGCCGAATCATTTTACTTGAAAACAATTTCTTGTTCTGCTTGTTTGACTGAGTGTACTGTCTATTTTCACAGTGTTGTCATGACTGGATCTTACAATAATTTCTTCAGAATGTTTGACAGAAACACAAAGCGAGACATAACCCTAGAAGCATCGCGGGAAAACAATAAGCCTCGCACAGTTCTGAAGCCTCGCAAAGTCTGTGCAAGTGGCAAGCGAAAGAAAGATGAAATAAGTGTTGACAGCCTAGACTTCAATAAGAAAATCCTTCACACAGCCTGGCACCCCAAGGAAAATATCATTGCCGTAGCTACTACAAACAATCTGTATATATTTCAAGACAAAGTGAATTAGGGTTGGCATTCCTAGCAGAAGAACCCACTTCCTGCTTAGTTGAGATAGTTGAATCTAGCATTCGTTCCTATAAAAGAGAGAGGTCCATTGTGGCGCCCCTTTCCAGTGTTTGACAGTGTGCCATTCGACAACACATTGTTATAGCTACATGGAGAAAGCTCTGTGGATTCATCACTGTGGTGTTCTCCATGTCTGCTAGCCATTTAGGTAAGGGTAGGGCACTTTTAATTTAAATGACTTCTTGCACCATCTTGCCTAATGGACTAGATTGGACTGTATCAACATTGATTTACTCCACTTTTTATGCCTTCCATTGTGATGACGTCAAACACAGTGAAAGCCTTCAGTCATGCTATGGGATTTAATTGTGTATCCTCATTACTGTATCATTTGTGGGGTACACCCCTTCCCCCTTTTTTTAAATTAAATACAGCTCATTCTTACTGTGGCTTGTAGCATTCCTCCTCTTCTGGCCTCCTGGACTGCTCCCCTTCATCTCTTACCCTTGCCCCCTCCACCCGGTCTTGGTGGTGGTATATTAAAAAAAGAAAGAATGAAAGCACACAAAATGAGTCAGTTTGGGGTCAGTGGTATAAAGGGGGTATATGTTGCAAACAAATGTTTTAGTAACAGTTGGCTGTAATCACTCCTCGCCGTGTCTGGCACTGAAAATAAGGAAAAAAAACCTACTACTGAATAAAAGTGACAAAGAATGGAGAATCTGGTTTTCTTTTTCTTTTTAACCTACCTCTTGTAGCCAATATTTTGTGTCATACCTTTGGGCACAGTGAAACAAAATGGGTTTTCATTGTTTATTGGTATTTTTGTTAATTATTTTTAACAAGTGTTCTTTTACATGCAGGAGGAGAGGTATTGGTTCTCTATGAACATATTTTGAATATAGGTTTTATTAAGGATTTCACAATCTATAAATGCTACTAGTTTTTTTTTTTTTTTTTACCATCATGAGGGTATTGGATACATTGTGTCTCTATTTAACTCATTATGTGTTAATGAAATTGTTGTAAATGGGAACCAAATTTGTAGAACTTAATTTCTACTTTTTAGAGTGCTTAATTTCATTTTTGCCTTACTAAATAGTCAAAGACTTATAAAACATTTTTAACAAGTTAGAACTTTTTTGTTATTCAGTCATATAAAATAGCAGAAAACTAACATCAAGTGACACTGCACTAAATACTTTTTTTGTATTTTACTGCTATCAAATCAGAATGAAATATACTTTACCATAGATATTTTTCTTCTATTTTTGGTTTTCCAAAGCTATATGAAAGACAAATTTTTAAAGGTACAGCGTTCAAAAAGTGCTTAATGAACTCCAACAGCTGCCTCAAATAAAAATCTGTATATGAATACATTTTCCCTAAGCGGTGATACATTATCCAAAGATGAAGAGTGCTCCTATTTTTAATAGGTAGAATGTACCTTTGTCAGTCTTGCAGAAACTTTAATGGAGAAGAAATGGACTTTATTTTTGAAAGGTGAAATGAACAGGCATTTATATTATTAGAGAATGGTAGTCTTATTTTGGTGGAACATAATGTAACAACCTTGAATTTCAGAGGACTCTGAGTGCTTCTATGTCCACTACCTATTGTTCTATTCTTCAATAATGAAAAAGAATTCAACGAGCCGACCGTGATTCCCTCTACTACAAATATTATGTCTTGTAAGTTAGCATTTTTAGCACACAGGAGAAATTTTATGTAATAAAATTACTGTATCTTTTGGATTTAACAAATTTGTATTTGAAACACATTCTATGTCTGATAATTCTTAATGGCACTTTTACTAATTTATTTGGGGATCTTGGGTACATTCTTAATTTGTGTTTATTCTTCACGCTTGACTTGCAAGTGGGATATTCCCCTGCCACAAGTGTCAAACAGTGATATTCTTCCTGTGTTGTGACTGGACAGTTTTCCAGATCTTTTTTGGGAGATTTTCCTACAGCTTGGTTGTATGTCTTGAGATAACACCACCAAACAGCTCTCAGAAATTCTTTTTTGATTGATCAGTAGCTATGATGATTCTCCTCCATGACACTAAGGATTAGTTTATATATTTAAGAGAAATAATTGCTAAAATTAAAATGCCTCTATCAAGGAATGCTATTATAAATTATTGTTAACATTCTCAAGTATTAATTTTTTAATTTCATTGGTGTAGCAAACTCTAAGCCCAGCCACTCATTTTACATGGCCATGGTTAATCTTTTTATTAATAAAAATTATACTTAGAATAAACTTAGTCTTGTCAAGTTGCTTGTATTTCCTATTCTCTTGCCACTAATATACATGCACATACTCCATCACTTAACCTTTTAGAAGAGATTGTGGGTAGGAAAAGGACTTTCATTCTATTAACCTCTTTTGATCTTTACTTAGTGGCTGGGCAATAAGAATTGTTTTATAAACCTGTCTAAATACATGTTTATGTAACCATTAACTGCTGGATGGTAAGCTTCTGTGCAGCCCTCCGTCTCTTGGGATTAAAAAAAATGCATCCAGTCGGGCGCGGTGGCTCACTCTTGTAATCCCAACACTTTGGGAGGCCGAGGTGGGTGAATCACCTGAGGTCAGGAGTTCGAGACCAGCCTGGCCAACATGGTGAAACGCCGTCTCTACTAAAAATACAAAAATCAGCCAGGTGTGGTGGCACGTGTCTAATCGCAGCTATTCCAAAAGATGAGGCAGGAGAATTGGCTTGAATCCGGGAGGCAGAGGTTGCAGTGAGCCGAGATCGCGCCACTGCACTCCAGCCTGGGTGACAGAGCGAGACGCCGACTCAAACAAAAATGCGTCCATGCACTCTTTTCCTTTCAAAATGAAGAGAATTTTTTAAACCTTAAATGTGAGTTATTCTGGTTAGGGATACTTCTACGGAAAGCTAGAGATAGGAAAGCAGGTTCTTTCAGTGTGTGACTTTTGAGTAAGGTGTTAATTAGGAAATTGTGCACATGTGAAAGCTATGCAGTACTGATAAAGAATTTTTAGTGATATTTAAACCCTTCTAAGGGAATATTGTTTGAGCATCTTTACCACACATAAATTCAAATGTAGATAGTATTGTGCCCTTCCAGAAAAACAAAACCAATCCCCCCCAAAAGATGGAAAAGATAGGCATATGCTGGGTAGTCAAGAATCAAGTCAGTTTACTTGTGTATTTGAGAGCACCTGTACTTTAGTATCTTACTTATCTATCTGTTCAGATGGTGATAGTTTAAGCTCTGCGTGTATGTCTTACTGTGGTTAAAAAGGGAGTTTTATGCACCTCCTCTTCCCCCTCAAAAAGCCTTGAAAAATGACCCTGCTTCATTTTGTAATTATGCATGAAGTCAAAACATTACAACTCTTTTAGTATTAATCAAATGCTTAGCGATTCTACAGAGTCTTGAGGTGTTCTCAGATGCCAAATATATTTTGTAACTGAGTTTGCCTCAACATTTTATTCCGTAGTGGTGTCAGACTGGAACCTCTTACCTCTGTATTAGAATGAAGAAACACCCACTTTACAGGCTTAACGTTAATAAGTCTCTTGCTAGCTCAGTGTATCAAAGAGAAGGCACTACAGAGCTTAGTTTCCTCTAAAAGGAATTTGGCAAACTGGTATAAGGGGAAAAACTAATATTTGTGTTTTTTCACATGTTCTACTCATGCTCCTTTGTAATCTGAATAGCAACAAGTTCTTCGAGGACTTTCCCGCTAGAGGGCAATGGTGGGGAGCGGTGGCTCATGCCTGTAATCCCAGCACTTTGGGAGGCTGAGGTGGGAGGATCACTTGAGATCAGCCTGGGCAACAAACCAAGATCCCATCTCTACAAATAAAAGATGTATTTTAAGAAATATATTTTAGGAAACCACTAGGGGGCGATCGTTAAGTTTTGAACAGCAATGATGGGGTATTTTTGAGAAAGTATAAACGGGAGTCTTTATGTACTGGAAGAGCTTCATTATTAAAGTCAGGGACCAAATACAGGATATTGTGTACCCAAAACCACTGTTCCCTATGACCCTTGAGTAAATATTTGAGAACCCACTGATGGAGGGGAACACAAAAGCCAACTGTGATGTCATTACTTATATTGTACTACAATCAAGTCATGCAATATAAGTACAACAAAGTAGTACAATTACTCAACAAAATACTTGCAAAATACAAAACTTTAGCTGGGTTTACCCAAATGCCAACTGTGATGTCATTACTTACATTGTACTACTTTATTGTACTTACACTGTATGACTTCATTGTAGTACAATATAAGTAATGACATCACAGTTGGCATTTGTGTACATCCAGCTAAGTTCTGTATTTTGCAAGTATTTTGTTGAGTAGTTTGCATTGATGTTCATGAAGGATATTGATCTACAATTTTTTTATATTTTAATGTCACTGTCTAGTGTAATGCTGATCTCATAAAATGAATTTTCCTCTCCTGTATTATTGAAGAATATGGACAAAATTGGTACAATTTCTTCCTTCAGTGTTTGGTAGAATTCACTAGTGACAAATTATTAAATACCATTCTATCAAAGGTCACATCACTGAGTCACTGTAAGGAGAACAACATTTGTCTCTTTTCAGAATTGAAATGTATTTCTGCTCTATTCACCAAATCGCCCAGCCGAGTTAACAGAATGAAGCATCATAATTTGAGTTTGTCAAACACCATTTTGCTCTCTTACAGTATCTTTGAAAATGTTAATTTGTTAGCCCAAATCTATATCAAACTTTTGTTGCCCAACACTTAACTTACCAATGCCTAAAAAGATTCACTGATCAGGTAATGTAGTTGTTAAGTAACACAGAGCAAAGTGGTTAGGACGTGCTGGACTGCCACACTAGGAATCCTGTGAGTTTAAGAAAATATAATAATGATAATTGCTTTTTGAGACACAGTCTCGCTCTGTCACCCAGGCTGTAATGCAGTGGCCTGATCATGGCTCACTGCAGCCTCAACCTCTTGGGCCCACTCCTCTCATCTCAGCCTCCCAAGTAGCTGGGACTACAGGCACCTGCTACCATGCCCAGCTAACTTTTTAAAAGTTTTTGTAGAGATGTTGCCCAAGCTAAGCTTCAATTCCTGGGCTCAAGTGATCCTCCCGCGTCCACCTCCCAAAATGTTGGGATTAGAGGCATGAGCCACCACTGTGCCTAGCCTAGAAAATAGAAACTTCTCCCTCCTCCTCTCCCCTTCTTCCCTCTTCTCATCCTTACTTCTTTCTGTCCACTGGCAGCCAAGTCCTGACCTATTTGCAGACAAGTTTATTTGGTCATTGGATGACAATGCCTCTAACAGTCACTCCTGAACTACACTTTCTAACTCCCCTTCCTTCTGTAAGCATTTGAGTTTGTACCTTCTCTTTTGCTTTAAGATTACAACCAAACCAGGCAAAATACTTGTAATTGGATATGGTATTATGGAATCAATGCTCAAAAATTAATTAATAGTAAAACATCTTGCAGAGCACAGCATCGTTTCTGTTTTTCTTTTTTCTTTTTATTTATTTACTTTATTTTTGAGACAGTCTTACTCCATCACCCAGACTGGAGGGCAGTAGGGCAGTGGTGCAATCACAGTTCACTGCTACCTTAAACCCCAAGCTCAGGTGATCCTCCCACCTCAGCCTCCCAGGTAGCTGGGACTACAGATGTGCACCACCACACCCTTTTGTATTTTTCGTAGAGATGGGGTTTCACCATGTTGCCCAGGCTGGTCTCGAACGCCACTGCACTCCAGCCTGGGCGACAGAACGAGACTCTGTCTCTAAATAAATAAAGTAATTGGTAGGGCAAGTATATTACCTTATTTCTTATGAAAATTAATCATCTTAATAAATCAGGTAATAGTATTTGTATCCAGTAGCTATTGCCACAATCAAGTAATAGAAGTACAACTATAGCTAAAATGAGAAAAGTAAATATTAAGTGGGGATATCAGCTGGGCGTGGTGGCTCATGTCTGTAAGCCCAACACTAGGGGAGGCCAAGGTAGGTGGATCACGTGAGGTCAGGAGTTAAGACCAGCCTGGCCAACATGGTGAGACCCCATCTTTATTACTAAAAATACAAAAAAGCTGGGCATGGTGGTACATACCTGTAATCCCAGCTACTCAGGAGGCTGAGGCACAAGAATCGCTTGAACCCAGGAGGTGGAGGTTGCAGTGAGCTGGGATCCTGCCACTGAACTCCAGCCTGCGTGACAGAGTGAGAACCTATCCAAAAAAAAAAAAAAAGGATATGATCAACTAAAAAATGGGTAGTAGAGATAAAGGTGGAAGAAGAGGAATTATACTAATTTCATTACTGTTCCTTGCTGGACATTAAAAGAAACTAAGGAAAAGAAGGATTAGGAGGATTATATAAATATATAGTTATAAAGGTAACTAACTGAACAAAAATTAAAATTTCATCAGGCTAATACAACTAAGCAACAATAATAATAGTAAAAACCCAAACCATGATCTTAATATTGAGGTTGAACTGAAGACAAAATTATGACCACTTTATAGTGACAAACAGGGATAGTTATGAATATCTGTGCATCAACTATAAGGAATGAAGATACAAGAAGAAAGAAACAGGAGTAGGAGATATTAATTTACCTCTTGAAATCCATGACATGTAAAGGGG
Organism: Homo sapiens; assembly: GCF_000001405.40. Lineage (NCBI taxonomy): Eukaryota > Metazoa > Chordata > Mammalia > Primates > Hominidae > Homo > Homo sapiens. The sequence goes on from NC_000008.11 coordinate 26,377,067, forward strand.
GGAAATAATCAACTATATGAAAACTTAAATGACATTAAGGTGGTTCCAACAGATACATCAAACCTGATTTTGTGAACACAAACTACATCTTCTTTTCAAATACGGAATAGTCCCCAAAAGGCATCATAAGTTAGGCCCCAGAGAACACCTAAAAAAAAAAAAAAAAAATCCCACACTAGAAATGATACAAAAACCAAATCTGACCAGGGAAAAATTCTTAAATACCCAAATTAATAAAGAATGAAATAAGTATCAAATATATAAGAAGCTAGGAAAGCATGAGGGTGACTGCCAATGAGTACAGGCAGTCATTGGTTGGGGGGGGGGGTGTGTGACAAAAGCGTTCCAAAGTGACTGTGATGGTTACGTAACTCTGAATATATAAAAAACATTGAATTGAACTTTAAGTGGATGAACTGTATAGTATGTGAATTATATTTCAATGGGGCTGTTAAAAAACAAGAATTAGGAGGCTAGGCGCAGTGGCTCACGCCTGTAATCCCAGCACTTTGGGAGGCCAAGGCGGGTGGATCACGAGGTCAGGAGTCTGAGACCAGCCTGGGCAACATGGTGAAACCCCATCTCTACTAAAAAAATAGAAAAAAATAGCTGGGCGTGGTGGCGGGCGCCTGTAATCCCAGCTACTCAGGAGGCTGAGGCAGAAGAATCACTTGAATCCAGGAGGCAGAGGTTGCAATGAGCCGAGATTGTGCCACTGCACTCCAGCCTGGGCAACAAAGCTAGACTTTGTCTCAAAAAAAAAAAAAAAAAAAAAAAAACAAGAATTAGGAATAATACAATTAGGAAGCAGGAATTCAATTCAAGAGCCAATAAAATAAATGATTAGGTAATATAATCCAGAAAAAAACAGAGGACAAACAACATAAAATAAGAAATAAAAGTAACATCCTATAGAAACAGAGATGACCTTCCTAAAAGCATCAGGCCCCAATGTTTCCATAGGGAATTATAACATCTCCTTAAAGAAAGTAATTTCAATGTCATCTATGTAAGACCAGAGAAAAGGAAACTTTCTAATTATTTTCAATAAAATGAGTATAGTAAGCTGGGCAAAGTGGCTCATGCCTGTAATCCCAGCAGTTTGGGAGGCTGAAGCAGGGGGATCCCATAAGACCAGGAGTTCAGGACTTGCCTGAGCAACACAGGAAAACTCTGTCTCTACAAAAAACACAAAAAAATAGCTGGACATGATTGCAGGCACCTGTAGTTCCACCTACTGGGAAAGCTGAGGTGGGATGATCACTTGAGCCCGGGAGGCTGAGGCTGCAGTGAGCTGTGATTGTACCACTGCACTCCAGCCTGGGTGATAGCATGAGACCTTGTCTCAAAAAAATAAAAATAAAATAGCACATGATTAATAAAAAACTTTTTTTTGAAAGTTTAAAACCTTTTGAAAGGAGCACCTAAAAGGAAAATAGAACAAAGTGGGATCTCGTAGTCCTGACTGGGAAAACAATTCTATAAATATGTCAATAATCCCCTCAATTTCTTTTTTATCATTTGGCATTAGAAACCTTTTATTGAGACAAACGGTGGGCTGAAAATAATACAGGGTGAAGGAAGGTTGAGGAAACCAGTATGAAGGCATCTCAAATGATGAACTAAATACATTCCAAAGGTACTATTTACACTTAAGGCAATTTTAAAAGTGAGGTCTTAACCAAAAAGCCTTTACATGGCATTAAAAAAAAAAAGCGGGGGTCATTTAAATCTTTTGGATTGACTAAAAGAGCTAAATTATGTACCCAAAATCTGTACAGCAGGGGCCTGTTTTCAGCAGGTAAGCCTATTATATGCAAGAAAGAACCTCTTACTCTTGTTACAATTGTCCTGTTTTGCTTTGTTTTACAGGAATATATAACCCCCATCCCCACAGAGTTAGTCCATAAGGCCTCAGTGTCTGCATAGAAATGTGGACCTACCTCTACTAGAGAACTATTTACACTGCACTGTAAATACACGTCTGTGTCCACCCCCACAACTAAGCTGTCAATGCCTTGAGTGAAGGGGTAGTTACAACTCAGTCATTTTGTATCTACAGTGACAATTAATAGGCACTCAATACTTTTTTTTGCATGAATGATAAATGATATTACACTACCACCACTATTTACATTAACATTTCCCATCATTAGCTGTCCCCAAAATAAAAACACCAAATTGCTGCCACATTTTCAGCAGTTTTCATAATATAGTGCTTCTGGACTTTTTAATGTAAACAAACATGCTTGATTTACCAATTTTCAGAGTAATGACACAAACTTAGCATTCTTCTTGGAATGGAAAACTTTCTGGGAAGTTACTTCATTCTTTTTCTCTTTTCAAAAGGCATCTCGCAGCGCCAACTGTTTTTCTCAGAAGGAACGCTTATTTTCTGACCAGACATTCTGGCTATACCACATCATCATAAAGTTCTTCTGTTTTTTCTTCTCTTTACTTTTTGAACTGGAAAATGGATTCACTTTGGTTTTCTTCCTCACAAATTCTTTTCGGTCTGTCTTTCCAGCCATTGCAGTTGCTAGTCTTGTCTCTTTGTCAGATTTTGGCTTTTTATGAAGGCGTTCAATGTCCGGAAGAGAAAGTAATTCACCCCTCGGCTCTTCATCACTGTCGATTTCAATATATTTCCTCTTCTGGGATTTCCCGGGGACAGCGTCAAGTTCTTTTCTCATTTGCGCCATGCGGATTTTCTGGAAGTCTTCCTAACTTAAAACTCGACTGGTGCTGACGGCTGCAGTTTTGGCTTTCTGCTCCTCCATGGGCATGGTGTTCAGCTTCTTGGAAATTTCTTGCTGTTCTTCATTGGAAGAGTGTTGCACATCAACCCATTCGCCATCGGCATCCTCCTCCTCACTGAGACTGGTACTTTCCCATCCATCTTCATCATTTTCAGCACTCTCCTCTTTCTCAACTTCCAGAACTTCTGCTCCTGGAATGTAACCTTTAGCATCTAATTCTCCATATTCTTGTACTCTTGCTTCTATGGAGGCTTCTGTAGGCTTACCCCAGAATTTCTTCTGCAGCATCTGAGGATTCAGTGTTCGGAAGAGCCGAATCAAAGTTCTAGCAGACATCATTACATTATTATCCTTGTGTGTTTTATACTGAGCCAGGTCTTGGAGAAGCTTTTCAGTCATGGCCAGAGGACACTGAGCTGTTGTCTCTTTTACAGCATTGATTCCTATTGTCATGGCTTCTCCAGAGTTCTTGTCGTTAACAAAATTGTTGGCCACAGTCATAAGCAATGATTGAATAATCGCTGGGTGTACTAGGTGATGAGATGCTTGTGCAGCAAACAGAAGGTTCTTTGTTACTTCTCTTTGGTGGGGCTGCAGAAACCTTCGCAAAAAGTGATAGAAATTGAAGAGGAAGAGCTTATGAATTCCCACCAATCTGAGATGAGGTTCATGAGCATCATCTTCACTTCCAACCTCTCCTTACAGCACTCAAGCTGCTTTAGTAGTTTTTCTGCAAAATCTTGGGGATCATGAATCAAGTGAACGGCTAAAAAGTTAAACACCTCTGGTTTTTTCTTCTTCTTTTGTTTCTTGAGCACTTTCATTGCCTTTTCCAACTTTTTCTTGTTTTGGGAACTTTGTTCCCTGTAGCATACTGTGCTAGCAGGTCTCTTGCTGTTGGTCCGTCATCCTCAGATTCGGAGTCACTGGCCTGTTTTTCATCTTCATCTTTTCCAAGAAAGAATGTCAAAGCAGCAACTAATATCTTGGTGACCTAAGAGAAACATGCAGTTGTGATAACATTGACAGTTTTGGTATCATTCCAGATGTTCCTTCTGTAGAGTTCAATCATAACATCTAAAGACATCTTGGCTGCAGTTGCATTGCTATCTCTCAACATGGTATACATGAAATTTTACAATACTACATCCACTTTATTCTTGTGTTTTGCATTTATATTCTTGATATCAGTCACGATATATGTGTATGAAGTCTTTTGCAGAAGCTTATCATGGCAACAGAGAAGTTCAAAGAAGAGTTCTAGCAGGCTTGATGGATTGATGAGATTCTTATTTCTCAGCAAGATCAAAGCTTTGCAAAATGTCATTCGAAGATCTGGATCCAATACAGTATGATTACAGGACAGAAGATCTTTCACCACTTGAGGAAAATTACTTAGATACCCTGGGTAGCAGTAACTAATCTATAACAAAGCAAAGGCTCTTCTGAAGTTTCTCTCTTTCTCTCCTATTATTCAGATGCACATATTTAGGACGTTCTGTGCCATAAACACCACCAGCTCTGCTAGTTCTTTACCGGGTTTATATGGTTGCAATTTGAAAATCTCCACATTGGATGTGTAGTGATTATACTGCTGTAGAAACTCCTAGATGGAGGGTGGTGGGTCTCGCTTCATCAGATTCTGTAACTGCAGTCAGGTTGCTGGGCAGCTTGTTGTTGTTTCTGCTGGACATTCTGGCTGAAGACTGGCTTCGCGGCGAGCAGTTTTAATAAAACTCAGATGGCCAGCAGCCGCCAATCCCTACCAGCTGCGGCTTGAACTCCTGCTTCCGGGTATGACCGGAAACAGCACTCAATCTATTAATAGAGTTCATTTCTGACCAAAATCTTAAAAGAATTTGCAAAGGGATTTGACAAATCAATCCTTAAAAAAAACCTTTTAGCATGGACTTTTTCAAATATATTAAAAAATTAGAGGAATACTTTAATGTATTACATAGCTTCAATAATTACCAACACAAGGTCAATCTTGGACAAGTCCATTTTTAAGTTCATCTGAAGAGTAACTAGCCATTAACATCTGAAAAAGACAAAGGAAGAGAAACTTTAATAGTTATCTAACAGAGGTATTGCAGATAGCCCTGAAACAGACTCACATTTTTGTGGTCATTCAGAGAGTGACAAAGGTGCAATTTCAAATCAGTGTAGAAAGGATGGCTTAAAATTAATATTATTAGGTCAATGGGCTACAAAATTGGGAAGAATTGAAGTTAAATAATTTACAGCATATGGAAAATAAATTTCAGATGGATTAGAGCTCTAAATGTAAAGTTAAGCCTATAAGAAAATTAGAAAAAGTTATAAGGGAATTATAGATTAGTAATCTTGGTGTGACTGTCTCCCCAAGCCATGTAAGAATGATAAATCTGATTACATGAAAACCTTAAGCTTCTACAGAGTGAAAAAAACAAATTAAAAGACAAGTTAGAGACTGCGAGAAACATATGTCACTCATAAATCAGACCAAGGAGACTGGACGAAGACATGGAGATGTGAAGTAGGAGGTGTGCTCAGGAACATAGTTTAATGTCATCCACGTACAGGATAAACGGCTTCCCACGTCATGTCCCAGAAATCGATTAGTCGATGGGATTTGGGTGAGTACTTTCTTCTCTCTGTTTTCCTGAATTTTTCTTTTTTCTTTCTTCCCCTTTCTTCTTTCTCTTTTTTTCAGAATGATGGTGTGTTTGTAATCGACATTTTAAAAATTCTGTAACAATTAAATTTGGGGGCGGCCTTCCCTTGTTTCCCGTATGGAGTGTTGATGTTTCAGCAGCTTTATTTGGAGTTTACACGTGGAGGCACCTGGGTTTGGGGATTCCTTTGTGTCCCCAAGACACCTATTGCAGAAGTGAGTCCTAAGAGGTAGAAAACAGATGCGTGCGCAGGGCTGGGTGAAGCACTGTGGAGCCTGTGTGAGAGGAGGCACGGGCGCGAACACAGGAGCGCACTTCCTCATTCCGTTTCTCCTCATCCTCTCTCCCACTGCCACTGGCATCACTCATCCCATCCGGTCATCCCAAGTCACACGCAAGAGTTCGTTCCCGGCGCGCGCGTCAGCCTGACTCGAGCGTCTCCACGTCCGGGGCCCGCAGGGGAGCGCCCCTGCCCCGTCCGGTCGCTTGTTGTGTTGTCATCACGTGGCCTGGGCGGGCCCTGACGTCAGGGGCAGGGGAGGGACGGCGCAGGCGCAGAAAAGGGGGCGGCGGACTCGGCTTGTTGTGTTGCTGCCTGAGTGCCGGAGACGGTCCTGCTGCTGCCGCAGTCCTGCCAGCTGTCCGACAATGTCGTCCCACCTAGTCGAGCCGCCGCCGCCCCTGCACAACAACAACAACAACTGCGAGGAAAATGAGCAGTCTCTGCCCCCGCCGGCCGGCCTCAACAGTGAGTGCGGGGCCGAGGCTCTGTGAAGGGGATGGGGGAGGAGGAGCAGCCCCGGCCGCCGCCACCGGCGCGGCGCGGGAGGCGGGAGGAGAAGGCAGCTCATTGGCTCAGGCATGGGATGTCCAGGTGACTGACAGCTCCCGTCCCCTGTCAAGAGGAGGGGCGCCTGCCTTGCTCCGGGCCTCTCTGTTGCCTCCTGGGGTCTTGGGCCCGGGGCCGTTTGGGCTCGCGGTCCGGGAGCGGCGCGGGTAGCGCGGATCCCCCTGGTGCGGGGGGTGGTCCCCAGCAGCGGAGCCGGGCGGGGCGGGGCGGGGGCGGGCCTGGGGGGCGGGGAGGCCGGGTGGGCGGAGCGGGCCGCGGAGGGGACGTGGGCCGGGATGGGGACGTGCGGCGGGGACGCCGGGGGATGGACGCGCGGGAGCGGGGCGGGGCGGGCGGCTGCCGCGGGACGTGTCGGGGATCAGGTGTGCGGGGCTCGCGGGCGGGCAGCGTCTGGCGGGCGCGGGAGCCCCCCAGCGAGCATTCCTTTGTTGCCACACGTTTGTCAGGAAAATTCATTTGCTCGTCTAGGGTTGGCTTCAGTCACGTGTGGGGTGAGAGGCTGTGCCTTGCTTCTCCTTTTTCCTTTTTTATTTTTTTATTAGATTTCTCGAAGTTGCCCAAGTGATTTTTTTTTTTTTAAAGCGATGGGTTGTGCGCCCAGTAAAGCTGAGAGCAGCCTCCTGAACCACCCAAGATTGCACACGTCAGGGAGTCTGGGGCCATGCATTTAAAGAAACGGAATTAAAAACGCACTCGGGCAGTTGAAAGTTAACGGACGAGGCTGATAGACAACCCAGGCCAGGGTCTTTTCATAACATTCCGCTGCCCAGACATCTTGTCCTCAGATTGTTCCTAGTCGTGAGAACCGGGAGCCTTCTTGGAAGGGTTCTTGCCTAACCTTTCTTTAATTCAACTCTTGGGAAAGAGGTAATGGGAGCAGTGAGCATATGGCCAGATGAAGTCTTTTCAAAACCACTTGGATGCTTAAAGGTCATGCAGTATCTTTCGTAAGAGGGAGGTGCTTCCAGTGTGGCCTGAAGATTATTTTAGGGAAGAGAGTTTCAGCCCTCACCAGGTAGCGATGGAGTTTGGAGATTTTAAGATGGATGCTGCTGCTCCAGGTTTTGATGGGTTAATTCCCAAAACCTTTAAGTGTCATATATTCCAGAATGTAAGATGGTTATATTATTTCCCACAGTAAATTAGGATGAATGTATGAGTCTTTAAACGTTACTTGTATCACATATTCCTATGCAATTTTAAGTTATTTGCCCATGTTTAGCATACTGTCTTAGATTTTAGAATGGGAAGAAACTTCAGAGCTAGCTAACTGCCTCCTGTTGTTTGCCTGTAGAGAAACAGGTCTAGAGTAAATGGCCTTGTCCAAGTTCACAACCGGCTGGGAGCAAAGCAGAGGTTCTCATGTTCAGCCTGTCTACTGCTCTTTTGAGGACATTTTTTTTTTTTTTTTTTTTTTTTTGAGGTAGAGTCTCGCTCTGTCTACAACCTCCGCCTCCCAGGTTCAAGCGATTCTTCTGCCTCAGCCTCCCGAGTAGCTGGGACTACAGGTGCCTGCCACCCGCCCAGCTAATTTTTGTATTTTTAGTAGAGACGAAGTTTCGCCATGTAGCTGGGATTACAGGCGCCCGACACCAAGCTAGGCTAATTTTTGTATTTTCAGTAGAGAGGGGGTTGTTGGTCTCTCACCATGTTGGCCAGGCTGGTCTCAAACTCCTGACCTCACGTCATCCGCCCGCCTGGGCCTCCCAAAGTGCTGGGATTACAGGCTTGAGCCATCGCACCGGCTTCTTTTCAGTGGTGCAGAACCTCCTGCTGGTGTGTGTGTCTTATTTTGTCAGTGTGTTATTCTACCTAATTGACAAAGGTGGCCAACCTTTCTGTTTCTTTTTAGTATTGTTTCTTAATTGTACAGTTTTCTTATGAGTGAAGATACTTGGTAGGTGTACGTGATTTCACTGAAAGCAAAGGGATTTTCATCTTCCTTTGACCCTTTAACAACAACAACAAAAAGGGCTGAGCCAGGCAGGGCACGATGGCTCACACCTGTCATCCTAGCACTTTGGGAGGCCAAAGCGAGTGGATCACTTGAGGTCAGGAGTTCGAGACCAGCCTGGCCAACATGGTGAGAGAACAACCCCCTCTCTACTGAAAATACAAAAATTAGCCTGGCTTGGTGTTGGGCGCCTGTAATCCCAGCTATTCAGGCGGCTGAGGCAGGAGAATCGCTTGAATCCGGGAGGCAGAGGTTGCAGTGAGCCGAGATCACGCCACTGCACTCCAGCCTGGGTGACAGAGCAAGACTCTGTCTCAAAAAAAAAAAGGGGCGAGGGCGGGGGCTGAGCCATATGTCATTGTTTATCTTGGTGTCTGACAGACCTATGAGGAGTTTGATGTCTTTGGCCAGTCGGTTCCTGCTTGGCTGACATCAGCTCTTACAGAGGTGGAAGTACACTCAGCCTGCATGGGACATCAAAATGTTGCTTTGGGACATCTGCTAGATAGAAAGTATTTTGTGTGGGATAGGGTGAGCTTTCTGAAAAGCTTTTAGATATTGCCATATTTAATTACTCCCTTCTTGCCTCTCACTCTGTTCGTTTTTTTAGCTCATTACACAACACTGTACTGAACAAAACAAGAAGCCTCATTGAATTCCTTGAAGTGATTTTTGGGCAATGGGCAAAACAACTTATTCAGGCATCTAGTACTATCCAAATTGCTGATAAGTCGAAGGACTTTGTTGGGTAAAGTTGCACAACTGAAAAACAGGAGAAGAAATGTACAGATTATCTTGCGTTTGGGATTTTATCTTTGGTTCAGGGGTCAAAGCAGGGTTTCAATAGCAAATTACTGAAGTATTTGAATAGTGAAGTATTTTTGTGATTTTTTTTTAACTTTACCGCTGTGGAGAGACTGTTCACTTTCATTAAAAATTACAGGGCAAATACCCAAACTCCTTCCAAGTCAAAAGGATGTTGTCCAGTTTGTTTTATTGTTAAGAAAACTATCAACTTCCTTAAGAATGTTTGAATAAGATTCAATAGGGCCGAATAAGGAAAATCAAAGTAGTAGTGTAAATCGTAGTATAATTCTTGTTGTTGAGAAGTATAGCCTTTTTTTTCTTTTCAAATTTTCTTGTTCTTTTTTGTTTTTTGTTTTGTTGAGACAGGGTCTTGCTTTGTCACCCAAACTGGAGTGCAGTGGTACAGTCATAGCTCATGGCAGCTTAGACCTCCTGGGCTCAAGTGATCCTCCTGCCTCAGCCTCCCAAGTAGCTAGGACTGCAGGTGTGCACCCCCACATCCAGCTAATTATTTTATTTCTTGTAGAGTTCGAGTTTCACTTTGTCACCCAGGCTGGTCACCGGCTAACTTATTTTTTGTAGAGATGGAGTTTTGCTTTGTTGCCCAAGCTGGTCACAAACTCTTTTTTTTAAATAGAAACATCTTCAAGCACAATGTCCTTGCTTTCTTGTTATGAAGAGTGCTCTTAAGGCCTTCATGGATTGTCACTGCCTCATAATAATGTTTTGAATACCTACGTAACTTGTATGTAAATACATACTGCTGCAAAAAGACCAACTTTTCAAAAATTTATTTATTTATTTTTTTATTTAAGAAGAATGCCAGTAACTCTTGTTGGCCTGGTCTGGATTTCAGCATCAGGTTGGCCTGGTCTGGATTCCTTTCAATAATGAATGAAAAGCTTTGAGGAAAGAATGTAAATATAATGAAATTTCAAAAGAGTTACATGTGGGCCTTGAAAAGTTAGGGGGAAAGATGAGGAGAAATACTCTTCATTCTCTCCTCCCCTTGTCCCAAAGCTCCTCTCTTCTTCTTCTTGCAAGAGGATTGAACTAGTGATTATAAAACTGTAAAGATTATACAACATACGGCAATGAGTATAATCACAATTATTGGACCACCCTTCACAGTCTATTATGTTAGAGAACGGAGAAGCATTCACAGAAGTTTCTCTGAATCTCTTAGTCATTCCCAAAAACCCAAACCAGAAAATATCTCATGTCATTGTATGTTATGTACAAATTGGCATAAGGAACAGCTCTTAGTTTGTAAAGTCTTTTAGATAATGGAGAAAGCTTCCAGCTTTTAGTTTTCAAGCTTGATCATTAGGAGGAGAATTCACTCTGTGGTTGTTTTCTACTTTGTGTTGCTTGGACAGCACAAACCTCTTATCTAGCCTTGTTTCCTTTCCAAGTAAAAAGGGACTTTGTGAGGATTGGTAGAGTTAGAACACTAAGAAATTCTGAGGCTGTAAATCAGGAACAAATCGGGTGATGGGAAACAGACGTGTTGTTCATCTATTGAGGAAGACACATTTGCTTTTTTATGTGTTACTCAAAAGATTAATATGTAGCCTCTTAATGCCTGTGTACATAACTTTCTCTGTACCACTATGTATTTCCATAGATGATATTTTTGAAAGAGAATTACCCTTAATTAATTAAAGGAAATCTACACTTTTAAGGCTGTTAATACCTATTGTCAAATTATTCTCCAGAATGTTCACTGAAGCCCTAATTGTAATAACAAAGTATTAGAAACAACCATCTCAGTAGTAGTTAACCATTGCCATTTAGATAATGGTTAAAGTATGGTATATCTTTATAAAAGATGAGATGCAATGCAGTTGTTCAAAAGAATGAATGTCAGTATATATTGATAGGGAAGACATCTGAAAAACGACTTACAGAATATGTCAGTATGTGTGTATGGTACAGTTCCATTTCTTTATAAAAACAAAAGCAAAAACAGACCTATATTTCATTGACAAAAACTCTGCAAGTCTCCATGTGAAACTGTCAAAAGTGGCTCCTTTGGGAGTAGGAACGGGAGGTTGGGAGAGATGTTAATTTTTAATTTTATGTACTGATGTTTACGTTTTCTAGGAACACATTTTTCCAGTAAGGAATGGTTTTTCTATGATATAGAATATAATTGTAGTAGCTAAAACTTTCTTAGGGACCTTTCTTATTGTTCTGCGTGCTATATTCATTTAATCCTCCTAACAAAGTCTTCGAGGTAGATACAGTTATTATCTCTATTTTATAGATGAGAAAACTGAGGCACAAAGAGGTTAAGTACCCTGTGCGAGGGTAACAGCTATAACTGAGAGTGGGAGCCTGGCTTCAGTCTCAGCCCCTGACCACACTATACCAGTGTATCCCAAGTACAAATTGTCCGCCTTAAGTAGAAATGCTTTCAGTTATGATTCAGGGTGTGGAGGCCACAGCAGAGATCACTTTTACTAAGCTTTTCTAGGTATGTCTCTTTCAGGTTCCAAAAGTATATATTGGATTATGATTGCTTATGTGTTTTTAATGAAGAAAATAGGATCCAGACATTGATTTGAAAGTCCTTCAAAAAAGTAAAAACCAGGTTGGGAGCAGTGGCTCATACCTGTAAGCCCAGCACTTTGGGAGGCTGAGGTGGGAGGATTGCTGAAGCCCAGGAGTTTGAGACCAACCTGGGCAATGTAGGGAGACCCTGTCTCTACTAAATAAATAAATAAATAAATAAATAAATAAATAAGTCGGGCATGGTGGCATGTGCCCTGTAGTCCCAGCTTCTTGGGAGGCTGAGGTGGGAGGATTGCTTGGGCCCAGGAATCAAGGCCGCAGTGAGCTGTGATTGTGCCACTGTACTACAGCCTGGGTGACAATGCAAGACTGTCTCAAAAGAAAAACAAAAGTAAGGACCAGAAAACCTGATATTGTTTGTTACACCCTTTTTTCTCTTCGATTGCCTACTTCAAGTGAATATTAATTGTATTTTAGGGAAGACTGACTTCCACAGAGACCTATCTGGAACTCCTGGTTCCTTACCTCTGCTTCTGTCAGAGCAGCTCTGGGTTTTGGTTTGTTACTATTGTACACATTAGGCTTCTATACAAGAAGAACTGGTCCCATTGGTTTAAAAATAAGTTTGAAAATCCTAGAAACAGTGAGAGTCAGAAAAAAAAACTGTTTTTATATACATATTCTCTCCCCCACCCCCTTTCTCTCCAGTTGAAATATGTTGCAGAGCTCTAAATTTAGGGATGCTTTTGGCGTATTTCTTATACACTCCAGAGGCACTCGAGATAAATTATCTTCAATGTTAGATCTCTCTTAGCTTTGCTAGTTGTATTTGTTAATCCATTTTGAGTTCTCTAGCCTGTGTCCATTTTATGTGTGTATAGAATGAGGCCATGGAGATGTTGTACAACTGTGTCGTTTGGCAGCAGAGTCCTAAGGAATTGGTGGTGACTATGGGATGGTGGTAGCCACTGGGGCTGCCTCAAATGGAAAGGAAAGGGTTCTAAGTATTTATAAAAGAAAATTCTAGTGTATAACTGAGCATCTTCTATTTACCAGCACTTGATACTACTAAATCGTCACAGCACCCCGGTGTTATTATTATCTCTGTTTACAAATGAGGAAGCTGAAGCTCAGGTCACACAGGTAGACAGGAAGTGATGGGGTCAGATTCCCAGCTAGGTCTGCCTTGGAGCTTTCCTTCTTGTGAGGGTGATGTTCAGTTCACTCTGGAACTGGTGTAGCCATCGCCACATTTAGAGTGCATTTTAGAGTTTGAGCCAGTTTTGATGATTTTACTTCAACTTACTGATGGAACTCCTTGTTCATCCCTGGAACTCTCTAACACTTCTGCTGGGAGTTTAGAGGGATGGCCACACCAAGCTGCTTGGGTACATTTTCTAAAACAAAATTTATTGTAAGAAATGGAAATTATGAACAAAATATACCACTATCTCTTTTTGCTGTGAAGTTAAGTTTATTGGCTACTGTTAACAATTTATTTACTTACTTACTTACTATTCTTTTGTAGAGACAGGGTCTTGCCATGTTCCCCAGGCTGGTGTCAAACTCCTGGATTCAAGCAATCCTGGTGCCTCAGCCTCCCAAAGTGCTGGGATTACATGTGTGAGCCACTGTACCTGGCCTCAACTCTTGTTAAAATTAAAGCACCTTAATACGTTTAGCAAACTCATCAGACCAATAAATATTTTCAAGATGTATGCAGAATTACCAGTGGCACATCCCCTTTTTCTGTGGCTCCACCCCTTCAACTTTTTGTCCAAGAAAACTTTTCGTGTTTGCCTGTAGCTGATGTGCAGTTGTTTCTGCTCCCAAATCAACAGGGTTTAATGAAAACCCTAGAAAGTAGAAACCCGTGGGAGAGAAAAGAAAAAAGACAAGTTCACAAGGTATGTTTAGTGTATAAAAAAGGAGAAGGACTAGAAAGCCTGAGATACAAAGGAAATGAAGAAACTAATCAGTGAGATAGAGATAAAGCTTTTTTCTGAATTTTTAGCATTATTACCTGATTTAGTTAACCAGCTGCATTAATTTTATGCTCCTGATTTGTGCACAAATTGAAATTTTTGCTATTGGATTTAGGTTCCCTCTCTAGGAGTTTCTCAGTTGTTTGCACTAAGTAGGATATAGTTGCTAACTTACTTAGATGACCTTTTATGAAATTTGTAGGTGATATATTTATTTCATTTCTGGAGCAGATACAGCTGAGCAGCTTAGGTAGACTATGAAGAAAGTGTGTGTGTATATATACACCAACTAAAATGTTAAAGGTAAATAGCCTAAAAGTAGCAATTTTTTTTTGAAAAGCAACCTGAGTTTTCAGTAGAGTGTTATTATAAACCAAGCTTTACCCAGAGAGAAATTGACTGAAAAACACGTTTTCTGAGATGTTTTAGAGTTTGAGCTGTTTCTCAGTTGATGGCATGAGCTATTTCAGGAACAGAACTATATAGATCTTTAGACTTTTATTACTTCTTATTTATTTTCTTCAGAATACTTTTACATTTGGTTTGAGGAGAGTCAGAATTCTTATCTGGATTCACCATGTTCACATCTGTGTGCACATGACAGATTTCAGTTCTGCTGTGGTTAACTTATCTGACTTGTCCAACAGGTTCCTGGGTGGAGCTACCCATGAACAGCAGCAATGGCAATGATAATGGCAATGGGAAAAATGGGGGGCTGGAACACGTACCATCCTCATCCTCCATCCACAATGGAGACATGGAGAAGATTCTTTTGGATGCACAACATGAATCAGGACAGAGTAGTTCCAGAGGCAGTTCTCACTGTGACAGGTAAGTGAGACCCATGTTTTGGTGGAATTCAGGAAACAGGTGGGTTACAGGGCTCATTCACTCTAGGAAAAATCTGTTTGCTTAAATCTTCACTTAGCAAAATATGCCTCCTGATATATTGTAGTATAATATATATTGCACAGATATATATTGTGTTTATATGAGACAGCTAATTGACAGGTGCTTCAGTGCCCACTGTTTTTCCCCAGATTGTCATTTTTCTTACCCAGATTATATTGTTTCTAGCAGTTTATCAGTTTAAAATTCAGTGGCATAAATGCTAATTTATAGAATTAATCTGACTTTCCCCCATTTTCCTTTGTGTCCCTGTGTTACAGATCACAGACTGTTCTTGAATTAGTTACCTCTGTATATATGTGTCTTCCCTTCTAGATGTTGACGTTGCAAAGGGCAGGGGCCATGTTTAATTTTTATTACCTTCACAGTAATGGTGCTGGCACGTAGTAGACACTCAGTAAATGTTTGATTCATAGGAACTGCAGGTTGCTTCACGTTATAGCAATATTTGCACAGTTGGAAGCACCAACCAAGGTCTGTAAAGATAGTTTTGAAGTCTCCTCTGCTTTCTCAGGGGATGTTTTGTTTCAGACCTCATTTTTCTATATTTGAGCTGAAGAAACTAATTACATGGATTAAGGACTGCTTATGGTGAAAGAGTAAGAATACAACGAGATATGTGTGTGGAATGAAACCAGGTCATTATTTTTTAGTATAAACTTTTCTGTTTTTTTTTTTTTTTTTCAGAAGGGCTAGATATTAAATGACATTTAAGAAATTCTTGTTTCAGTGACAGCTACACTGTTAGCATTATGGGGCACTGGATGACCTTCTGGGTGGTTGTTAACTGATGTTAACCATTTAGAAAATGCAAATGCACGGGAAGCAGATTAAGGAAATGTAAACAGTGACTATTTTTAGGAATGCAGTATGGATATGTTTCTTCTTAACATTTTTGTATTTTGTAAAAATTGTGTATATTGCACATATTATTACTTATCAGAAGAAGTGAAAAAAAGGAGAAATGAGTTAAATCATGTCCAACTTCCTGAGTGGCTTATGATCCACTAATGTTGCCAAGGCAGCGGGGGACTGGTTTGTTGGCTCTGTGGCACACTGTGCACCCCCGCCACCCCCGTGTCATCCCTGACTTGTCCCTGTGCTTCTTAGAGCCTGGGATGGCTCTTGTCATAAGCGGAACCAGAGCAGATGGCTCTCTTCTGAACAGCTTGCCCTTGATTCCAGTAGCTACAGCATTAGTCTGTCTTTCCGAATGAAGATTTATATTTATATTATGGAACTTGCTGATGGGTTTCTCAAGTTTTCTGCTTGTTATGGCCTGTCAACAAGGCTTTCACTCTGCGTTCAGGTGTGTGGGCCTTGATCATTGATACCATGGTGTCCATGAGCCTGTTGTTCACATGGTGCTGTCAATGAGCAGAGAACAGTCACCTGCTTACCTGTCTGTTCATCTTACTTCATTTATGGTGCAGTTTTACGTGTGACTGAATATGCCTTCACCCTCCTATGATCATGTTTAAGTTTAGGTTGCCATGAGGAGGCATGGCAAATGCTTTTGAACACTTTCGTACCCCTCATCTTATGTCTCTCCAGGCCCTAGATTAGTGGTCATCTTTCAGAGAATGGCTAGAACTCGAGTCTTCTGGGATAGCCTACTAACACGCTTTACCATTGAGGAGTGTCTTCAAAACTCACATCATCTGAATTGCCATGCGTCTCTATATGTGAAAAGTAATTGGAAAGTGTTTCTTGTAGGGGGAAATGTTTTAGGGTTGTTGGGTATCAGTCCTAGAGCTGATTTATGTATATTTTCAACTTAAAAATTATTCCATAGAAATATTTGTGTTGCCGCAGGGGTTGTTAGCTGGGAACCCCAGTGTGTTCTGCTTTGCCTTTCACCCTGTCACAGGGGTTTTCACCTTGACGGCACACTAGATTCACCCAGAAGCTTTTAAAAATGGCAGCACATGGACTGCATCTCAAGAACTTCTCATTTTGGTTGACAGGGGCAGGGTAGAGACGTCACAATATTTTAAAAGCTCCCCAGCCGATTCTAATATGTGCCATGGGTGAAGCTCTAATGCATTCCAAATTGTTAGGAGGAGTAAACAGTTTAGAGAAGAGGTTGGTACCAGTGTGAAGAAGCATATAGAAGCAGAGCAATGCTTCCATAGGATTCTTGACTTTGTCACCCTGACTGCCTTGACCTGGTCACGGCTATGTAAGGCTGACCCTTAACTTGATGTGTAGCTGTGAACCCAACAGTTATGAGCACAAAGATAGTAAACTGAGGCCAGTAGGAGTGCCCAGTTCGGGTTGACTCCTGTGCTAGTTCAAGACAAAAATTTCCTAAATATATATGACGTTGGTTTGATACAGAACCAGCTTTTCTGTTTTCCTGTCCCCATTTAAAAATCTCCTATGTCAATTATACTAGTCTAAAAGACTCCTAGGCCTAATCTGTCTGATAAATTTCTGACGATCTTATTTCTGAGTCAGTCTCACCAACGTCTCTATACATTAATTAACATTATATACATACTCTTGATAACTTTAATAGTTAATATCTATTCTTTTCAGCAAGTTAAGCCCCAAATATTTTTTATTTCTATTTTAGATTTTGGGGGAGGGTTTGTGTATGTAGTGAAGGATCCCCAGTGACTTTCAGTTTTTATACAAGAAATCATTAATAAAGCTAAGAAATTAACTTAGCACATTCTGTTCATCTCTTGTATCAAGTGCAGTTTGTGATCATGTTGTTTTTGTCTAAAAACTTATTTGTAAATTTTTACAGTTCTAAGAATGTATTTTGTGCAATCATAAAGGTTTTATATTAATATATAAGTTATATAATTCACTCTGAAATATCTCAAAGCAAATATTTCTGAAATAAGTAAAATAGTGGTTCTCAAAGTTTTTGGTCATTACATACCTTTACATTCTTAAAAATCATTAGGGACCCCAAAAAACTTGTTTGTGGGTTTATATATTTTGATATTTACTATATTAGAAATTAAAACTGAGAAAATATATATTCATTCAAAAATAATACATTTTAACATAAGTAGCATTTTTTAGTGAAAATACCTATTTTCTATAAACCCTCCAAGTTAATAAGAATAGTGGCATTGTTTTACACATTTACAAATCTCTAATACCAAGCTTAATAGAAGACAGCTGGTTCTCATCTGTGTTTGCATTCTAACTGTTGTGCTATCACACATCATGTAGCCTTTGGAAAATTCCACTATACACATGGGAGAATGAGAATGAAAAAGGCAAATAAATCCTACTAGTATTGAGAAAGGAACTGTAACCTCAAAGACCCTCTGAAAGCGTCTTTGAGAACTACCTTATGCACTTTGAGAACTACTGGTGAATTATTTAATGATGAGGGAACTTTGAGAAAAAGAACTCTGAAGTTCCTGAATTTGAAGATTATTTTACCTTTAGTGGACAAAAGAGTAAATATAAGAGAATGTGACAGTTTGTGTCTGTAGATAGTATTTCCTTTGCAAATTTATCATTTTGAAGGATTTCATTACTACTGAAAAAGTGCAGAACATTTTGGGAGTAAGAATGCTCAATTTCATTTAGCCTTTTAATATCACATAAATTTTTCTTGTATAGGGTTATGATATATTCTCTGATTTGCTTTTTCAAAGCCATACTGCTGTAACTTTTAATTTTCTAATTTCTAGTAGAGACTAAGTCATTTGACAAAGTGAGAATTAAAACTAATAGCTGAATTCCTTCTCTTCTAGCCCTTCGCCACAAGAAGATGGGCAGATCATGTTTGATGTGGAAATGCACACCAGCAGGGACCATAGCTCTCAGGTGTGTCGGGGGGATTCTGATTTACAGTAAACAATTAAGAAAGATGTAAATTCTCTAAGTATATTTTGCTAAAATAAATGTGAAGACTTTTAGGAATAGTTTGAAGCTATTATTGAGTTTCTGATTTTGGAATTTATTTAGGATGATATAGTTCTTGTCGCACTCCTTTACAACTAAGGATTTTGGGCCCTGTCACTCTAAACGAATTGGAAAATTCTTGTCCATAATAAATCATGCCAATACTCCAGGCTAGTTTCTTGAGTGTATAAGTAGAAAAAGACTGAGATAGATGCTTTAAGACCACAGAATAGGGAGGAGCCAAGATGGCTGAATAGGAACAGCTCCGGTCTACAGCTCCCAGCATGAGCGACGCAGAAGACGGGTGATTTCTGCATTTCCATCTGAGGTACCGGGTTCATCTCACTAGGGAGTGCCAGACAGTGGGCGCAGGCCAGTGGGTGCGCGCACCGTGCGCGAGCCGAAGCAGGGCGAGGCATTGCCTCACCTGGGAAGCGCAAGGGGTCAGGGAGTTCCCTTTCCGAGTCAAAGAAAGGGGTGACGGACGCACCTGGAAAATCGGGTCACTCCCACCCGAATATTGTGCTTTTCAGACCGGCTTAAAAAACGGCGCACCACGAGACTATATCCCACACCTGGCTCGGAGGGTCCTATGCCCACGGAATCTCGCTGATTGCTAGCACAGCAGTCTGAGATCAAACTGCAAGGCGGCAGCGAGGCTGGGGGAGGGGCGCCCGCCATTGCCCAGGCTTGCTTAGGTAAACAGAGCAGCCGGGAAGCTCGAACTGGGTGGAGCCCACCACAGCTCAAGGAGGCCTGCCTGCCTCTGTAGGCTCCACCTCTGGGGGCAGGGCACAGACAAACAAAAAGACAGCAGTAACCTCTGCAGACTTAAATGTCCCTGTCTGACAGCTTTGAAGAGAGCAGTGGTTCTCCCAGCACGCAGCTGGAGATCTGAGAACGGGCAGACTGCCTCCTCAAGTGGGTCCCTGACCCCTGACCCCCGAGCAGCCTAACTGGGAGGCACCCCCCAGCAGGGGCACACTGACACCTCACACGGCAGGGTATTCCAACAGACCTGCAGCTGAGGGTCCTGTCTGTTAGAAGGAAAACTAACAAACAGAAAGGACATCCACACCGAAAACCCATCTGTACATCACCATCATCAAAGACCAAAAGTAGATAAAACCACAAAGATGGGGAAAAAACAGAACAGAAAAACTGGAAACTCTAAAACACAGAGCGCCTCTCCTCCTCCAAAGGAACGCAGTTCCTCACCAGCAACGGAACAAAGCTGGATGGAGAATGATTTTGACGAGCTGAGAGAAGAAGGCTTCAGACGATCAAATTAGAGTGAGCTACGGGAGGACATTCAAACCAAAGGCAAAGAAGTTGAAAACTGAAAAAAATTTAGAAGAATGTATAACTAGAATAACCAATACAGAGAAGTGCTTAAAGGAGCTGATGGAGCTGAAAACCAAGGCTCGAGAACTACGTGAAGAATGCAGAAGCCTCAGGAGCCGATGCGATCAACTGGAAGAAAGGGTATCAGCAATGGAAGATGAAATGAATGAAATGAAGCAAGAAGGGAAGTTTAGAGAAAAAAGAATAAAAAGAAATGAGCAAAGCCTCCAAGAAATATGGGACTATGTGAAAAGACCAAATCTACGTCTGATTGGTGTACCTGAAAGTGATGCGGAGAATGGAACCAAGTTGGAAAACACTCTGCAGGATATTATCCAGGAGAACTTCCCCAATCTAGCAAGGCAGGCCAACGTTCAGATTCAGGAAATACAGAGAACGCCACAAAGATACTCCTCGAGAAGAGCAACTCCAAGACACATAATTGTCAGATTCACCAAAGTTGAAATGAAGGAAAAAATGTTAAGGGCAGCCAGAGAGAAAGGTCGGGTTACCCTCAAAGGGAAGCCCATCAGACTAACAGCGGATCTCTTGGCAGAAACCCTACAAGCCAGAAGAGAGTGGGGGCCAATATTCAACATTCTTAAAGAAAAGAATTTTCAACCCAGAATTTCATATCCAGCCAAACTAAGCTTCATAAGTGAAGGAGAAATAAAATACTTTACAGACAAGCAAATGCTGACCGATTTTGTCACCACCAGGCCTGCCCTAAAAGAGCTCCTGAAGGAAGCGCTAAACATGGAAAGGAACAACCGGTACCAGCTGCTGCAAAATCATGCCAAAATGTAAAGACCATCGAGACTAGGAAGAAACTGCATCAACTAACGAGCAAAATCACCAGCTAACATCATAATGACAGGATCAAATTCACACATAACAATATTAACTTTAAATGTAAGTGGACTAAATTCTGCAATTAAAAGACACAGACTGGCAAATTGGATAAAGAGTCAAGACCCATCAGTGTGCTGTATTCAGGAAACCCATCTCACGTGCAGAGACACACATAGGCTCAAAATAAAAGGATGGAGGAAGATCTACCAAGCAAATGGAAAACAAAAAAAGGCAGGGGTTGCAATCCTAGTCTCTGATAAAACAGACTTTAAACCAACAAAGATCAAAAGAGACAAAGAAGGCCATTACATAATGGTAAAGGGATCAATTCAACAAGAGGAGCTAACTATCCTAAATATATATGCACCCAATACAGGAGCACCCAGATTCATAAAGCAAGTCCTGAGTGACCTACAAAGAGACTTAGACTCCCACACATTAATAATGGGAGACTTTAACACCCCACTGTCAATATTAGACAGATCAACAAGACAGAAAGTCAACAAGGATACCCAGGAATTGAACTCAGCTCTGCACCAAGCAGACCTAATAGACGTCTACAGAACTCTCCACCCCAAATCAACAGAATATACATTTTTTTCAGCACCACACCACACCTATTCCAAAATTGACCACATAGTTGGAAGTAAAGCTCTCCTCAGCAAATGTAAAAGAACAGAAATTATAACAAACTATCTCTCAGACCACAGTGCAATCAAACTAGAACTCAGGATTAAGAATCTCACTCAAAGCCGCTCAACTACATGGAAACTGAACAACCTGCTCCTGAATGACTACTGGGTACATAACGAAATGAAGGCAGAAATAAAGATGTTCTTTGAAACCAACGAGAACAAAGACACAACATACCAGAATCTCTGGGACGCATTCAAAGCAGTGTGTAGAGGGAAATTTATAGCACTAAATGCCCACAAGAGAAAGCAGGAAAGATCCAAAATTGACACCCTAGCATCACAATTAAAAGAACTAGAAAAGCAAGAGCAAACACATTCAAAAGCTAGCAGAAGGCAAGAAATAACTAAAATCAGAGCAGAACTGAAGGAAATAGAGACACAAAAAACCCTTCAAAAAATCAATGAATCCAGGAGCTGGTTTTTTGAAAGGATCAACAAAATTGATAGACCGCTAGCAAGACTAATAAAGAAAAAAAGAGAGAAGAATCAAATAGACAAAAAATGATACTACAAACACCTCTACGCAAATAAACTAGAAAATCTGGAAGAAATGGATACATTCCTCGACACATACACTCTCCCAAGACTAAACCAGGAAGAAGTTGAATCTCTGAATAGACCAATAACAGGAGCTGAAATTGTGGCAATAATCAATAGTTTACCAACCAAGAAGAGTCCAGGACCAGATGGATTCACAGCCGAATTCTACCAGAGGTACAAGGAGGAACTGGTACCATTCCTTCTGAAACTATTCCAATCAATAGAAAAAGAGGGAATCCTCTGTAACTCATTTTATGAGGCCAGCATCATTCTGATACCAAAGCCGGGCAGAGACACAACCAAAAAAGAGAATTTTAGACCAATATCCTTGATGAACATTGATGCAAAAATCCTCAATAAAATACTGGCAAACCGAATCCAGCAGCACATCAAAAAGCTTATCCACCATGATCAAGTGGGCTTCATCCCTGGGATGCAAGGCTGGTTCAATATACACAAATCAATAAATGTAATCCAGCATATAAACAGAGCCAAAGACAAAAACCACATGATTATCTCAATAGATGCAGAAAAAGCCTTTGACAAAATTCAACAACCCTTCATGCTAAAAACTCTCAATAAATTAGGTATTGATGGGACGTATTTCAAAATAATAAGAGCTATCTATGACAAACCCACAGCCAATATCATACTGAATGGGCAAAAACTGGAAGCATTCCCTTTGAAAACTGGCACAAGACAGGGATGCCCTCTCTCACCGCTCCTATTCAACATAGTGTTGGAAGTTCTGGCCAGGGCAATCAGGCAGGAGAAGGAAATAAAGGGTATTCAATTAGGAAAAGAGGAAGTCAAATTGTCCCTGTTTGCAGATGACATGATTGTTTATCTAGAAAACCCCATTTTCTCAGCCCAAAATCTCCTTAAGCTGATAAGCAACTTCAGCAAAGTCTCAGGATACAAAATCAATGTACAAAAATCACAAGCATTCCTATACACCAACAAGAGACAAACAGCCAAATCATGAGTGAACTCCCATTCACAATTGCTTCAAAGAGAATAAAATACCTAGGAATCCAACTTACAAGGGATGTGAAGGACCTCTTCAAGGAGAACTACAAACCACTGCTCAAGGAAATAAAAGAGGATACAAAGAAATGGAAGAACATTCCATGCTCATGGGTAGGAAGAATCAATATCGTGAAAATGGCCATACTGCCCAAGATAATTTACAGATTCAGTGCCATCCCCATCAAGCTACCAATGACTTTCTTCACAGAATTGGAAAAAACTACTTTAAAGTTCATATGGAACCAAAAAAGAGCCTGCATCGCCAAGTCAATCCTAAGCCAAAAGAACAAAGCTGGAGGCATCACACTACCTGACTTCAAACTATACCACAAGGCTACAGTAACCAAAACAGCATGGTACTGGTACCAAAACATAGATATAGATCAATGGAACAGAACAGAGCCCTCAGAAATAACGCCGCTTACCTACAACTATCTGATCTTTGACAAACCTGAGAAAAACAAGCAATGGGGAAAGGATTCCCTATTTAATAAATGGTGCTGGGAAAACTGGCTAGCCATATGTAGAAAGCTGAAACTGGATCCCTTCCTTACACCTTATACAAAAATCAATTCAAGATGGATTAAAGATTTAAACGTTAGACCTAAAACCATAAAAACCCTAGAAGAAAACCTAGGCATTACCATTCAGGACATAGGCGTGGGCAAGGACTTCATGTCCAAAACACCAAAAGCAATGGCAACCAAAGCCAAAATTGACAAATGGGATCTAATTAAACTAAAGAGCTTCTACACAGCAAAAGAAACTACCATCAGAGTGAACAGGCAACCTACAACATGGGAGAAAATTTTCGCAACCTACTCATCTGACAAAGGGCTAATATCCAGAATCTACAATGAACTCAAACAAATTTACAAGAAAAAAACAAACAACCCCATCAAAAAGTGGGCGAAGGACATGAACAGACACTTCTCAAAAGAAGACAGTTATGCAGCCAAAAAACACATGAAAAAATGCTCATCATCACTGGCCATCAGAGAAATGCAAATCAAAACCACTATGAGATGTCATCTCACACCAGTTAGAATGGCAATCATTAAAAAGTCAGGAAACAACAGGTGCTGGAGAGGATGTGGAGAAATAGGAACACTTTTACACTGTTGGTGGGACTGTAAACTAGTTCAACCATTGTGGAAGTCAGTGTGGCGATTCCTCAGGTATCTAGAACTAGAAATACCATTTGACCCAGCCATCCCATTACTGGGTATATACCCAAATGACTATAAATCATGCTGCTATAAAGACACATGCACACGTATGTTTATTGCGGCATTATTCACGATAGCAAAGACTTGGAACCAACCCAAATGTCCAACAATGATAGACTGGATTAAGAAAATGTGGCACATATACACCATGGAATACTATGCAGCCATAAAAAATGATGAGTTCATGTCCTTTGTAGGGACATGGATGAAATTGGAAACCATCATTCTCAGTAAACTATCGCAAGAACAAAAAACCAAACACCGCATATTCTCACTCATAGGTGGGAATTGAACAATGAGATCACATGGACACAGGAAGGGGAATATCACACTCTGGGGACTGTGGTGGGGAGCGGGGAGGGGGGAAGGATAGCATTGGGAGATATACCTAATGCTAGATGACGAGTTAGTGGGTGCAGCACACCAGCATGGCACATGTATACATATGTAACTAACCTGCACAATGTGCACATGTACCCTAAAACTTAAATTAAAAAAAAAAAACAAAAAAAAAAACCTACCAGTGGAGGTACAAAATAAAAAAAAAAAAAAAGACCACAGAATAAATGAAGATGAAGGTTGTATTAGAACTAGACATGAAGACTTTTTTTTGCATCTGAAATCAAAGCAGTGGCTTTTGAGATAAATTTTAAATTTATCTAAATTATGCAGGATTCCTTCAAGATAAATATTGTTTACTAGGAGTTGACAATGTTGGAAACATAGATGGATATAGTATTAAAATCTTACAAATGTTTGTGTTATAAGACTTAAAATATGGTAAGTATATAACTGTGGCTAATGATTTAGAATACTCATAGCCAGCCTTTAACTTTATTGATATGTAAGATCACCTAAAAGTGTCATTAGAGTACAAATTCTTGAGGACGGGAACCATTATCTTTTTCTCCTGTATTTAGGGTGCTTGAAAAATGTTTAATGAACCTTTGAATGAGTCGCAACAAAAACCTTGTTTTGTCGGGTTCTCACTATTCTGTGTCCTGGGCACTAGAAATATTTTGTGTGTCTTAGATCCACCCAGTATTCTTTCTGTTTCCAAAGGCCACAGAATTCCTCTATACTTTACTATGCTCTATTTTTGCTTTTCTCTGAAATGTCGAAAATCTTTGGATTCAACACAAATTTATTTTATGATGATGAGCTTTATACTGTAGAGAAGCTCACAATAGCAGGCTGTCGTATATAAGATGATCTGACTGGAGCATTTGAATTGCTGGCTTATGTATGTCAGTTTGGCCACATGCAGTAAGCTATAGCTGATGTAGAAGAAAGCTTACAAAGTCTCCATAGCAGAAAGTGTACCACGGAATCCAGGAGAGAAATCGAATTCTTTGCCGTGGTCTTTCCTGAGGAGGATTTCTTCAATCTATATCACCTTTTATACAGAAAGCTTTAAGTTTAGATTAGCATTTTCCAAAATGTGTTTTCAAGAACATTTGTTCAAAGGTCAAATAAATGGAAGGTAATGCAGCCCCAGGTTCCCCCACACTCTCACCTTAGTAGTCGCATGAGTAATTCTGACCAGTTCCTGCAGTAAAGAAATTATAGTTTAAGCTGGACATGGTGGCACTTGCCTGTAGTCTCAGCTACTTGGGAGGTGGAGGTGGGAGGATCCCTTGAGCCCCACAAGTTTTTGAGTCCAGCCTGGGCAACATAGCAAGACTCTCTGTCTCTAAAAAAAAGAAAAAAAGAAATGGGTTTAATTAAACCAAATGTTTCCCAAGCTT
The DNA here is from genome assembly GCF_000001405.40 of Homo sapiens. NCBI lineage: Eukaryota > Metazoa > Chordata > Mammalia > Primates > Hominidae > Homo > Homo sapiens. The sequence goes on from NC_000008.11 coordinate 26,402,818, forward strand.
ATTTGACCTTAGACTTTCTTCCTCTTCTCTGCATACGTTTTTCCCTTAAGAACTTAATAACTCCGTGGAGCACTGTGGTAAGTGCTTTCCTGGCTCATGGAGTTGCAGATGTGCAATCAGGCTTAACTCAATATTGAATGTACATGGAATTCTAGAGTTGAATGCATCTACCCTGGAATTCCAAAGGAATTTTTGAAATTCAGGAAAGAAAATGTCAGGTTTTTGGCCTTTGGTAGGTTTGCCAGTGTTGATCCCTTCTCAGGACCAAATCCCTAAAAGAGCATAGGCTATCATCAAGAGGAGGTACTTACTTTATGTTGACAATCAGATCGGTCAGTTTCAACAAAGGGAAGAGTTTGGAAAGACAGCCTAACCCCTGTGAGAGATAACAGTTGAGTAGGACTTAATAAGGGAGCTGTCAGCAGGTATAGTTTAAACTTTCAAAAACCTTTGACATTGCCTTTTTTTAATGGAAGAAACAATAATTTAAAAATTAATTTCTTTAGGATTTGGGAAAATTGATTTTCTTCCTGAATAAGAAGAAAGTTTAGGGTTAGGAAACTTAAAAAAGCAGTTAAAGGACTGTTATTGTACTTGATCTTATAGAATGTTTTTATATGTGTTTATAAGGACTATATATAATTTTCAAGCTTTTCTAAGATGAGGAAGTAAAGTCACTAACATTAACTAGATATGTTCTAGGTACTCAGTTTCTTTTTTTTTTTTTTTGGAGACAGCGTCTCAGGGTCTTGCTTTGTCACCCAGGCTGGAGTGTAGTGGTGCAGTTGTAGCTCACCACAGACTTCGATTCCCGGCTCAAGCAATCTTTCTGCCTCAGTCTCCCTAGTAGCTGGGACTACAGGCTCACACTGCCACGCCTGGCTACTTTTTTATTTTTTTTTTGTATAGACAGAGTCTCGCTATATTGCCCAGGCCGTTTTCAAACTCCTGGCCTCAAATGATCCTCCCATGTCGGCCTCCCAAAGTGCTGGAATTACAGACATGAGTTACTACTCCCACCTCTCTTTTAATGTTCTCAATCCAGTGAAAGCAATGATATTATCCCCATGGACCAGTGGAAAAAGTGAGGCTTTGTACTAATTACTTATCTAAGATCACAAAGCAAGTCACTGTTAGAGCCAGGATTCAAAGCAGGTCTGAGTCTGTGGCCCTTGTTCTTTCTACTGAACTAAGTAAATGAATTCGATTGATAACAGGAGAGCTCACAAAGCCATGAGAATGAACTGAAAAATGTCTGCTGAGTTATGGTATGGGGAATCTGCCTAAGGCAGTGTGCACTTAGGAAAAAGACCATGAAACTGCTTTTCGGATGATCATCCTCAAGAGTCTCAGTTTTGTATCAGAAAACAGACTGTAGATTGTTTCTTCACTTGATCTTAGCCAAAAGTCCGAGAAGCGATATAGATTATTTATTGAAGACATTTTTGCATTGTGTTTCTGGGACCAAAAATGCCAGCACAATGTTGAGTGTTACTGAAAAATGATCCAAACAGAAAATATCCTCCATTTCCTGTCTTGTAAAACTGTGATTTTTATCTGTACATGAATCATGGTATACAGCTTAATATCCATATTTAGAGGACAGAGTGACCTTGAGGTAAACCAGAGAAGGAAAACTTAAGTGATCAGAAAACAAAGAACTCCATGTGAGAGAACAGGCTAGAACGATCAGAATCTTCTTTGTTTTTGTTTTTTGTTTTTGAGATGGACCTCACTCTGTCACCAGGCTGGAGTGCAGTGGCATCGGCTCACTGCAACCTCTGTTTCCAGGTGGTTCTGCTGCCTCAGCTGCCCAAGAAGCTGGGATTACAGGTGTGCACCACAACGCCTGGCTAATTTTTGTATTTTTAGTAGAGACAGGGTTTCGCCGTGCTGGCCAGGCTGGTCTCAAACTCCTAACCTCAAGTGATCCGTCCACCTCGGCCTCCCTAAGTGCTGGGATTACAGGCATGAGCCATGGTGCCCAGCCAGAATCTTCTTTGAATAGATGTAGGTATAGAGAGAGGATTATTGATTTTAAAAGCACAAATCTTACGTAATTAGATTAAGTACATTTTTACCATATTCTGGAATTCTAAGAATTGGAAGGCAGTTTAAAACCTGAAAGTGGCAAATTTAAGATTAATAAAAGGAAGCACAGAGTGGTAGTGAATGAGGAAAGCTTACCACTCTTATTCTTAAAGTATTGTAAGTTGGGAAACTTATGGAGTTCTTTTTTGTTTTGTTTTCTTTTTAAAACACTTGTCCAGAGATAACTTTGCTTCATTCAACTGAGAAAATTCCATCCTCATGAAAAAAAAAATTAGAGCGTGAAATCTTACTGCGTTTCATTCTGTCAGAAATTATGAAATATTAACTTGTTAAATCTTTGAGCAGGTTTAAAGAAAGATCTGTGAGGCCAAAGCAGGAAACTAAACAGAAGCGACCTGCAGTGTGTTGAGTATAGTCAGATATTGTGTGTACAGGAACTGATGTGCAAGTAAATTGTAACAGTTTATTGTTTTTGATTTGGGATGATTTCAGTGTTACTCCAAAGAGCCAACTCATGATTCTGAGTAATCTCAATAGCCAATGGAAGGAGCTTAATCCTAAATGCTACATTGTGTCATTCAGTGGAATTTGCCAAGTTCAGCAGAACTAGATAAGATTGGTACTAACAAGAGCAGCAGAACGCACAGGGGTTTTACTTTGCCCTGTCTGAAGCTCCTTCCTGGGGTAGCTGTTTCACAGAGAACTAGACCTGTCAAGAGTCATGTGAATATGTCAGACTCTGCATTTCTTAGCTACCTACTGAAAAGAATGACAGCTTTGGTCATTCTTTTGAGTGAATCCTAGTCAAACAAAATAAAATGTCAAAATGCTTCTTAGTTTTGAGACCCCTGGGTTTGGGATCATAGCATGACATCCCTTAAAACTGACTATGACCAGGCACGGTGGCTCACGCCTGTAATCTCAACACTTTGGGAGGCTGAGGCGTGTAGATCACTTGAGGTCAGGAGTTCGAGACCAGCCTGGCCAACATGGTGAAACCCCGTCTCTACGAAAAATATAAAAATTTGCCAGGTGTAGTGCCAGGCGCCTGTAATCCCAGCTACTCTGGAAGCTGAGGCAGGAGAATTGCTAGAACCCAGGAGGCAGAGGTTGCAGTGAGCCAAGGTCGCGCCACTGCACTCCAGCCTGGGTGACAGAGCGAGACTCCGTCTCAAAAAGAAAACTGAATAAATAATACTGAATAAATAAATATCATTTTTAGGACTTTTTCATTCCTTTTGGTTCTATTAAAAGGGGAGCTATTGGAAATGTTAATTGTTCTTGGCCTGAAACTTTAGGTTATAATAAGCAATTTTTAAAAGTCACATTTTTTATTTTATTTGATATGACACATGTTAAATTCTGACTCAACTTATTATAGATTATTCCCAAAAACTTTTGGCTAACATAGTTTCGAAACCTTGGAAAATGTTTGTATAGCAATTTGTCCTAAAAATATAATCTCCTTCCAGAGAGTAAACCCTGGTGCTTAACAGTAGGGCCTCTCTATACAGTATTCCTGGGTTTGAATACTGGCCCTGCTATGTACTGGTTGTGGAACCTTAGGCAAGTTATTTAATCTATGTCTCAGTCTCCTCATCTGTAAAATGGGATTTTAATAATTATTTTTATAGGGTTATTTGTTGCAAGGTGAAAGTTAATGCATGTGGCTGGGTGCAGTGTCTCACACCTGTAATCCCAGCACTTTGGGAGGCTGAGGCAGGGAAGATCCCTTGAGCCCGGGAGTTCAAGACCAGGCTGGGCAACATAGTGAAACACTGTCTCTTTAAAGAAATACAAAAATTAGCTGGGCGTGGTGGCACACACCTGTAGTCCCAGCTACTTGGGAGGTTGAGGTGGGAGAATTAATTGAGCCCAGGAGTTCGAGGCTGCAGTAAGCTGTGATTGCACTCTGGCCTGGGTGACACAGGAGACCCTGTCTCCAGAAAAAAAAAAAAAATGCATGTAACATGCTTGGAATAATATTTGCCCCTTTAAGTGCTCAATAAATACTATTATTTATTTCCTCATCACATCTCTCACTTATTTTTGTTTTACTTCTCATCATTTTATTTTTAGCATATCCTTTTATTTCCTTTTATTTTTTTAATTATGAAATTTTTTTTTTTCTTTTTTTTGTTGAGATGGAATCTCACTCTATCACCCAGGCTGGAGTGTAGTGGCTGGATCTCGGCTCCACCTCCCAGGCTCAAGCAACCTCCACCTCCCAGGCTCAAGCGATTCTTCTGCCTCAGCCTCTCAAGTAGCTGGGATTACAGGTGCCCGCCACCATGCCCGGCTAATTTTTTTTTGTTTTGTTTTGTTTTGTTTTTTGAGGCGGAGTCTCGCTCTTTCCCCCAGGCAGGAGTGTAGTGGCGCGATCTCTGCTCACTGCAAGCTCCGCCTCCTGGGTTCACGCCATTCTCCTGCCTCAGCCTCCCGAGTAGCTGGGACTACAGGTGCCCGCCATCACGCCCAGCTAATTTTTTTGTATTTTTAGTAGACACAGGGTTTCACTGTGTTAGCCAGGATGGTCTCGATCTCCTGACCTTGTGATCCGCTCACCTCGGCCTCCCAAAGTGCTGGGATTACAGGCGTGAGCCACCGCACCCAGCGTGTAAGTTTTGTGTTTTTTTTTAGTAAAGACGGGGTTTTACCATGTTGGCCAGGCTGGTCTCCAGCTTCTGACCTCAAGTGATCCGCCTGCCTCAGCCTCCCAAAGTGCTGGGATTATAGGCATGAGCCACTGCACCCGGCCTAATTACGAAAATTTTAAGTGCATACAAGAGAGAATAATATAATGGACCTCCATGTAAGTATTGCCCAGATTTAACTCTTATCGAGGTTTTTCATACTTCCCTTAGCATTACATCCCAAAGTACAGTCTTATGCAGTTCCTGTGCTGTGCTTAGATATCCCAACAGTGAAGCTCACTCAGGTTGTTCTGAAGATATTACATACTCTGATCTTACATTATTTTTCAGCATTTTTTAGAAAAGCAACATGTTTGTTATCTAAAATTTCTGAGACACAACCTTATGAGTTTGGTATCTTTTCTGTCTAGATTTTTCTTTGTATTAGGAGGAATTGGTCTTCCTTTTTTTCTTAAAGTTTGAATTCTTCTTTACAGTCAGAAGAAGAAGTTGTAGAAGGAGAGAAGGAAGTCGAGGCTTTGAAGAAAAGTGCGGACTGGGTATCAGACTGGTCCAGTAGACCCGAAAACATTCCACCCAAGTGAGTTCTCACATGTTTCTTGTCAGTGGACACAGTTGATCTGCGCACGCTTACAGGCAATGGGCCTGGTAATCCCCACGATATTTTCAGCAAATGACATCTGCCTCTGAATTTCTTTCTCAGGGAGTTCCACTTCAGACACCCTAAACGTTCTGTGTCTTTAAGCATGAGGAAAAGTGGAGCCATGAAGAAAGGGGGTATTTTCTCCGCAGAATTTCTGAAGGTGTTCATTCCATCTCTCTTCCTTTCTCATGTTTTGGCTTTGGGGCTAGGGTAAGTACCGGTCAACTCCTGAAGTTTTTTCCATTCATTTTATCCTCTTATTTTCAGATTGAAGAAATGTATGTGAAAGCAGTTTTTATTGCTTTACTTTCAATGTTTTAGTGCAAATAAGGTGAACTTAAAAAAGTGGGTGCACAATTGTTCTACAAATAAGCATTTTTAATAATAGTAGAGTGTGTTTTCTTATTTGAAAATAAGATGTTTGGCCTGGTGTGGTGGCTCATGCCAGTAATCCCAGCACTTTGGGAGGCCAAGATGGGTGGATGACCTGAGGCCAGGAGTTCAAGACCAGCCTGGCCAACATGGTGAAACCCGGTCTCTACTAAAAATACAAAAATTAGCTGGCCATGGTGGTACATGCCTGTGGTCCCAGCTACTTGGGAGGCTGAGGCAGGAGAATCGCTTGAACATGGGAGGCGGAAATTGCAGTGAGCCGAGATCATGCCACTGCACTCCAGCCTGGGGGATAGAGTGAGACTCCATCTCGGAAAAAAAAAAAAAAAAAAGAAGATGTTCATAATAATCCCCTAAATGATCAAATGTAAGCGGACTCCTCTGTGATTGATTTTTCTTTTTGGGTTTTGTTGTGTAATATTTAATCTTGAGTAATTTATGAACTAAACTAATCTTTAGCATGTACATTTTGTGGTCAGTGCAAATACCTTTTTTTCATATGGGAAAATACATGATTACATTGAATAGTTTTTTTTAATGAAACTGGTAGGTTGATTGGTGCTAATTTTTTCCTTTTTTAACTTTGTAGTATTTTCATTTATTTTGCTAAAATCAACCTCATATTTACGTGTAATTCATTAGTTTCTTAGCCACATCTTTTAAATAAATTGCTTTTTTTCCTTGATTTAAACAATTGAGGAATTACACTTCTGAAAGATTTTAGGAGTTAAACAGTAGCTGTTAATTTTTTTCAAGACGTATGTTGTGCTCTAAGCATGCCCAGTGGGTCATTTTCAGTATAAGATATGCAGAAGATGGGGTCATCCTTTTTCTTCCCTTTAAGGAGCTCAGCATATTGGAGAGAGATTCTTAGTCACGACCTCAGAAACTTGCATACAGCTTTCCACACACCCGTCTTGTCTCTCTTGGGTGCTTGATCTGCTTTTGTGAGGGCAAGGACAGTAATCAACAAACAGCAACCTAGAAGGGGTTTGTGCAGAAGGGGACTGTGTGACTGTTGCGTGGGGGTTGATGTGGGGCAGGTGTAGGAGTTTAATACATTGCTGCCTATACAGCAGTTCATTGCCCTTAAGCGATTGGTGTCTATACCTTGCCGTCTCTCTTTCAGTCATCTTCAGATTGTTTGTCTTGGCTGTAAGTATAACTATTGCTATAGATGAATGTAAAAAGAGTGTTTAAAAAGTTCGTTGCTTTAATTGCACTGGAGGTGAAGCTAGTTACATACTTTCCTTAACTTCCCTTCTGCTTTTGCTGTTGAAGAGGCCAAATACTTTCTTGGCATGAAAAAGTATTATAAGGCCCCTAATCCTTAGGAGTTATTAGTAAGAGCTGTCTTTAAAGCACTGGCAGCTTTTAAGGTTTTTTTTTTCTTTTGTCCTACATAGAGCACCAGAATAATTTCACATATTACTATATTTTTGTGTCTGAAATGTCAGTAGAACCTTCTGTCCACCAAAGAGGAACATCTTGAAGGAGTTGGGCTGCTTTATTTACTCTGTGGAGGGATCTGTTCTCTCTGGCTTTACTTTGTCTAATCACTACCCCTTTGCTGTCGAGCCCCGATATTTAATGAGTAAACAAACTCATATAAAACCAGTTTGGCCGGGCTGGTGACTGGTTTTAAGAAAGTCAGTGATGATTTCACGGTGTTTGGGGAGCGGTACCCACAAACCTTTAGAGCCTTTTACAAAGACTGAAGAGTTTTAAGTAGAGTTCAACCTGTGGACAAGCTGGTATAGAACTGTTGAAACAGGTGAAACATGATGCTTCTGCTTCCTTTCAGCATCTATATTGGAAAGCGACTGAGCACACCCTCTGCCAGCACCTACTGAGGGAAAGGAAAAGCCCCTGGAAATGCGTGTGACCTGTGAAGTGGTGTATTGTCACAGTAGCTTATTTGAACTTGAGACCATTGTAAGCATGACCCAACCTACCACCCTGTTTTTACATATCCAATTCCAGTAACTCTCAAATTCAATATTTTATTCAAACTCTGTTGAGGCATTTTACTAACCTTATACCCTTTTTGGCCTGAAGACATTTTAGAATTTCCTAACAGAGTTTACTGTTGTTTAGAAATTTGCAAGGGCTTCTTTTCCGCAAATGCCACCAGCAGATTATAATTTTGTCAGCAATGCTATTATCTCTAATTAGTGCCACCAGACTAGACCTGTATCATTCATGGTATAAATTTTACTCTTGCAACATAACTACCATCTCTCTCTTAAAACGAGATCAGGTTAGCAAATGATGTAAAAGAAGCTTTATTGTCTAGTTGTTTTTTTTCCCCCAAGACAAAGGCAAGTTTCCCTAAGTTTGAGTTGATAGTTATTAAAAAGAAAACAAAACAAAAAAAAAAGGCAAGGCACAACAAAAAAATATCCTGGGCAATAAAAAAAATATTTTAAACCAGCTTTGGAGCCACTTTTTTGTCTAAGCCTCCTAATAGCGTCTTTTAATTTATAGGAGGCAAACTGTATAAATGATAGGTATGAAATAGAATAAGAAGTAAAATACATCAGCAGATTTTCATACTAGTATGTTGTAATGCTGTCTTTTCTATGGTGTAGAATCTTTCTTTCTGATAAGGAACGTCTCAGGCTTAGAAATATATGAAATTGCTTTTTGAGATTTTTGCGTGTGTGTTTGATATTTTTTACGATAATTAGCTGCATGTGAATTTTTCATGACCTTCTTTACATTTTTTATTTTTTATTTCTTTATTTTTTTTTCTCTAAGAAGAGGCTTTGGAATGAGTTCCAATTTGTGATGTTAATACAGGCTTCTTGTTTTAGGAAGCATCACCTATACTCTGAAGCCTTTAAACTCTGAAGAGAATTGTTTCAGAGTTATTCCAAGCACTTGTGCAACTTGGAAAAACAGACTTGGGTTGTGGGAACAGTTGACAGCGTTCTGAAAAGATGCCATTTGTTTCCTTCTGATCTCTCACTGAATAATGTTTACTGTACAGTCTTCCCAAGGTGATTCCTGCGACTGCAGGCACTGGTCATTTTCTCATGTAGCTGTCTTTTCAGTTATGGTAAACTCTTAAAGTTCAGAACACTCAACAGATTCCTTCAGTGATATACTTGTTCGTTCATTTCTAAAATGTGAAGCTTTAGGACCAAATTGTTAGAAAGCATCAGGATGACCAGTTATCTCGAGTAGATTTTCTTGGATTTCAGAACATCTAGCATGACTCTGAAGGATACCACATGTTTTATATATAAATAATTACTGTTTATGATATAGACATTGATATTGACTATTTAGAGAACCGTTGTTAATTTTAAAACTAGCAATCTATAAAGTGCACCAGGTCAACTTGAATAAAAACACTATGACAGACAGGTTTGCCAGTTTGCAGAAACTAACTCTTTTCTCACATCAACATTTGTAAAATTGATGTGTTATAGTGGAAAATAACATATAGATTAAACAAAATTTTTATCTTTTTTCAAGAATATAGCTGGCTATCTTTAAGAAAGATGATATATCCTAGTTTTGAAAGTAATTTTCTTTTTTCTTTCTAGCATTTGATGTCTAAATAATTTTGGACATCTTTTTCCTAGACCATGTTTCTGTCTTACTCTTAAACCTGGTAACACTTGATTTGCCTTCTATAACCTATTTATTTCAAGTGTTCATATTTGAATTTCTTTGGGAAGAAAGTAAATCTGATGGCTCACTGATTTTTGAAAAGCCTGAATAAAATTGGAAAGACTGGAAAGTTAGGAGAACTGACTAGCTAAACTGCTACAGTATGCAATTTCTATTACAATTGGTATTACAGGGGGGAAAAGTAAAATTACACTTTACCTGAAAGTGACTTCTTACAGCTAGTGCATTGTGCTCTTTCCAAGTTCAGCAGCAGTTCTATCAGTGGTGCCACTGAAACTGGGTATATTTATGATTTCTTTCAGCGTTAAAAAGAAACATAGTGTTGCCCTTTTTCTTAAAGCATCAGTGAAATTATGGAAAATTACTTAAAACGTGAATACATCATCACAGTAGAATTTATTATGAGAGCATGTAGTATGTATCTGTAGCCCTAACACATGGGATGAACGTTTTACTGCTACACCCAGATTTGTGTTGAACGAAAACATTGTGGTTTGGAAAGGAGAATTCAACAATTAATAGTTGAAATTGTGAGGTTAATGTTTAAAAAGCTTTACACCTGTTTACAATTTGGGGACAAAAAGGCAGGCTTCATTTTTCATATGTTTGATGAAAACTGGCTCAAGATGTTTGTAAATAGAATCAAGAGCAAAACTGCACAAACTTGCACATTGGAAAGTGCAACAAGTTCCCGTGATTGCAGTAAAAATATTTACTATTCTAAAAAAATGAGAATTGAAGACTTAGCCAGTCAGATAAGTTTTTTCATGAACCCGTTGTGGAAATTATTGGAATTAACTGAGCCAAAGTGATTATGCATTCTTCATCTATTTTAGTTAGCACTTTGTATCGTTATATACAGTTTACAATACATGTATAACTTGTAGCTATAAACATTTTGTGCCATTAAAGCTCTCACAAAACTTTTCCTGTCAGTATATCATTTTTCTGTCGCACCTGTTGCCTGGGAGTTTCAGGCGATGAGGCCTCCTCGCCTACACACAGCCTTCCAGTCATCTGGCTTCCCCAGCAGTGGAGTTCCTAACAGTGCTCAGGGTGTGAACGGTGTTCTGTGGGGACAGTCACCGCAGTGTGAGCATTCGTGAGTGCCTCGGGACTGTGGCATTCAGAGCATTTGCCTCCAGGTAGTGGCAGGAGGGCGCTCACGGGAGGAGTGCTCAGGAAGTACAGGAGAGAAGAAGAGTGTGCCCTGATGGAAATGACAGTGGGACACCAGTGAAAGTGGATCCAGAAGGAACTGGAAGTTCCACGTGCCTGGAAAACAGGATGGATACAGAGGAAACTGAAAAATGTAGGTTAGTACTGAACCTAATTGAAATGTGTGTGCCCTCCCAGGGGTCACACTTCATCATATAGTTAGCTGGGTTTACTTCTTTTAAACCAGGAGGTGATTTAAGATGTAAATTTTAGACAGTCAAGCCATCTGGTGAGAGAGTACCAGAGGAGATCAATCAGTTCTCTAGGCGAGGAGCTAGGGCCTGTCCTGGGCTGTCACCCTGAGGTTGGCAGTGGTGGGCCAGGATACGTATGAGAAACAAAGCGGAAGTAAACTGGTCAGAAAGTGACTTAGAGACGAAGGCGTGTGTATTCCTTTGTGTGTGTGGCCCGAAAACATGGGTTGATCCCATTAGTTAAAGGAGGACAGGAGAAGAAATGGGGTGGTAGGAGCAAAGAGGGAGGATTTCAGTTTTGAGTGCGTTGAACATGAAATGTCTGAGGGCCTTCTGATTGGACACTTATTAAATAGAACTATAACCCAGGAGAAGGGTCTGGAGTGGAAGTAAAACACAATCAGACCCATGCATTATATATTTATATGATGTTTAAAGATTGGACAATGGGCAAGGAAGAAAGTTACTCAAACAACAGGGAAGCCCAAAATTTGAAGGCTAAGCAGAAGAGAAGTTCTAGGTGAAATTGTTGGTATCACAGAAACCCCAAAAGTAGGAGGTGACCAAGCCTGACATGTTTCGTGGTTAAGTAAGATGAATCGAGAAGCTTTGGAATATGGCAGTCAGATCTGTGCTGATCTTTGCAAGAGCATTTTCTGTAGGAGTGAAAGAGGGATCCTGGATAAGATTGTGTTGGGTCAATGAATGAATAGCAAGAAGTGTTGGCTTTTTTGAATAAACTTCATGATTAAGAAAACAAGGGGGGAGTTTCTGAAGAGGAGACAGGATAGTAGGATTGTTGGCTTAGGTTGGGAATATAGAGGGGCCAATGTGTAGGCTAAGGAGAGAGAGCAAAGGGAGATATTAGCGTTACGGAGGGAGCAGATCAGTAATGGAAGAGTGGGACGTACTCCCTCCCGGAGAGGAAGGAAATGTAATTAAGCACTCAGGGAGGGTGAGCCTTAGAAAGGTGGAGTTTACAAAACCCAGACATTGATGACAGGAAATGAAGACATGAGAAGGGGTGAGTTAGAAATGGAAAGTGATGAAACCCCTGTCTGGTGGCTCCACTTTCTCCATGTTTGAGGAGGAGGCGGTGGTCGATGCTGAAGGAAGACAGAGCTGTTTCCCATCAGTATCTCCTCTGGAAGGAGACGGGAACTAATGCTGAAATCCTCAAAGCCTTACAATGGCTCCTGCCTTCATTCCCCAGTGCAGCCAGAAGCACCAGGCAGGTGGACTGGGCTCTGCTGCTTCACAGCCTGGGCGACATGATGCTTTGAGCTTCAGCTGTCTCCTGTGTCAAGCCAAGGGGCTGCCCGAGGTGCTCTCTGTGGACCTTTTAATTCTGCAGTTGCTGTTAGTAAATTATGGTTCAGGGTAAAAAGCAGGATTAGGAATGGGTGAATGATCGCTTGAGCCCAGGAATTTGAGACCAACCTGGGCAATATAGGAAGACTCCTTCTCTACTAAAAAATATTAACCAGGCATGGTAGCACACGCCTGTAGTTGCAGCTATTCAGAAGCTGATGGAGGGAGAATTGCTTGAGCCCAGGAGGTCAAGTCTGCAGTGAGCTAGGATTGTGCCACTGCATTCCAGCCTGGGTGACAGAGCAACACCGTGTCTAAAAAAAGTGGGAGCCAGGTGCAGTGGCTCATGCTTGTAATCCCAGCACTTTGGGAGGCCAAGACGGGAGGCTTGCTTGAGCTCAGGAGTTCAAGACCAGCCTGGGCAACATGGCAAAACCCCATCTTTACAAAAAATACAAAAAATTGGTTGGGCATGGTGGCACACACCTGTAGTCCTAGCTACTTGGGAGGCTGAGGTGGGAGGACTGCTCGAGCCCAGGAGGTTGAGACTGCAGTGAGCCATGATTGTGCCACTGCACTCTAGCCTGGGCAACAGCGAGATCCTGTCTCAAAAAAAAAAAAAAAAAAAAAAGAATGGGTGAATGAGGAATAGACACTATGGACATTTTATAAATATTACTTTAGGTTTGGTAGTGGATCAAAAATGTAAATGGACCAAGATAATGGAACAGAATGCAGAGAAAAAAATCTAAATTCTGGGTTTAGGTGAGCTGAGATTCCACATCTCAAAACTTAATCTTCAGGAAGCCAGTGGGCCCCATTCTTGATGTTTTTGCTTTTACGTATTTTAGCCCTTGAATTATTTCTTACACCACTGCTTCATGAGAGGTGTGAAGTTCAGAGTATTACCACATTTATAAACTAATTATAAAATGTAATGAAATCTTTAGAGGGGAGGAAAGAGTTTGTAAAGATTACCACGTCCTTTACTTCATCTGTTACTATTTCTGACCTAGTGGTAAAAATACAAACTTTAAGGTCATGAAATTAGGCAATTTATAAATTCAAATCAAGAGAAAATCAGTCTTGCCAAGAACTTATTTCTCCAGTGGGGACAACAGAGTCATCAGAAGTGAATGGACAATAGCAAGTCCTATAAATAACTGAAATAACAAAGGATTTTGAATAAGCAGTAATTGATGGTTAAGCTGCTAGTCAGTTCTTAGACTTTGAAATGCCAGTTTGAAGTTTGTCCCAGCGAAATGGACTTGGAAACTTTGTGTGAGAGAAGAGGGACTACAAATCCTACCAGAAATTATTTGGTTGCCACTCAGGAAAAGATACACCTCCTCTGGGTCTTACGTCATTCTTCAAAATGCTCTGCAAAAATAAAAGCTCAATCTCAGTGAATTTTACCCCTACTCCACTTACATAATGTCCTGTCCGCTACTCCCACTCTTAGTAGAAGTAAGGAAAAATCATGGACATACTTGGTAAGGAAAGAAACGCAGTTTTTAATAAAAGCTCCAAAAGTGATTGATGCGCAGCCAAGATGCAGTTCACTGGTCCTCGGGTGTATGAGAATGATGCCCACGACTGTAGTCAACTCTGATCTCTCCTGAACTCCAGACCCATGTGTCCAGCTACCTGTTAAGACATGGCCATTTGAATGTCCGTGGCCATTTCAAACTACACGTCCAGAACTCCCCGCCTCTTGCTTCCTCTTTTCTTCCAGGTGCCCATTGTTTTATGGTGTCTGTGAATGGTGCAAGGGTGCCTTCAGTTGCCCAAACCAGAAGCTTGCCAATTACTCTTTTCCTTTCCTTCTACATCTGGTCAGTCACCATGACCTGTTAATTCCACCTTCAAAACACCACTCAGTGTCACCGACCTTTCCTACCTTGCACTACCTAATTGAGGCCCCAGAGCCCTTGACTGCCTCCTTCCCAGGGCTTCCTTAGCTGAGTTCTGTGGCTCTGTACTTTTCTGTCAGCAGCCACAGTCATTGTCCTAAATTACAAATCTGATCATGGTGTCCCTTGAAATCCTTAAACGGTTCGCCATTGTCTTGGGGACCAAGTTCAAGTTCCCAAAGTGGCTGCCAGGCCTGCTGATCTCTAGCTTCATTGGACCGTGGCTGTCCCCGACTCCCACCCCACTGAAGTCAGCCTAACTTCATGCTCCTGTAACCTTGTTTTCCCTAAGTGCTGTTTTCCCTGCCAGGGATAGCCCTCCCTCCAGCTTCATTTTTCAGGGCTCAGTTTGGCAGTCACTTCCTCTGAGAAAACTTCCTTGACATCTGCCACATGTCCCTCTCCTACCTGGGCTAGAAGCCTCTCCTGTGATCTCCCGGAACACCCGGCACTTCCCCCATTGCAGCACCAGTCACCCTGAATGAGAATTGTCTTTGGCTCTTTTGTAGCTCGAGCTCCTCTAGGTAAGTGCTGTGTCTTCCCAACTGTATCCCAGAATTGGCCCCAGGCTTGTCGCATAATGCATGCTAAAAATACCTACTGAAAATTAATGGCTGCTCACAGCGGCTCACAACTGTAATCGCAGCACTTTGGGAGGCCGAGGTGGGAGGATTGCCTGAGGCCGGGAGTTTGAGCCCAGACTGGGCAACATGGTGAGACCCCCATCTCTACAAAAGCTAAAAAGCTAGTCTCAGTGGCGCATGCCTGTAGTCCCTGGTACAGGAGGCTGAGGCAGGAGGATCACAGCCTGCCTGGGAAGTCAAGGGTGCAGTGAGCTATGGATTTCAGAGCATTTTGGATTTCAGATTTTCAGATTTGGGATGCTAAAATGGTAAGTATAATGCAAATATTTGAAAATCCAATACATCGTTGAAATCCAAAGCACTTCGGGTCCCAAGGGATATACCCAGCCTGTACTACAGGGCTGGCTGGCATGACATCAAACATGGAATGGTGATTAATTTTAGCCATATAGCATTGTCTACAGGCTGGGGTTGCCTTCAATGACCTGAAATGAGATGGCTGGACATCGGAAGGGTTAGACTAAAATTCAGCCTTCAGAGAAAGGTGTGGAGAGCCTGAGGCTTTTTTACCAGTGTTCCTGAAAAGTTACCTCTACTGCCTGCTGAGAAAAGCTGCATCTGTTGAGAACTTTGTGCTGAGCATCAAAAGTGGCTATTAGTTACTAGCAGTCCTAATAGATAGTTCCTGATGTAGGAACCTGGGCTCAGTGTTGTTAAACAACTCACCTCTATCACAGCATTAATAGATTAGAGTCAGGATGCCAATTCAAAGCAAAAGCACTTTTCAGGAACCAGCCTTTCTTTTTAAATCAAGCATCTGAGGTTTCTTAATATTTCCAAAACAGTACCTTAGGATCAGTTTATATCATGAAAATCACAACTTCTAACCAAATCATTAACTACTGCAATAATTAGTAGTCTTAAAAATACTGGGCCAGGTGTGGTGGCTCACACCTGTAATCCCAGCCCTTTGGGAGGCCGAGGCGGGTGGATCACTTGAGGTCAAAAGTTCAAGACTAGCCTGGCCAACATGGCAAAACCCCTTCTCTACTAAAAATATAAAAATAAGCCGGGCATGGTGGTGCATGCCTGTAATCCAAGCTACTCGGGAATCTGAGGTAGGAGAATCGCTTGAACCCAGGAGGCAGATGTTGTAGTGAGCTGAGATCACGCACTGGACTCCAGCCTGGGCAGCAGAGTAAGACTCCATCTCAAAAAAAAAAAAAAAAAAAAAAAAATAGCAGTTTTAGTGGCAGATTTGAGAAATAACAGAATCAAACACTAGACAGTGTTGTCAGTGTGGCATATTTTGTTCTATGTGTATTTGGTAATTCTAATAATCCTGGTGTGAAGTTAGATTTTGAGCTTTAAACTATCCATTTGGGCATCCTCTAGGTTCAGCATTATGAATAAATCTGTAAAAGAAAAATCCATATGCATTTCAGCCATTTCCGAAAGTTATTTTTAATATCATCTGTGCTTTTTGTAAGTGCTATAAATGTTCCTGCCAAAGAATCCATATTTTGGGGGCTGTAAGTCAGGGTGAGAATGTATTGCATGAAAAAACTGTCGGTATCACTGGTTTCTTAAACACTGCCGTGTTCGACATGTGAGTTAATAAACAAATCACTGTTTTGAGTGAGAAGGAAAAAAGGGAGGAAGGAAATATGGAAATGTTCAGGGAGCCCTTACTGTGGGGCAGACCTTGAATTTTGAGCTCTTACATTCTTTAATCCTCACCACGCCCATTTGCAGTAGCAGCTGTTTCAGTGTTACAGATGAGAAAATTAGTGTTCAGTAAAGGAAACATGTCTCTGCTCTGCATTCTTACAGAGCAGCTTTTGAATTCCTTTGGGTTTGTGTCTGTAGCGAGGTAGCCCTCCCCTCCAAGTGAACCAGCCTTCACATAACACACAGTCCCTGGTTGCCAGGCCACCTTTTTGTTCTTTGATGGATGTGGTTTTCTTTTTTATTAGGAAAACAAATCACGTATTAATGCAGTGAACGCAATCTTAAAGGCATTTCCAACATCAACTAACAGTGTTTTCTTTGGTTTCACATTTGTGATTTTTGCCATTTAAATGGAAGATGGTTGTGAGTTTTAAAAATTCATGTAAGAATAAGGGATCTTCAGTCCACAAAAGCACCTAGGACCCCGTTGTTCCATGCATTATTTTAACCAGCAGATATTCATTGTGTACCTACTACATGCCAGGACTCCACTGTGGTTTATAGCCTGCTATTCTGTTATAGCCTGGCCCTGATGCACATAAAGGTCTATTAAAAACTGTATTACAAGCCGATGGAATAATCAAGGGCTGGAGAACCACTCTACTGAAGGGTAGAGACCCCCAGACACCAGGCGCCACATTTTCCACTTTCTCTTCCAGAACCTCACTCTGCAGCCACTGCTGCTGCCAGCACCAAAGCGCTTCTCCCCAGGAGCGCACCCTTGGAGCACCCCCCTCCTCCTTCTGCCCAAAGGAAGGAAGTGAGTTTCCCTACCCTTTCCTCTTGTGTTACTGGTTCTTGAGCCCACATCTCTCTGGATGTGCCTGATTGGGGGCTTGCTGGTGTCCTGCCTGCAAGAGAGGCTGGAAAAGTGAGTGGAGCTGGGGATGGTCCTTTGCCCTCCTGCCCTCCACGCCCACCAGGACTCATAAAGTGGTTGATTCTTCCAGCCTAGAAAGAAGTTCAGATGCTGGGTTGCCAAAAGGAAAGATAAATGTCATCTGTGACTGGATCAAACATGGACATGGAACTTTCTGTCTAGCAGAAAGAGTAAACAGATAAATAATTGCATACATTATTAAGGTAAGTGTTAAGGAGAGACAGAATTATGAGAACCTATAAAATGGGGACTTAGCTGAAGCGGCCTTTAAACCAAGCCCTGAAAGCTGAGAAGCTGTGAGCTGCCAGGGGAAAGGGTGGAGAAGAACTTCCCAAGAATAGGGAACAGCAAATGCTCTCAAAGTCAAAAAGAACAGGAGCGTCGCTGAAAGACAGCCAGTGATGACACCGAGAGCTGGGAGAACTTGGAGAGACAGCATATGGATTAGGAAGGGCCTTGGAGGCCACATCGACAATTATAGACTTTATTCAAAGGGTTTTGGGAAGTCACTAGAGAGTTTTAAATAGGGGAACAACAGGCTTAGGTTTTTAGGTTTGCATTATTAAAAGACCAAAGAGCACTCTTTTTTTTTTCTTTTTTTCTTTGAGACACGGTCTTGCTCTGTCACCCAGGCTGGAGTGCAGTGGCGTGATCTCGTTTCACTGCAACCTCCGCCTCCGGGGTTCAAGCGATTCTCCTGCCTCAGCCTCCCAAGTAGCTGGGATTACAGGCACCCACCACCACGCAGGCTAATTTTTGGTAGAGACAGGGTTTCGCCATGTTGGCCAGGCTGATCTCAAACTCCTGACCTCAGGTGGTCTGCATGCCTTGCTCAGCCTCCCAAAGTGCTGGGATTACAGGCGTGAGCCACTATACCTGGCCACTCTTTTAAACTTAGAGAATGAAATTGAGACAGACAAGCATAGGTATGAGATGACCAGTTAGGAGGAAGTTATTACAGTGGCTTAAAACTAAATTTGTGGTGGAGATGGGGGAAAAAAAGATGGATTTGAGAAATATCCAGGAAGTACAATCGGTAAGATGGGATGAATGACGGGATATGTCACCCCAGAGTGTCAAAGGACACACCTAGCTTGCTTCGGAATTACAGTTGCATTTCTTGAGGGACAGCGTCTGGTGGTCCAGAAGGAGGGTGGGAGCGGTGTGTCAGGCAGCCATGCAGAAGCATTGACTGCGCCATTGGATACAAGAGTCGGGAACTCAGAATAGAGACCTGGCTGAGAGAGACTTTGGACTTAATTAGCAACCAGTGGTAGGTGAAGCCGCAAAATGGATAACATGACCTGGGGCTGGGGGAGGGGGTGGAGAGAAAAAGGAAGGTCTAGGAAGAGCCCAGAGAACTCCAACATGGAAAGATTTGCAGAGGAGAAGCTAAAAGGAAGTTGAAAAGGCCAGACAGCAAGAGGAAAACCAGGCCCTGAGAAGAGCATTTTTCAAGAGCTGTGAAGCCACGTGTTTCAAGATCAATGGAAAGGAGGGACTGTCTGGCACATATTGGTTTCATCAACATGGAAATCATTCATCTTAACAGCTGCCCTTTTGGAAGCTTGCTGGAGATGGGAGTTAGACTAGGGTGCTCTGAGAGTGTGAAGAGGTAAAACAACGGGAAAACAGCAGCCCTTTCTGCAAAATGTGGCCCTGAAGGGGAGTGAAGAGAGATGATAAGCAGAGGGAATATGGGCTTGAGGAAGGATTTTTTTTTAAGGTGGGACAGATTTGAGCATATTTAAATACTAGTGGGAAGGCTCTGTATTGGGACTCTCTTGAGAAACAGAGCCAATAGGATGTGTGTAAATAAAGAAATTTGTTACAAGGGCCTGACTCACTGGTTATGAAGGTTGGCAAGACCAAAATCTGCAAGGTAGGACAGCAGGCTGGAGACCCAGGGAAGAGTCCATGGTGCAGTTCCAGCCCGAAGGCCAACTGCTGCAGATTCCGTCTTGCTCCTCGGGCTTTTATTCCAGTGAGGCCTTCAACTCAATGGATGAGGCCCACTCCACCCGTACTATGGAGGGCAAGGGGCTTTACCCAAAGTCCCCCAATGTAAATGTTAATCACAATCGCATCCAAAAACACCCTCGCGAAAGTGACCAAATATTGGCACCATGGCCCGGCCAAGTTGACCTATAAATTCATCATCACCGAGAGATGTGGAGGATACAGGAGAGGGCAGAGGGGGCAAGGTTTTGTTTCGTTTTTAACACAGAGAAGCACCAGTATTCCAGAAGCTCCCTCCATACCCTTCGGCTCCAAGGCCCTGATGGCTCCATAAGGAACAACAAACGTGACCTGTTTCAATGCCATTCAAACCAACAAAGATGGCTTGTAACATGATTTTTAAAGCCATGTTTGCGACCACATTTAACACTTGCAATTACGACCACGCCTGGTATGTGAGTTTGAGAACACATTGCCAAGGAGGGCTAAACTGTTCTTTATAGTCAAGGGAGAGGAATTTGAGGTTGAGTGTCAGATCAGCTTCCTAGGGGACTGGGAAGGAGACGGGGAGAGGAAGGAGGCAACAGATACTCTCTTTCTGAAAAGGCTCTGAAATGTAAATCTGTCCTCCTCTTTCTTCCAAACAAAAAATCCCATCGCAGAGACAGGGTGGGTTATTTGGGGGGGCCCTCAGAGAAACTTGAATTTCACAACCGGGTCAGAATTGTAACTTGGAGATAGCACATGGGAAAACTATTATTTTTCTCCATTATTTATTTATTTATTGTGTGTGTAGAGGGGGGTGGGGGGTAGAGACAGGGTGTCACCGTGTTTGCCAGGCTGATCTCAAACTTCTGAGCATAGGCAATCCTCCTGCCTTGGCCTCCCAAAGTGCTAGGATTACAGGCACTCACTTTTTAAAATTTAATGTACATAAGGAAAAACTTACTGTTCTTAGCGGACCATTCTGCAGATTTTGACAGGTAGGTACAATTGCATAATCACCACCACAATCAAGATACAGAACATTTCCATGCCCCAAAAATTCTCACATCTTCATTTTATTTTTATTTTTTAATTGGTAAATAATAATGATACATATTCATGGGGTACATGGTGATATTTTGAAACATTTAATGTATGGTGATCCTATCAGGGTAATTAGCATATGGACCATCTCAAACAACTGTCATTTGTTTGTGTTGGGAACGTTTGATATCCTCTTTCTAGCTATTTGAAACTATATGTTATTGTTAAGTATAGTCATCCCACAGTGCTATAGAACACTAGAACTTATTCTTTCATCTGGCTGTAATTCTGCATCCTATCCCCCTTCCTCTACCCTTCCCATCCTCTAATTATCCTCTGTTCTACTTTCCTCACATCCTCATTTTAAAAAACAAAATACTGATTGGAGAACTGAAAACAACTTCGATGGTTGTTTTGTATACTTAATGGTAGTTTTGGATGCTCACAGCAACAGTCATCTGACAAACTTGTTTAAAAAGGGGGTGGGGCAGACAAAGAAACAACATATATTTACTAATTATACCTGCACTGTGGCATCATAATTGCACAAATTGCATAAATGCTAGATGTATGCAGTTGTAAATATGCCTTCAAAATTCATTTTACTGGCTGGGCATGGTGACTCATGTCTGTAATCCCAACACTTTAGGAGGCCAAGGCAGGAGGACTGCTTGAGGCCAGGAGTTAAAGACCAGCCTGGGCAACATAGCAAGACTCTGTCTCTACAAGAAAAAAAAAAAAAAGCCAGGTATGGTGGGGCACACCTGTAGTCCTAGCTACTCTGGAGGCTAAGATGGGAGGATCACCTGAGCCCAGGAGTTGCAAGCTGCAGTGAGCTGTGATCGCACCACTGCACTCCAGCCTGAGTGAAAGGGCAAGACCCTGTCTCTTAAAAAAAAAACAAAAAAACTTTACAGGCAATATTTATTGGTTGAAACAGTGGTGTAAGAAACTCTCTTCAGCCATAGTCACACTTGGAACAGGATAAACATCTTCACAGAACAGAAGCAACAGGAACGTAGAACCATGGATCAAGGCGAACGCAATGGCAACAACCTTCCGCGCTCCTATTAGGAAACCAGTGGTGCAGCTGGAAAATCAGGGCTCTCGGTGTCCTCATGAGGTGGGCGTGGAGTCAGAGAGTGTTGATTCAGCCCTGCCATCTGCCTGGAGCCTCCAGGCCTGGGCGAACATGTGGACCACACACGTTGTGTCTGGCTTCTTCCACTGACATCGTGTTTGTGAGGTTCACCCACACTGCAACACGCTGTCAGTTCCAACATGCTATCAGTTCTTCATTCCTTTTTATGGCGGTAGAATGTTCCAGCATATGGATATACACTCCCTAGACTTTTTACAATGAAATATTTTAGACATAAAAAGATCCACAAAATAATAGAATGAATAATGTGAGGAGTCCACAGCTTAGGGAGTGAAGCCTATTTGTCAATTACTCTATGCTTGTGGGAAACACAGCCTTGCTGTCATGTTAATAGAATTTCAGGAGGAAGCAGAAGTAGATGGGTGGGTTTGAGCTGCCCTCTCCACTCAGAAGTCCTTGTTTGACCTTGTCGTACTGTATGGATGTAGAACTTTGACAAAAATAACACTAAGTAAAAATAAAATAAGGTCAAATTTAGAAGTAATCAGGAAGGTTCCAATGGAAGTGAGCATGAGTTATTACTTGGTGTAAATCAAAATGGCTAATTAATTAATTAATTTAGAGATGGTTTTGCTCTGTCACTCAGGCTAGAGTGCAATGACACGATCTTGGCTCACTGCAACCTCTGCCTCCTGGGGCTCAAGCAATCCTTCCTCCTCAGCCTCCTGAGTAGCTGGGACTACAAGCACGTGCCACCATGCCCAGCTAAGTTTTGTACACATGGGGAGACTATAGGTGCACACTACCACGCCCAGCTAATTTCTGTATTTTTTGTGGAGATGAAGTTTCACCATGCTGCCCAGGCTGGTCTCAAACTCCTGGGCTCAAGTGATCCATCTACTTCGGCCTCCCAAAGTGCTGGGATTTACAAGCATGAATCACTGCGCCCGACCAAAAATGTTTTAAAAAGCCTGTCTCTGCAGGTGGGGGTGAGAAGAAAGGACTCCTATAAGTGCTGGTGGAAATGGGGATCAGAAGGGTCTTTTTGGAGACAGTTGGCAGCATTTATGAACAGTCGACATATACCCTTTGGTCTTCGAATCTGACTCTTAGGAATCTATCCCATGGGAAAAAAACATACCACACATACCAAGTTTGTAATGATATGAGTGAAAGAATGTTTATCAGTGCTGCCTGTAAAGGCCTCAAATGGAAATGAGTGAAGCCTATCAGTGGGCGATGGCCGGATAAGCTCTGGTTCCTCCATATCAATGAATAGTGAACAGCCATTTAAAAGAATATGTGAGTCACATTAGATATCTTGCTGTGAATTTCATTTTTAAAAAAGCATGATGCAAGAAAGTCTGTAAAATATTATTCAATTTATATTAAATAGGGTCTACCCTCATTTATACTTTAATATATGTATATGCACATAGTTGTGTATGGCATTGTATGACTGTGGAGATAAATGACTAATGGGAAGTGTGGGGATGGGGCCCTCATACGGTGGTGGTGGTGATGGGGAGGGTAGTTGAGGTGCCCAAAACAGCATGTATGACGTGTTCCTGTTTAGGTCAACTGACATACATGGGTGTGTCTATTTAAAAAGAAAAGAATTTTGTCAGGGTCGGGTGTTCTGGCTCATGCCTATAGTCCCAGTGCTATGGGAGGTGGAGGCAGGCAGATCACTTGAGCCAAGAGTTGGAGACCAGCCTGGGCAACATGATGAAAACCCATCTCTACAAAAAATACAGAAATTAGCTGGGCGTGGCAGTCAGTGTGCACCTGTAGTCTCCCCAGGTCCAATCACTCCTCCCTTCCCACCAAAGGACCAGCATCTGCCACCTCATGGACAATCCGCTTTAATTGCAAGGTTGGGTTTTCGCCTTTAAAACGCAGTGTTTCTCAGTGGCTTCTGGGACAACTCACTTGCCTATCAAATGAGGCTCTTATCCTGAAATACACTCCACACACACACACATATACACACGTGCGCGCACAGACACAGAGCATCAAGGAGAACCAGAACTTTAGAAAAAGCAGAGTTCTGAACACTCATCTCCTCTCCCTCTTGAGACCCTGCCAAAATTACGGTAAAGGAACTTAAAAAGAGAATAAACTGATCCTTATAAAGACAATGGAAGAGGAGCAGCAGCAGATTTCAGCACATCATGGAAGAAGAATGCCAAGAGGAGTATGATCTCACCGTCTCCTCACATTGCAGTGAGGGCTGGAGCCCAGCAGCTGCTGGGCTCACTTTCTCCTGATGGGCTCTGCTTAAAACAAGGCTGCTTTGGGCCAGGCTTGGTGGCTCATGCCTGTAATCCTAGCACTTTGGGAGGCCGAGGCAGGCGGATTGCCTGAGTTGAGGAGTTCAAGACCAGCCTGGGCAACACAGTGAAACCCCGTCTCTACTAAAATAAAAAAAAGTAGCAGAGTGTGGTGGCGCGCGCCTGTAGTCCCAGCTACGCGGGAGGCCGAGGCAGGAGAATTGCTGCAACCCGGGAGGCAGAGGTTGCAGTGAGCCGAGATCGCGCCACTGCACTCCACCCTGGGTGACAAAGTGAGACTCCATCTCCAAAAAAAATTTTAAAAAAACAAACAAAATGAGGCTGCTCTGACGTCAATTCTTGCTGCGATCCTCAAGTCCCCCAGAAGAATTCTCCCTGTATCTTCCTGTGCCTGGCAGGAGTTCCGTTTGACTCTGGCTCAGCATCATGGCCAAAGGCAGGCAGAGGCAAAGGGAGGGGTGAAGGCAGGGTGAGGCCCTTCACAGAGAGAGAGAGACACACAGATGGGACAAATGATCCCTTCAAAGCTTAATGTCTCAGGCAAACTGACCTAGCTACTGCATAAAGTCAGTTTTTTGAACTAGGATCTAACTCATCAGGATTTAAATTTATTTTACTCTAATATGTGGTTTTATTGAAATTAATTATATTTGCAAACACAAATTTTTAAATCTTTTCTCATGAAAGTCAAATTCTGAGTGTCTCAAATTAATGCACTGATTAGTCTCTGTGACTGTAGAAGTGTTTTGTTTTGTTTGTGTTTTTAAAATTGTGGTAAAACAAGCATAACATGCAATTTACCATCTTAACCATTTTTCGTGTACAGATCACTAGTGTTAATTATAAGCACACTGTTGTAAAATAGGTCTCTAGCACTTTTTCATCTTGCAAAACTGCACTTATTGAATGGCAAATCCCTGTTCCCCTTCCCCAGCCTCTATTCTACGACCACTCTTGTACTTTGTTTGACTATTTTAACATCTCATGTAAGTGAAGTCATACAGAGTTTTTGTTTTTTTGTGACTGACTTCTTTTACTTTGCATCATGTCTTCGAAGTTTATCCATGTTCTAGCATAGGACAAGATTTCCATCTTTTTTTGAAGACTGAATAACATTCCATTTTATGGATAGACCACATTTTATTCATTCGAACACTAGTGGGCATTTGGGTTGC
Organism: Homo sapiens; assembly: GCF_000001405.40. Taxonomy (NCBI): domain Eukaryota; kingdom Metazoa; phylum Chordata; class Mammalia; order Primates; family Hominidae; genus Homo; species Homo sapiens. Next base: position 26,427,592 of record NC_000008.11, read on the forward strand.
TTCCACCTCTTGGCTATTGTGAATAATGCTGCTATGAACATGGTGTGCAAATATCTCTGAGATCCTGCTTTAAATTTTTTTCGGATATATACTCAGAAGTAGGATGATTACAGAATCATTACAATAATTCTGTTTAATTTTTTGAGGAACCTCCAAACTGTTTTCCATAGCGGCCGCTATTTTACATTCCCACCAATAGGGCACAAGGGTTCAATTTCTCCATGTCTTTACCAACAACTGTCATTTTGTTTTCGTTTATAGGGCCCATCCTAATGGGTGTGAGATGATCAAGATTTAAATTTGTAATCTTGACCTTGACATGATTTATACCTAGTAAGATAAACATCATAGTTAAAAGCCACGTGTGTGTGTGTGTGTGTGTGTGTGTGTGTGTGCACACATAAGAAGGAGGGAGAGAGGAGAAACGAGGGAGACTGTGCAGGTATAAAGTGCATATTTTTGCTAATTAGTCCTGAGAATATAGCTGGAATTCTTTGGGAATGAAGGATTCAGTGTGACATAGTGGCAGACACCCAGGGAGTGGAGACAGAAATTTTTTACTTTGCCATTGACTTGGGTTACTCTGGGGAAGCATGTAAATTCTCTGAGTCTCAGTCTCTTCCTAGTGAGGATTAAAAGAAATATACACGTAAAAGAAGTGGGCCTGGCATGTATCAAACACTTAATTTTAAAATGTCAGCTGGAATAAATAAGACAACAAGAGGGGCGGGGCTAGGTCATTGCCAAGTTCAGCAGGTAGCTGAGTTCTTTACTTTGCAGATGTTGCTGAATCGTTTTCTTTATTCTAAAATACAGATAAAGTTCACTTTGCACAGCAGATGAGTTGAAGAGATACTGTGCCTGTGGGGAATGTTTTGTAATGAAGCAAATAAAACCGTAATGTTTTCTGGGAACTCTACATAAAGGAACCCATGGTGAAGTTAAATGTGATTTTGTAATACAAATAATTTATCTGATTGCTAACTACATGTTTCAATAGTTAGCTCCTTTCTTTCTGTCTCTTTCTCTTCCACCCTTTCTCCATCTTTTTCTTTCCCATCCCCTTTCAAAAAGGACTTCATGTTGCCATATCAAAGATAAGATTAAAAGAACAGCAACCCCATTACTGGGTCTATACCCAAAGGAAAATAAATCATTCTACCAAAAAGACACATGCACTTGTATGTTCATCACTGAGCTATTCACAATAGCAAAGACATGGAATCAACCCAGGTACCCATCAATGGTAGACTGGATAAAGGGAATGTGGCACATATACACCATGGAATACTACGCAGCCATAAAAAAGAATGAAATCATGTCCTTTGCAGCAACATGGATGGCACTCAAGGTCATAATCCTAAGCAAATCAGTGTAGGAACAGAAAACCACATGCTGCATGGTCTCACTTATAAGTGAGAGCTAAACGTTGAGCACACATGGACATAAATATGGGAACAACAGACACTGTGAACTACTAAAGGATGAGGGCAGTTGGGTTAAAAAACTACCTATCAGGGGCCGGGCGCGGTGGCTCACGCCTGTAATCTCAGCACTTTGGGAGGCCGAGGCGGGCGGATCACGAGGTCAGCAGATCGAGACTATCCTGGTCAGCACGGTAAAACCCTGTCTCTACTAAAAATACAAAAAAAAATTTAGCCAGGCGCGGTGGCAGGCGCCTGTAGTCCCAGCTACTTGTGAGGCTGAGGCAGGAGAATGGCGTGAACCCGGGAGGCAGAGCTTGCAGTGAGCCGAGATCACGCCACTGCACTCCAGCCTGGGCGACAGAGTGAGATTCCGTCTCAAAAAACAAACAAAAAAAACTACCTATCAGGTACTATGCTCACTCCCTGGGTGATGAGATTCGTACTCCAAACCTCAGCATTATGCAATATTCCCATGTAACAAATCTGCACATGTACCTTCTGTATCTAAAATAAAAGTTGAATTTTTTTAAAAAAATTAAAAGATAAATTGGAAGGAAAGGCAAAAAAGTATAGAAGAAAAATGTAAAGTTTGAGCAAATATTAATTCCCCAAACACAAATGTTATGACGAGAGCTTTTGTTAAAGGAAGGGTTAAACAAAACTTTGATCTGAGCATCCTGGTGTCCAGTGCAAAGAGGCAAACATAATTCAATCCATCAAAGTCCAAAAAACTGAAAGAAAACACACACACACACACACACACACACACACAGCCCAAAAAACTGAAAGCAAGCTGACTGCATAGTTTTGATCAGTGATGCCTGAAAAAATATTTTTTCCTTAGAGGTGTTAAAAAAAAAGGGCACGTTCTCAACAATATCCCTAAAATAAATATAACACTGAATTTTAAAAAATTCAGTGAAGTCGGCAAACCACAGCCTGGCTACTGCAGAAAATAGAATCTTTTGCCTAAGTTATTGTTGATCCCATCTTGTCCTTGTGAGTTCAAGATCTTGTGTGATTCTCAGAATTGACTCATAAAAAAAAACAAAGAAAAAGGGGACCTTATTGAACATTAGGAGCCTCATGCTTAACCTCAGAAATCCTACGGAAAATACTTGATTATTTAAATTTGATTACCACCTGTAATACCAGCACTTTGGGAGGCAGAGGCAGGAGGATGGCCTGAGGCCAGGAGTTCAAGACCAGCCTGGACAACATAGCTAGACTCCAACTCTATTTTAAAAAAATAAGTAAATAAAAAATAAAAATAAATTTGATTACCAAAAAAATTAAACTTATGTATGAGAAATACCATAAACAAAGTCAAAAGATAAATGATAAATTGGGAAAAGGTTTGCCAACACCTACGGTAAAGAGAAAAATTGTGTCTTCTGAGAAGGCACCCTCCCCCTGCCCTAATTTGCAGGTAAGTGTTGACAGTGTGGGGAAGACCCTCTACAGAAGACACTCTGCTATAATTTTTGGATCTTATAAAATGTCTATGAAAGCCTTTCTCCCAGAATCAGCCTTATCTAGAGACAGGGCTCAACTTCCAAGCTGCCGGGACACCCTGGAGCTTGTAACATGTCCATGTTTGGGCAGGCCTATGGCCTCTACCTTAGTTCCTGATGCTTTAGTAGCAAACTGATGCAGTAATAGTTGGTCACGGCTATGAGGTTGGGGCGGGGTGGACCGGTCCTGGGCACCCCACTTGGGCAATCTCTCCCTAACATAGGTTTTGGCTTCCCGTTTTGACTTGTAGATAATACCATTATATGCTTATTGCCTGCTGGGTCTTCCCAAGGATCTCTCCTAGGACTTCAGTCTCACCCTGTCTAGCATAAGACATGCCAGTCTCTTCTCCTGAAGCCCCTCCTCCTGTTCCTTATCTCCCCTGGAAAGTTGCCACCACTCACCTGCTCAAGCCCCAAGCTGGGCGGGACCTATACTTCCTTCTCTTTCGCTTCCCTGCAGGTCTGTTGTGTCACCGGTCTGTTGACTCTGACTCCATTATTTTTCCAGCATCCTTCTACTTTCCTGTCTTCCTGCTGCTCCTCCCTTGGTTTGGTCACTATACTCTTTCTGAAATGCAAATCTGATCAGACCACTTTTATTTCTTTTTTTTTTTTGAGGCTGAGTTTCGCTCTTGTCGCCCAGTCTGGAGTGCAGTGGCGTGATCTCGGCTCACTGCAACCTCCGCCCCATGGGTTCGAGCAATTCTCCTGTCTCAACCTCCCAAGTAGGTGGGATTACAGGCGCCTGCCACCACGCCCAGCTAATTTTTGTATTTTTAAGTAAGAGACGGGGTTTCACCATGTTGGCCAGGCTGGTCTCGACCTCCTGACCTCAGGTGATTCACCACCTCGGCCTCCCAAAGTGCTGGGATTACAGGTGTGAGCCACCGTGCCCAGCCGATCATATCACTTTTTGCTTAAATCCTTTCAGTGGCTTACTGATACTATTAGTGTAAAGGCCAAACTCCTGCTCTTGTCTAGTGGGGCAGAAAACAAATATATAAGCAGATATTTTGATACATTCTATAATAAAGGTCATTTTAGATAAGTACAATCAAGAAAATAAAAGTGCGATGCACTAGATGTGAGTGTAGATGTTAGTATAGTTGGATTTTGGGGAGGAAGATGACATTCATGCTGACCCCGGTCTATGAGAGAAAGCACAGCCAGGCAGCTCCCCTCCTTCCTCTCCCACCTTTATTTTTGGTATAAATTGATGGTGTTTATGTGCAGTTTTGTTACATGCATAGATTGCATAGTGGTCAAATCAGAACTTTTGGGGTATCCATCACTTGAATAACATATGTTGTACCCACCAACTAATTTCTCACCATCTACCCTTCCCCCCGCACCCTCTCAGTCTCCGTGGTCTATCATTCCACTCTTAATTTGCATGTGTGGACATTTTTTAGAACCTACTTAAGAGTGAGAACATGTGATATTTGACTTTCTGTGCCTGGCTTGTTTCACTTAAGATAATGACCTGTAGTTCCATCTATGTTGCTGCAAAAGACGTGATTTCATTATTTTTTAATGGCTGAATAATATTCCATGGTGTATATGTATCACATTTTCTTTATCCATTCATCACTGATGGACACTTAGGTTGATTCCGTATCTTTGCTATTGTGAATAGTGCTGTGATAAACATACAAGTGCAGGTTTTTTTTTTTTTTTTTTGAGACATAGTCTCGCTCTGTCACCTAGGCTGGAGTACAGTGGCATGATCTTGGCTCACTGCAACCTCTGCTTCCTGGGTTCAAGTGATTCTCCTGCCTCAGCCTCCTGAGTAGCTGGGACTACAGGCACACGCCACCACGCCTGGCTAACTTTTGTATTTTTAGTAGAGACGGGCTTTCACCATATTGGCCAGGCTGGACTTGAACTCCTGGCCTCAAGTAATCTGCCCGCCTTGGCCTCCCAAAGTGCTGGGATTACAGGCATGAGCCACAGCGCCCGGCCATTTTTAATTTATATTAAACCAGAAATGTATTACCATTAATGCATTAATATCTTTCACTACTAAATACTGAAAAAACATTGAAATTATTTCTGTAGAAGATTTGTCCTGGCAATGTTAACTTCACAGCAGACCGACACTACGTAGCTCACATTTCAGACACAATGGAAAAGCAGATCCATGCTGGTGTTAGTGTGCAATCTTCTCCTACACTAAAGTCAGGGTCACCTTGGAGTACATTTAATAAAAAAACAAAGAGCATACAGAGATTTACAATAATTTTAAAGACAAAAAAATGGTCCTTTTATGTTGTCCCAACAATAAACTCAAAAGTCTATGACAAATAGAGGTTCTGATGGGTTGTTTATAAATTCTTTAGATTAGGTATAATGATAATGAAAGTGGAGTTCATTTGAAGTCTTCAAAAAAAAAAAAGTTCCTGTTAATCCTCAAATGATGCTTGCTACAGTTTAACATTTCTGTTAAGAGCATGCATTGAATTACTTGTTACCCAAGCGCAGCAGCTGTTCCTTACCACTTACTGTTAAGGGCTTTAACTGGCCGTCTTCTTCAACTTCTACCCTTTCTTGACCATTCTCGACAATTCTCTTTGCAGTCTCTCGAAGTCAAATTTAAGTGCAAATATATTACATAAAAGAGGTAATGCTATGAAATATTATCTATTAATAGCTAGACATAAATTTGTTTCCAAAATGAGACCTAGGGATTCTGGAGCTGGGAGAAAGAGCCAGAGGCCTGGTAAGCATGGGTCCTGCCGTAGGACCTGTGTGAGAATCCCTGTTCGTTGGGAGGGGGCAGTAGCGGGAGTTGTGAGGGATAAAGGGGAAGTGAAAAAGAAAGGAGAGTGTATTCGTTCATTTTCATACTGCTATAAAGAAATGCTTGGGACTGTGTAATTTATAAAGGAAAGAGGTTTAATTGACTCACAGTTCCGCATGGCTGGGGAGGCCTTAGGAAACGTAGTGATTTTTCTGTCATTAACCATTTTAGTAGAAGTTGATATCGATTTGAAGTTGCTCATCCCACTACCACCAAATGATGTAGAAGAGAATGAAGTGAGGTCTCCCTGACCTAGTGACCCAAATGAAGTAAATCCTGTATCAAAAGAAGAAAATTCATTTCCGAAAGATGGAAATACACTGAATGTGGAGAAAAACGACCCCATCCCTCGGCGTCTGCTTCTTCAGGGACCCCTTCAATTCCCAAAAAAGTCGTCAAAAGAAGTCAAATGAAAATGGGTCCCTTTCACCAAAAAATTCCCTGAAGACATCATCTGGGTTACGGAATGTGAAGCCAAAATCAAATGGACCATCAAAATGACTTCCACCTCCCCCTCCACCAGTGCATCCTTCTTTGCCACATTTGTCATAGATGTCCCGTTTCTTAGCATCTGACAGCCCTTCATAACACCTCCGCTACTTGTTTGAGTTTTCTGTCTGCTTCTTCTTTATTGATCTGGGTGCCACTTCAGGGCCAGTTTCTGATATGCCTTTGTAACATCCTCCGGTGAGGCATGTCTCTGCACACCGAGAACTTCCTAGTCATCCACCGTGTTTTAAGAGATTGTTGGTATTGGTCCGAGGACAGAGGCGGCTGGTGGCGGGATGCAGGCGGCTGGTGGCGGGATGCAGGGGTGGCGGCCCGGATCTCTTCCCGGCTCCAGGCACTGCTGTGCTGGTGGCGGCAGCGGCTCCTCGTGCTTTCCTTTGCCTCATTTCTGAAATTTTAATTTTGAAAAAAATGAGATGGGGTCTTCCTATATTGTCCAGCCTGGTCTCAGACTCCTGGCCTCAAGCGGTCTTCCCAGCTTGGCATCCCAATCATGCCAGGATTATAGGCATGGGCCACCAAGCACAGCCAGAAATGCCACTGATTTTTGTATATTGATTTTGCATCCTGCAACTATATTAAATTCATTTATCAAATCTAAGATTTTTGGTGGAGTCTTTAGATTTGTCTAGGCATAAGATCATGTCATCTGCAAACAGGGACAATTTGACTTTCTGTTTTTCAATTTGGATGCCTTTGATCTATTTCTCTTGCCTGATTGCCCTGGCTAGGACTTCCAGTACTATATTGAATAGGACTCTCCTACCTCTTTGAAGGCACTGTACTTTGTGGCTTTGAGACGTAATCAGACTGTTCTTTCTGCCTCATTTGTTCCTCTCTCTCTCTTCACTTGACTAAGAATTACCTTCAGGTCACTTCTTTAAGGGAGACTGCCCATCCCATGGAACTCTGTACTTTGTGCTTCATGTCAAGTTGTTTTGCAGAAGGTGTGTTCCACGTCTGCACTCCTACAGGCAACTATTGTCCATTCTTTTAAATCTCAGCCATTTTGTTAGGCAAGTGATAGTATCTCATTGTTGCCTTAATATGTATTTTCTTTGAGTCTAATGAGATTGGACATATTTTTATGTTTTCTGTCCATTTGAGCTTTTCTTTTGTGGCTTTCCAACTTCCCTCTTTCATTTATGTTTCTGTTGGTGTGATCATAGCATTAGCATTCACCTAACAGCATGGTTGCTGCATGCCCAGGATTAACATATGTGAGGTGGTTATTAGGGGCTGGATCGCGCCCTCCCCAAATTCACCATTGTTGAAGCTCTGGGATTATATTTGGAGACAGGTCCTTTAAAGAGGTGATTAAGTTAGAAGGAAGTGGTTACCCTGGTCCTTAATCCAATCTGACTGATGTCCTTACGAGAAGAGATTAGGACGCTCAGAAAGAGACACCACAGATGCACATGAACTGAGGCCACGCGAGGACACGGCCAGAAAGCTGCTTCTCTGCAAGCCAAGGGGAGAGGCCGCAGAAGAAACCAAATCCACTGATACCTTGCTCTTGGACTTCTTTTATTTATTTATGCATTTATTTAGAGATGGAGTCTCCCTCTGTTGCCCAGGCTGGAGTGAAGTGGCATGATCTCAGCTCACTGCAGTCTCCGCCTCCTGGGTTCAAGTGATTCTTCTGCCTCAGCCTGGCAAGTAGCTGGGATTACATATGCCCACCGTCATGCCCTGGTAATTTTTTTTTTTTTTTTGAGACAGAGTCTCGCTCTGTGGCCCAGGCTGGAGTGCAGTGGTGTGATCTCAGCTCACTGCAACCTCTGTCTCCTGGGTTCAAGCAATTCTCCTGCCTCAGCCTCCTGAGTAGCTGGGACTACAGGCATGCACCACCATTTTTTTTTTTTTTTTTTTTTTTTTGAGACAGAGTCTCACTCTGTCACCCAGGCTGGAGTGCAGTGGTGCAATCTCATCTCACTGCAAGCTCCGCCTCCCGGGTTCACGCCATTCTCCTGCCTCAGCCTCCCGAATAGCTGGGACTACAGGCGCCTGCCACCAAGCCCAGCTAATTTTTTGTATTTTTAGTAGAGATGGGGTTTCACCGTGTTAGCCAGGATGGTTTCGATCTCCTGACCTCGTGATCCACCTGTCTCGGCCTCCCAAAGTGCTAGGATTACAGGAGTGAGCCACCACACCTGGCCTCTTTTTTGTATTTTTAGTAAAGACGGAGTTTCATCATGTTGGCCAGGCTGGTCTCGAACTCCTGACCTCAAGAGATCCGCCCCATCTTGGCCTCCCAAAGTACTGGCATTACAGGTGTGAGCCACTGAGCCGGGCCATTGTTTTTGTATTTTTAGTAAAGATAGGGTTTCACCATGTTGGCCAGGCTGATCTGGAACTCTTGGCTTCAAGTGATCTGCCGCCTCAGGCTCCCAAGGTGCTAGGATTACAGATGTAAGCCACCGCCCCCGGCCATGGACTTCTAGCCTCTTGAACTTTGAGAAGTTAAATTTCTATGGTTGAAGTCATCCAGTCTGTGTGGTACTTTGTTGTGGTATCCTTAGCAAATGCAGCAGTGTTCCAGGCACTGGGGTTTCAGCATCAAAGAAGACAGAGAAAGTCCCTGCTCTGATGGATTAAAGCAGGAGGCAAAAAAATAAGATCTAATATAAACCTTTATTTATTTATTATATTTATATTTATGTCAAATTAGAAATGCCTATTTATAGTAAGACACAAATAAGATAGAAGGAAATAAATAATAGTAGTGATAGGGTAGGAAGAAAATAAATAGGGTGGGGTCATAGAGCGTGATGGAGGCTTGCTAGGGAGGTCTGGAAGGCGGAAAAGGTCTCTCTAAGGGGGTAAGACCTAAACTTGTGCTGAGGTCTGAAGACAGGAAGAAGCCAGCCTTGCAGAGGTAGAGACTGGCAAGTATGCAGTGCAGAGGCCCTGAGGTAGCCATTGTGGTTGCAGGAGTTCACAGCTTGTAGCTGCATCACTGTGACCTCAGCCTTGGTCTTCACGTAGCCTTTTCCTCTGTGTGTCTGATCTCCCTCTGCTTCTCTCTTATGGGACACTTGCGGTGGCATTTAGGGCCCTCCCAGCTAATCCAGGACAAGCACCTCATCTCAAAATCCTTACCCTAATCACACCTGCAAAGGCCCTTTCTCCTTATTAGGTAGTATGAGGTTGGTGCAAAAGTCATTGAGGTTTTTGCCATTGAAAGTAGTGACAAAAACTGCAATGACTTTTGCACCACTTTAATATTTTCAAGTTCCAGGGATTAGGCCCTGATATCTTTGGGTGGCCATTAGTCAGCCTATGATCACATGGCTGAGGATAGGAAGAAGGTGGGATCTGATGGAAACATATGAATGTCAGGGAGAAGCAAAGATGGGGTGGAGAAGCAGCAGGATCACACCAGGGTGGACCATAATAATCTTAGAGATATTGATCTCTAAGAGCAATGGGACACAATGACAGGTTTGGCAGGGGAGGGAGTGAACCAGCTTCTGTTTTACAGCTGCGTGGAGAGAAGTGGAATATCCAGTCTCTAAAGGACATTTCCCTTCTTTTTTCGAGATGGAGTCTCGCTCTGTTGCCCTGGCTGGAGTGCAGTGGCATGATCTTGGCTCACGGCAACCTCCACTTCCCAGGTTCAAGTGATTCTCTTGCCTCAGTCTCCCGATTAGCTGGGACTACAGGCATGCGCCACCATGCCTGCCTAATTTTTGTATTTTTTTTTTTTTTTTTTTTTTTTTTTAGTAGAGGTGAGGTTTCACCATGTTGGCTAGGCTGGTCTTGAACTCTTGGCCTCAAGTGATCCACCCACCTCGGCCTCCCAAAGTGCTTGGATGACAGACATGAGCCACCACACCCGGCCCTTCTAAAGGACATTTCATCATGTCAGTGAGTGATCTCTGCAAGCCACAGATGTGGAGGGCGGAGAAGATGGGGGACCCCGTGAGAGGCTGAGGCATGCCCTCTGCTGGTCAGCATGGCCACTGTTTGTAACCTTCCAGGTGCAGTCATCTCAGAAAGTGAGAGGCAGTGAGCACGGTGGTCCGGAGCCAGGAGCTTGGAGCCAGTCTGCTCGGGAGGAATCCTGGTTCTGACACTTAGTCACACAGACTTAGGCAAGTCGCCTAATCTCCTGCACCTGATTTCTTCTTCTTCTGTAAATAATATCAGCAGTTGCACTTCTGGCTACCCCCAAAGAAGTGAAAGCAGGGGCTGGAAGGGATGCTTGCCCACCTGTGTTCACAGCAGCACTATTCAGAATAGGCAAAACGTGGAAGCAACTCAAGTGCCCGTCAAAGGATGAACGGATAAACAATGGCGGCTGAATGTACAAGGGAATATTATCTAGCTTTAAAAAGAAATGAAATTTGGACACATGCTACACACAACACGGGTGAAGCTTGAGGACATTATGCTAAGTGAAATAAACCAGACACAAAAAGAAAGTACTGTGTGATTCCACTTATATGAGGTACATAGAGGAGTCAAGTTCATAGAGACAGAAAGTAGATGGAGTTGCCAGAGGCTGGGGAAGGGGAGGAGGGAATGATTGCTTAATGGGCATAGCATTATGGTTTTGCAAGATGAAACCATTCCGGAGGTGGATGGTGGTGATGATTGCACAACAATTTGTGTGCATTTAATTGGCACTGGACTGTACACTTACAAATGGTTAAGATGGCAAATGTAATGTAGATTTTACCACAATAAAAAGGGAGGGGGATGATAATAGTATCTGTTTATTGTGAGGATTAACTGAGCTGATACGTGTAGAGTATGGGGCAGTGTCCAGAAGCAGCAGGTGCTCAGTGAATGTCAGTTATGATTGTTCTCTAAACACATTCACCTTAGTAAGATGCACACTCATTTTATTTCTATGTTTATTTTTTTTGAGACAGGGTCTTACTCTGTTGCTCAGGCTGAAATACAGTCGTGTGATCACCGCTCACCATAGCCTTGACCTCCTGGGCCCAAGTGATCTCCCACCTCAGCCTCCCGAGCAGCTGGGACTATAGGCATGTGCCACTATGCCCCACCAATTTTGTTGTATTTTTTGTAGAGGCGGGATTTTGCCATGTTCCCAAGCTGGTCTTGGACTCCTGGTCTTAAGTGATCCTCCTGCCTCGGCCTCCCAGAGTGGTGGGATTATAGGGGTGAGCCACCATGCTTGGCTCATTTTATAAACAATTGTCCCTAAGAGTCCACCATCTGGGCTTGTCCCCACATGATCCCTCATGTGACCCTCCAGTAGCCACCATAGTTGCTTCTGAGGTGTCTCTCATTCTCCCCTGAAAATGGGCAGAATCAGTTAACTTTCACTTAAGAGTTTTTAACCTTAGTTATAAATTAATCCGTTTTGTCGACAAAACTTGAGCCAAGACTCAGCTGACAATAGTCAGAAGTGCCTCAAGTACTTAGGTATTATATGGTCTGAGGACGGTTGGGTAATCCAGGTCTCCCATCAGGGAGCAAACTCCAGCCAGCCCTGAGAGGCAGGAGGTGCTTGGGCTGAGCTTGGGGCTGGGTGCCAGTGCCAGGCACCCTGGGTCTGGGCAGCACCCTCTTCCTGGCTTTCTGATCTGGTGACGACCCCAGTGCTGTTATCTTTTTTTTTTTTTTTTTTTTGAGATAGCGTCTCACTCTATAGCCCAGGCTGGAGTGCAATGGCAAGATCTCAGCTCATTGCAACCTCCACCTCCCAGCTCAACCGATCCTCCCTACCTCAGTCTCCTGAGTAGCTGGGACTACAGTTGTGTGTGATTGTGCCCAGCTAATTTTCGTATTTTTTTGTAGAGACAGAGTTTTGCCATATTGCCCAGGCTGGTTTCGAACTCCTGGACTCAAGTGATCCACCCGCCTCTGCCTCCCAAAGTGCTGGGATTACATACAGGTGTGAGCCACTGCACCCAGCCAGGCAGCTTTTTATTAGACTTTCACTAGGTCCTTGTAGGTGGAACCTTAGTGGTCACAGTGGGCCAGGAGGGTTTGGCTAGTTTTGGCCTTTGTAGCCATCTTTGAATTACACTATTAGTAGATCAGTCTGGTCTCTAAAAGGAAAAAGACCACAGTCATTATTGGAGTTTGACTATTCCGTTTAAAATGTAGCTTTTAAGTGAGGTACATCATAAAGGATCTACTGGCTGGGCACGGTGGCTCACGCCTGTAAGCCCAGCACTTTGGGAGGCCGAGACGGGCAGATCACTTGAGGCCAGGAGTTTGAGACCAGCCTGGGCAACATGGTGAAACCCCATCTCTACTAAAAATACAAAAATTAGCTGGGCATGGTGGTACGTGCCTGTAATCCCAGCTACTCAGGAGGCTGAGGCAGGACAATCACTTGAACCCGGGAGGCGGAGGTTTCAGTGAGCCAAGATCACTCCATTGCATTCCAGCCTGAGTGACAGAGCAAGACTCTGTTTAAAAAAGACAACGAAAACCGAAAAACAAAGAACAGGTGGAGTCTACTGACTTGCATGAGTCAGGTAATTCATTGACCGGGGCTGGTCAAAAAGATGGGTTGATCCTTACTGTGGAAGCTCTCAGCTGCCCTGCAATACTTTGGAAATAAACCAGGCAAAACACTGCTCAGTGTGCTGCACTCCAGACACAAACAGGAAGCTGCTCTTTCTCTGCTTCCCTCCCCCACAATCAGACTCTTGTAACTCTCTTTTCTTCTTTTTCTAAAATGAATCTGGGAGTTTCCTTTAGCCCCTGTTTTGTGGTCGCCTCCCATACACGTTTTATCTGTCCGTGGCATTTTCTTTTATTTATTGAAAGCACCGTGTCTTAGATCAAGTCTTGAGAAACAGAACCTGAGACAAACATGAATGTGGTTAATTGAACGAGCGCTGTGCAGGAAAAGCTGTACTGGAGAGAGGTAAGCGGACAGATACGGGGAAGAGCTGGGCCCAGCAAAGATGAGGTCTCAAGTAAAGCTTATGTTTGGCTTAATCCACCGGGGACGGTTCTGGAACATAAGCCACACCGCAGAGCTGTGATGTCACACCTTGAGGCGAGGGCCTTGCCTCCTGGTATCAGTCAGTCCTGGCTGTGGGGAGCAAGGTGGCTCCACTCAGTGCAAGGCCATCCTGGGCAAGGGGCAGCCCCCCTCACCGCAGTGGCCTGGCAGTGGGGCCCTGGGTCCGGCACAGCTCCTCCTTCGCACAGTGCTGTCTGCTCGCCCGGTGTCTTTCATGCCGTTTCCCACCAACTTCCCTCCTCTGCCTCCTGCTCTGCATTGCACAGTGCAGCGAGGTTGCCAATTCCATAGTTGTAGCGGCTGTGGGGGAAGGGGCAGGCGGGACAGGGGAGGCAGCCATCTAACTTTTGTCCTGACTCACGCAGGCCTGGCCTGGTGTTCAGAACACAAATGTGAAAAATCAGACCGGGAAGATCACGGGAGGCAGGAAGCATCTGGTTTGCAGGTAGGGAAGTGACAGACCCCGCGGATGCCATGCACAAGGGTACACAGTGGAGTGGGGATGAAATCAGGGCGGAAGTGCAGGGCTCCTGAGCCCGGGGCTGGGGCTGTTTCCCCAACTGTCCGCTGCCTCTGCTGCCTCCTGAGATCGTCTCCTTCTGCTGTCTGCCCGCTGGAACTTATTTTTAGTTTTAATTTTTTCGAGACAGGGTTTTAATCTGTCACCTGGGCTGGAGTGTAGTGTCGTGATCAGGGCTGACTGCAGCTTCAACCTCTCGGGCTCAAGTGATCCTCCCACCTTAGTTTCCCAAACAACCAGGACTACAGATGCATGCCACCAAGCCTGCCTAATTTATTTTTTTATTTTTCAATTTTTAGTAGAAATTTAAAAATCCCCCAGTGTGGCTGATTGGCTGACAGCCACACTGAAGCTTTATTCCTGCCTCTCCTCACTCAGCAATCCTCATTCCTCAAATACCTCTTCTCCCTGTTGTCCAAATGTCCCCTGTACTTCAAGACCCATAGGTCACATCCTCCAAGAAATCTTCCCAGTCCACACTTATCCTTCTTTTAAATCAGGGGTGCACACCCTGGTTACATGTTACAATCACCTAGGAAGCTTTAAAAAATAAGATTAGGGGTTAGGGAGAGGGGACCAGACCAGCTGAATCAGACTCTCTGAAAATAGGACCTGGGCATTTGTAGTTTTTAAAGCTCCCATGTCATTCTAACATAGCCAGGATTGAGAAGTACCGTTCTAAGCAAATATTACAAATATGTCTTGCTTCCACACCCATGGCTATGTTTTGTTTGTTTGTTTGTTTTTGAGAAGGAGTCTCACTCTGTCACCCAGGCTGGAGTGCAGTGGCGTGATCTCAGCTGACTGCAATCTCCACCCAAGTTCAAGAGATTCTTCTGCCTCAGCCTCCCACGTAGCTGGGACTACAGGTATGTGTCACCACTCCTGGCTAACTTTTTTATTTTTAGTGGAGAATGGGTTTCACCATGTTGGCCAGGCTGGCCTTGAAATCCTGACCTCAAGTGATCCACCCACCTCGACCTCCCAAAGTGCTGGGATTATAGGAATGAGCCACCACGCCTGGCCACCCTTGGCTATGTTATTAAAGACATGCAAGGGAAACATTAACTTCCATATTAAAATATTCTCTTTCTTTTTTTATCCTGTACAGAGCATACCATAGCAGCTTGTGCCTGAGACCTCGACAAATATCTGGGGGATAGATTGGCTTGCAGAGCACATTCTGCCTATAGAAATGAGTTAGCAAGTTTAGTCAGCCATTGTAGATTTCAAAGGGTGAGAAGCCTAGCCAGAGGTTATAATATAGCATGATATCCTCCTGGAAATGGAATTCTTCACTTGCGATGCATTTTAGGAGCCGCTGCTCTGTGTGAGCCACTCTGCTAGGTCCCAGCATGCATGATATTATTCTACACAAAGAATAATATCAGAGCTCACAGCCTATGCAGGAAGTAAGCAATTAGTTACAGCGTGATGTGTACTGCAACCCAGGTAAGTACACAGTGTCATGGATGCTTCCAGGAGGAAGTCATAGTCTGACCAGGAAGTTTGGGAATACTTCTCATAGGAAGCAACAAGCTACCTGGAAAGATCTAGAAAGATGAACAGTACCAGTGTATTGATTAGAAATGCGTTCAGCAGCAAGTCATAGAACACATGACTAGTAAGGTTTAAACAAATAGAAGGTTATTTTCTCATATAATAAGCCCAGAGGTAGGCACTAAAGGTGGTACATTGGCTCAGTGGTGTTGGGACTAAGGTTTCTAAAATTCTCTTGTCCTCTAAGACATGGCTGCAGGTTGGCTGCAGCAGCTCCAGGCATCGTGTCCACACTGAAAGGAGAAAGGGGGAGGCCAGCTATGATTTCCCCTTTTATCAGGAAAGCAGAAACCTTCCTGTGGATTTCTGCTTATATCCCACTAGCCAGAACTGGGTCATGTGGCTATCCTTAGCAGCAAGGGAGCCAGGAAAGAGAGGATTTCACTTCTCCAGCTTCTTCTGTATATGGGAGGGCAGGTAGGTGAAGGGGGCTAGACTGAATCCTGTGTGAGCCAACTAGCAGGCAGAACATTTTGCATAGAACTGCATTTGCAAAAACATGGAGCTGTGAAAGTGTGTGGAACATTTACAGGCTATTTATTTATTTATTTATTTAGAGACAGATTCTTGCTTTGTCGCCCAGGCTAGAGTGCAGTGACACGATCTTGGCTCACTGCAACCTCTGCTTCCTGGGTTCAAGCAATTCTCCTGCCTCAGCATCCCCAGTAGCTGGGATTACAGGTGCCTGCCACCATGCCTGGCTAATTTTTGTATTTTTAGTAGAGACGGGGTTTCACCATGTTGGCCAGGCTGATCTTGAACTCCTGACCTCAAGTGATCCACCCGCCTCAGCCTCCCAAAGTGCTGGGATTACAGGCGTGAGCCACCGCCCCCAGCCTACAATCAAAAAATTTAATATCATCAAATTACAGGGCATGTGGCAGAGAAGTGTGGGCAGACAAGACACAGAGAAGTGGAGATGAGACTCTTCAGACCCTTGAATGACATGTTGAAGAGCTTGGAATTTTCTTATAGAACGTAGGTAATCAATAGAGAGGTTTCATCCGAGGAATGATAAAAATCCATTTGGGAAACAGAGGCGGTGTGGAGGATGGGTCAAGAGAGAATCAGAAGGCAGATGATTTACAGCAATCCAGGCCAGATATCAGGAGGGCCTACTCTAAGATTGCTTTTAGCATAGCTACTGGGGAAGAGTCGGGCAGGAGAGCCCAGAGGCCCCGCATGTGATGGAAACAGCTGCCCAAACTGCATCTTCAGGTAAATATGGCAGACCATAGTTCCCCCTTCATAAAGGCCTCTTGGGCGTGTTTCCTGGAAGGAAGAGGTGGGAGATGTCGCCATGCTCAGCACATACGTGAGGTGTTGCATTAGTCTCCTGGGGCTGCCGTAACAAAGTACCACAAAGCAGATGGAAACAACATGCATTTTTCCCCCCACAGTTCTGGAAGGTGGAAGGCCAGGATCAGGTGTCAGGAGGGTTGGTTTTTTCTGGGGGTTCTGAGAGAATCTGAGGGGAATTCCATGGCTTTCTCCCAGCTTCTGGTAGTTGCTGGCAATCCCTGGTGTTCCTGGGCCTGTAGACACGTCACCCCCATCTCCGCCTCTGTTTTCATGTGGCATCCTCCCCGGTGCGTGTCTGTGTGCCCCAACCCCCTTGTCTTATGAGGCCCACTCTAATCCAACAGGACCTCGTCTTTACATAATCAGATCTGCTAAGATCCTGTTTCCAAATAAGGCCATGTTCACAGATACCTAGGGTTAGGACTTGGACATATCTTTTGGGGGGACCCGATTCAACTCACAACAGGTGTTTGAGGGCAGCTCTAGTTGAGAGTGTCAGAGAACCTCTGGCTTAAAGGAGGAACAGGGAGTCTATCTGCTTGCAATGTCTGAAGTAGAGTGGAGTGGCTTTACTGTCCTTGGTAGAGAGCATGTCCTGCTTCATTCTCAGGAAGGATCTCACTGTGAGGTGGCTACGATTACTCTCTGCCCACCCTGGTTGCATCTGGCTTACAGAAGACAATCCCAGAAGAAACAGTCTCCCCCAAAGTCCGCAGCAACCCTTCCACTAGGAGTCTACTCCTGCTTACACAAGGCCCATGCTCACGCCTCACCCCACTGCTGTGTCCAGGGCTTCGTGGTATCCTGATGGGCTAGCGTGGGTCACACTCCCACCCTTTGAGCCATGGGCCCACCTAGTCCAAATCATAACAACTGAACAGGATGATCACAGGTTGTGGAGATGAATCTGCCAAAGTGATGCTAGGCAGTGCGCTTTCTTTTTTATTTTTAAAATATTTTTTGCATGTATGTATGTATGTGAGACAGTCTCGCTCTGTCGTCCAGGCTGGAGTGCAGTGGCAAGATCTCGGCTCACTGCAACCTCTGCCTCCTGGGTTCAAGCAGTTCTCCTGCCTCAGTCCCCCGAGCTGTGATTACAGGCATGTGCCACCACACCCGGGTAATTTTTGTATTTTTGTTAGAGATGAGAATTCACCATGTTGGCCATGCTGGTCTCCTGACTTCAAGTGATCCGCCTGCCTCAGCCTCCCAAAGTGCTGGGATTACAGGCGTGAGCCACCATGTGCAGCCAGTAGTGCTCTTTCTTTACCTCTGCCCAAATGAGGACAAGGAGATGAAGCGTGGCTGAAAGCATCAGCCTCTTCCCAGCTGTCCTGATTGCATGGGCCGCTTGTCCACTGGACAGGTACTTTTCCTGCCGGGCCTGCTCGTGTGGTTTGGACAGATGCCCAACTGTCAGGCTCACTCTGTTCTGTTCAGGGAGCTGGCATTTGCTCCAGTTTCCTCACCTGCCCACAGGGCAGGTGTGTGTCTGTGCGCCCCAACCCCCTTGTCTTATGAGGCCCACTCTAATCCAAAAGGACCTCATCTTTACATAATCAGATCTGCTACGATACTATTTCCAAATAAGGCCATGTTCACAGATATATGAATGGTAAGAGCCAGTGGGCCAGGTTGCCCATGTGAGGGAGCCGGTCTCCGCACCTTGAATTTCTCTACTGTTCTGGCCTCCGGGGCCATGACATTGAGGATGGCTGGCCACTGGGCATTGCTCCTTGCACCATTTTCTCTGGGACTCCCTGATACATGTGAGGTTCTTCTTTCTCAGGCCTCTTTGAGGTGCAGGGACCCCCCCGCCCCCATTGCCTAGTACTCCAAACTGGCCTAGGTCTACCTCTCCCAGCCCAAATGTCCTGAGGTCCGTGACTGGATTATGACTTCATAAACACCCTTCCCCCACCCTCACCACCACCACTTCCAGCATCTGAGCTGGAAGACTGCCCGTGTCCTTCCAATCCACTTCCCTTCCCTGTTGTTCATCCTCACATTTCTCTAACCACAGGCCAGCAGAGCTAGAAAAAACCCTAGGACAACTAGTCCAGCAACGGCGAAACATTCATTTTAACCTTAGTTCACATGGTGCAGCCGCTACAGAAAACGGTATGCGAGTTCCTCAAAAAATGAAACATATGATCCAGCAGTTTCACTTCTGGGTTTCTGGGTATATTCCCAAAAAAACTGAAAGCAGAAACTTAAATAGCTGTTTGTACACCCACGCTTATAGCAGCATTAGTCACAATAGCCAAAAGGTAGAAGAAGCCCAAGTGTATATCAACAGATGCATGGAGAAACAAATGTGTATACATACAATGGGTTATTATTCAGCTATAAAAAAGGAATGAGGCCAGGATCAGTGGCTCACACCTGTTATCCCAGCATTTTGGGAGGCCAAGGTGGGCGGATAACCTGAGGTCAGGAGTTCAATACCGGCCTGGCCAACTTGGTGAAACCCCCGTCTCTACAAAAATGCAAAAATTAGCCGGGCATGATGGCAGGTACCTGTAATTCCAGCTACTTGGGAGGCTGAGGCAGAAGAATTGCTTGAACCACGGAGGCGGAGGTTGCAGTGAGCTGAGATCGCACCATTGCACTCCAGCCTGGTTGACAGAGCGAGACTCTGTCTCAAAAAAAAAAAAAAAAGGAATGAAATTCAGATACATGCTACAACATGGATCAACCTTGAAGACATCATACTAAGTAAAATAAGCCAGTCACAAAAGGATAAGCAGTATATGATTCCACTTATATGAGGTACCTAAAGTAGTCTAATTCAAAGACAGAAAGTATAATAGTGATTACCACGGGTTGGAGGGAAGGAGAAGGGGAGTTATTGTTTAATCATATAGAGTTTGGGAAGATGAAAAAGTCCTGGAGATGGACAGTGGTGATGGTTGTACAATAATGTGGATGTACTTAATGCCACTGAACGGCACACTTAAAATGGTTAACATGGTAAATTTTATGTTATGCATATTTTACAACAATAAACTAGTAAATACACAGGTCCTGTTTATTCTTTTTTTTTTTTTTTTTTTTTTTGACGAGTCTCACTCTGTTGCCCAGGCTGGAGTGAAGTGGCACAATCTCAGTTCACTGCAACCTCTGCCTCCCAGGTTCAACTGATTCTCTTGCCACAGCCTCCTGAGTAGCTGGTATTACAGGTGCCTGATACCACACCCAGCTAATTTTTACGTTTTTAGTGGAGGCGGGGTTACCCCATGTTGCCCAGGCTGGTCTCAAACTCCTGACGTCAAGTGATCTGCCCACCTCGGCCTCCCAAAGTGCTGGGATTACAGGCATGAGCCACCACGCCTGGCCATTAATTTCTTTATTCAAGTCTTTTACGTCACTTTTTGCTTCTGAGATGTGACCAAGATGGGAGTTAACCTTTCTAAAATCAATGTAGTATTTGCAATTTTCCTTTTTTGGGGAGACAGTTTTTACTTTAGGACCTAAGGGCTTGTGACTGTTATTTCTCCCTTTTAAAAATGAGTGTAAAACCTTTGTTTCGTTCATAATTTGCACCTTGACTTTCACTTTGTATAATGTTAGGTTTATCACCTCTGCTGTCTTTTCTGGTTTGTATTTCATTCACTGCTTCCTTCTGGAAATAACATAGTGCTCCTACTATGTGCCAGGCCTGTTCCAGGTACAGAGAATATAGCAGCAAACAAAACAGACCAGAGCTCTATCCTGGTGGAACTCACATTCAAGTTCGGGGGATGGTAAACCAAAATACATAGGAAAAATAAACTTTTGTATTATCTGCATGTTGGACCCTTTGTAAGTCAAAGGTCCTCGCAGATCCGCAGGCAGGTGGGGAGCAGCAGAATATCACGGACACGCGTTAGAAACTTGGGGACCCACCCTCGACCAAGTGAATTCGCATCTGTGTTGTAGGAAGGTCCTCAGGTGATTCACAAACGCATTCGAGTTTGACTGCGGCAAGGGCTAAGGAAAAAAAAACTAAGCAGTGAAGGGACTGAGGAGGGACTGTGAATTGCAGGAGCAGAGGTGCTGTGATTTTAAAACCAGTTGCCAGGGAACAGGGAAGGTCTGGTTTGGAAGAAGGCCCTTCTGTAAGATCTGAAGGGGGTGGGTATCCGGGAGAAGCCACAGCAGCAAATGCGAAGACCCTCGGGCTTCGACGCAGGGACCTGCTGTTCAGAGAGGCTGGGGCAGAGCCAGCTAGGGGCAGCGTGGTCCCTGGTGCAGCCGGCTCGTTTTTACCTCGTCTGTGCTCTGTGTTTGGGGTGTGTCCTGCGGCACCGTCCCTGAGCGCTGGAACGTGCGCGGCCCCGCAGGGCAGTGCGGCCGGGGAATGCACCGAGCTGCGCGCTTCCAGCGCCGTCGGTCTGGGGTTTCTGCCATTCTAACTCCCAAGGCTTTTCTATTTTGGGCTTAAAAAGATGCAGAGTCCCCTTTTATCGGTCAGGCTTGTAGCAGAAGGTTCAGGTCCAAGAGGACCTTTTGGATTTAGTCCTTTCTGTCGGCTCCCGCAGTCAAAACCCCCTTCCCTTAAACTCCGCCTGCACTCGAGCCGTCTCTCTACACCATGGAACCTGCACAGAGGCGTCCAGGCCAGTGCACCCGAGCCGGGGCAGACGGAGAACGCCCCTGTGCTCACCCTGCCCTCGGCCTTGCGTGGGGAAGAAGCTCTGGGTCTGACCCTGGCGAGTCACTGCGTCTCCCGACGCGCGCTGCTCCCTCTGCGAAAGGGGGAAATATCAGCGGCCCAGCTGGGTGGTTCTGACCCAAGTGGGGTCACTTCTAGGGAAGCTGCTGTGGCCAGAAAGCACTGCACAAGAGACTAAGTGTAGCGCGCCGCCCTCGGCTAAACCACGGCTGTGCGGACCACCCTGGACCCGCGCCCCGATCTTCTGCTTTCTTCTGCACAGGGAGTTGTGAGGTTGCTACACCCCCGGGTCTGGATTCCGCACCCGCAGCGGCCCCCGCACGGTGACCACATACCAGGGACTCGACCGAGCATCTCCAGCCACAGGATTCCCCGGGGGAGCGTCCCCGAGCGGAGGAGAGGAGCGATTGGCTGGGAGGGAGGTGGGACGAGCGGTTACGCCGGCGCCAGGACACTGCGGGGCGGGGACCAGGGGACGGGCGGGGTGCGGAGGAGGGGGGAGGACGGAGTGGGACAGGAGAGGGGAGAGGAGAAGGAGGGAGGGGCGGAGGAGGGGAGAAGAGGGGACTGGGACGGGGTGACCCGAATGGGGAGGCGGGGCAGAGGGTACGGGGTGGGGGAGGGGAGAGGGCCGGTAGGGAGTGGAGAGGGAGGTTGTAGGGGAGAGGAAAGGGGGAGAGGGACCCACTGCGTAGGGAAGAAGGAAAGTGGGGTGGAGTGAGCGAAGAGGGGACAAGGGACTGGGTGTGGAGAGAAAACGGAGCTGAGTGGGGAGGAGAAGAAAAGGGAGAGAAGCTGAGAGGGGTGAGCAGGAGGAGGGAGGGCGGGGCGCCTCCCAGCAGTCGGGCGCAGGCCTAGGGTCCTCCCCTCCCCCAGAGGCCAACGTCCCTGGGGCGTGATTAGCAGCTCCTTGGGGAAGAGGACGGAGCCTGAGCTCCGGGCGCGGAGGTCTGGGCGGGGCGACCCGCGGCGCTGCTCGTGGCCGCGGCGATGGCGCGGGGACCGGGGAGGTTTGTCCAGGAGGACGCTGGTCACACCGCGTTTCTGAAGCTTTCGATTCCTCTTCGGCTCTGCTCTCTGCAGCCGCCCTGCCTTCCCTCTGCGCGTCTGAGCCGAGTCCCCGGCGCCCAGGGGCGGGGCGGCGGGGTGGGGACACTCATGGACCCCCCAGCGAGGACCTGCTGGGTGCGACTACATGGTCACCCGAAGGACCCTGAGAGAGGGGCAGCTGTAGGGGGTCCTTGAAGAGGGTCTGACTGCGGGGTTTGTGAGCGTCAGCGCGGGGGAGGCTTGGGCCTGGAAAGATGGGGGAGATCTGGCCGATAGAGACGTGAGTGCCCCAGAAAGGGGGGCCGAGGTGGTGGAGGCGGGCGCGCGGCTAGCTGGGGTCCAGGACAGGAGGGGCGGGAGGCAGCCGGGAAGGCCTCAGGCAGGGCCAGCGAGCAGCACCTCCTGCAGCCTGCCAAGTGCAGGTACGAGGCCACCCCTGCCCTCACCTATGTGTGACGCGTCGAGGTAACCTTTCTGAGCGTTGACTTGTCCACATATGCCAGTGGGGCAATCTCTGAGGGTGATGAACATGTGTAACATATGGGAAGCTGTATAGTGGCCTTCCCAGCGTGGCTGCTTCATAAACTTAGTCCCTTTCCCTCCTGGAGGAAGGAAGTCAACCCAGAGGCTTCTCACTAATGGGCACTTTCCTAGCACAGGTAAGCGTCAAATGGAATCAAACAGAAGAGGCATCTCAGAGTTCAACAGAACAGGTGCCTGGCCTAGCTGGCCTCCGTTTGGGGGATGAATAAGAATCCCCTTACAGGCCAGGTGCGGTGGGTGGCTCACGCCTGTAATCCCAACATTTTGGGAGGCCGAGGCGGAGGGATCACGAGCTCAGAAGTTTGAGACCAGCCTAAACAACATGGTGAAACCCCGTCTCTGCTAAACATACAAAAATTAGCAGGACTGGTGGTGCACGCCTGTAATTCCAGCTACTTGGGAGGCTGAGGCAGGAGAATCGCTTGAACCCAGGAGGCGGCGGTTGCAGTGAGCCGAGATCCTGCCACTGCACTCCAGCCTGGGTGACAAAGCGAGACTCCATCTCAAAAAAAAAAAAAAAAAATACCCTTACAGATTGCATCTGCATTAAGACTTAAGGTCTCAACTTGTTGATTCTTTGCTAGGGATTCTTATCACAATACAAAGAATTTACTGCCATTGATTGCATCCGAATGGACAGACACACACAGATGCACATTTCATGGGAGTGTTTCTCTCATAAGCAGAGAGAACCCTTCTCAGCCTGAATTCCTTGACTTGCAAGTCTGTGTGGGATTCAGGATTACAGATTTAATGACCGAAACATAATAGGGTCTGAGAGGCGGGATCTACAGCAGAGCTGTGGGCAAAACTGCTGGAACCAGGCAGGTCCTACCTCCACGACACAGCATAGAGGGTGACGTGTCTGAGGGCACACAGGCTCTGGTTAGGCTTTGTGGAATTCTGACCTCAATGAGTCACTGAATTGTTGAGATTGCCCTGGTAAGTCAGATCTTGATTCAGTTTCTCCATGGGTAAATTGGGAGCAAATATACTGGCTGTTTAACTTCCCTTAGGGTAGGTGTGGTCTTAAAATAGCTTCTCCAAGTTGAGGCAGTTGGTGGGTGTGACTGTCATTTCTGTGGGATGGAGGAGTTGCAGCCTTCCCGTGAGATCAGTGCCCTGGCATGGCTGAAGTGACATGGAGAGGCCAGGAGGCAGCCTGGCAGGAAGGGTGGCATCCCCCAAAGGGAGGGAAGAGGGAAGCTGGAGAGGTGTGGCCGACCCTTCCCAGAGAGACTTCATGACACTGGCATTCCCCAGGGGCAGTGTGTGGCTCTGTGAATGTTCCAGACATTAGCCAGGGCAGTTGAAGCCGCCCTTTATGCCATACGTGGAACTGTGCTTTAGGAAGTGGCTTAGTTGGTGGAATAATCATTGCTGAACCACAATGCAACCACAAATGCCAGCAAGTGTGCACCTTCTTTCCTGGTGAGTGCAATAGTCAGCCACATCCTTCTGGACCAGCCCGGCCTTGTTTCCTAACTGGGTGGGCCCTGCTTTGATGACAGGTGCATTCCTAGAGGTACTGTCTTCCTGCAGAGTTTTACGTAATGCAACGCCAAGAACGCTTTGATGGTGTGGGCTCTTACTGTCATTGAAACATCCCAACGAACTCTCAGGGCAGCATTGAGTGAGAGCAATGGCTTGGGAGACCCTTCGTCATCTGGTTGGGCTGGTGTGTTTGCTGCCCTTGGAAATTCTCTCAGCATTTCCGCTGTTTGTCTCCTCAGCAAGCTTATTTATGTCTTTATACATACACTCAGGGGACCTAAAAATAATGTTTCTCATTTCAATCAATCTTCCTCATCCTCAACATCTCGTTCAAGCCACACCTCTATCTTCCGTCCTCCCCGACAGCTTCAGGATTTTTCTCTGAGCTCATAGCATTCAGAGTCATTTCACACACATAATGGTCTTGAGTTGCCTGTCATTTTTAGGTTCTGAGTCTTTTTTTTTTTTCTTTTTTAGGCAGGGTGCTGTTCTGTTGAGCATGCTAGAGTGCAATGGTGTAATCAATCATAGCTAGCTGCAGCTTCAAACTCCTGGGTCCAAGCGATCCTCCCCGCTCAGCACCCCAAGTAGCTGAGACTACACCACCATGCCCAGCTAATTAAAAAAAATTTTTTTTAGAGATGGGGTCTCACTATGTTGCCCAGGCTGGTCTCAAATTTTCGGCCTCAAGTGATCCTCCCACCCTGGCCTCCCGAAGCACTGAGATTACAGATATGAGCCACAGAGCCCAGTGGTTTATGAGTCTTAACTCCTCTTCTGGAACCTAAGTTTCCTGATGGCAGATATGCTATGAGATATATCTTTGTACTTCTGATGAATCCAAAACAATGTGGAAGGTATTTCAGGCTCTCGCTCAATACTTAGAAATAAAACTGGTAGGTTGAATTACTTCTGGTAATTCAGTGTGCTGGGTTGAGCTCATTTCGTTCTTCTCTCACCCCATTCCGGAGATGGGACATTTATCTCCACCCCTTCCTGGGGCCCTGGCTCATGCCAAGCTGGGATGATAGACAAGTTTCTGGTAAGATGGAGAAAGGGGGTTAGTATAATAACACATTACAGTTGGGCTAAAGGAGTCAGCTTTAGCAAGATTTTGAATGACCTTGCAGGTAACAACCCCCAGCCCCCAAGACCTAGTGACTTAAAACAACAGCCGTTTATTTGCCCGTAAGTCTGCCATCTGGCCTGGGCTCATGTGGGTGGTTTTGCTGCACGTTCTTGCCTGGGCCACTTACAGGTTGCAGTCAGATGGCACCTCAGCCAGAAGGTCCAAGCCAGCCTCCTTCAGGTGGGCAGCATGCTGGCGGCAGTGGGAGGCCCCCAGGTCTCCTCCATGGAGCGGCCTCTCAGTCATTTTCATGGGACAGACTTTTTTTTTTTTTTTTTTTTTTTTGAGACAAGGTCTCACTCTGTCGCCCAGGCTGGAGTACAGTGATGCAATCTCGGCTCACTGCAGCCTCGACTTCCCTGGCTCAGGTGATTCTACCACCTCAGTCTCTGAAGTAGCTGGGATTACAGGTGCACACCACCATGCCCAGCTATTTTTTTTGTATTTTGTTACAGAGACGGGGTTTCACCATGTTGCCCAGGCTGGTCTCGAATTCCTGGGCTCAAGTGATCTGCCCGCCTTAGCCTCCCAAAGTGCTGGGATGACAGTGGCTCTGTGCTGGGCCAAGACTGTTTCTTAACAGCAGGGCAGCTGGGTTCCAACAAGACAAAACCTTTTCTTGCCAATGTCTGACAGTCACACACTGTCACTTCCACTGCATTCCGTTGACTAAAGCAAGTCACTGGGCCAGCCAGGGCCCTGCAGGAGGGCCGTGGGGTCCATGGATTTATACGAGGAGTGGCAAAGTCATACTGCGTCAAGGCTTGCAGGATCAGAAGGATTGTTGTGGGTGTTTTTTGAGACAGCCTACCTCACGGAGAGAGGCACATCTGTTAAGATTTCCTGAAGTAGCCCAGGAGGGTCCCTGTGCCTTTACACAATCCCCCAACCCCCAGCTTCCCAGGTCCACACCTCCTCCAGCTCCTTGGCCTGAAGACCAGGTGGAACTGATGGACTCAAACCAGGGCTCATGATTCCGACTGGTTTGTAGAGAGACTGAGGGTCCATGGGAGGATAAGAGGGAGAAGGAAGATGAGATGAGAGAGATGAGGCTGCCTGATGCCCCAGAGGAGGCTGGGTGTGGACCAAGAGGTGAGTCCACAGGAAAAGTCAGCAACTGTTTGGTGCCATCCTGTGGTTTTTGTGTCAGGCTATAATGCTTTTATTTCTGATTAAATAGCGTTTACCTTCTCAATTTCTATCCAGTAGGGGCATAGGTTAAACAATTGTCTGTTGTTTTTTTTTTTTTTCTTCTTTTGTAGAGACGGGGTCTTGCTATTTTGCTCAGGCTGGTCTTGAACTCCTGGCCTCAAGCAGTCTTCCCTCCTTGGCCTCCCAAAGTGCTGAGACTACAGGCATAAACCACTGCATCCAGTCTAGTGTCCTGATAGAGACTAAGAATTTCCTCATAGCTGGAAATTTTTAGAGACCTTGTCTCTAAAAAACTTTTTTTTAATAAAAAAAAAAAACGAATTTTCTTCTAATAGAAAATCCTGTCAGAAGAGCTGTGTTTAGATGTGTAATGAAAACACATGTACTAGCCAGGCATGGTGGCTCACACCTGTAATTCCAACACTTTGGGAGGCTGAGGTGGGAGGATTGTTTGAGGCCAGGAGTTTGAGACCAACTAGGGCAACAAAGCAAGACCCTGTCTCTACAAAACATTTTTTTTTTTAAATTAGCCGAGTAAGGTGGTATGCGCCTGTAGTTCAGCTACTGGGGAGGCTGAGATAGGAGGATCACTTGAGCCCAGCAGTTCGAGGCTGCAGCGAGCCATGATTGTACCAATGCACTCCTGCTAGGTGACAGAGGGAGCCCCTAACTCAAAACAAAGCAAAACAAAACTAAATACAGGGGAAGAAAATTCCCACACACGTAATGATTTTCTCTGTACTCTCAACTACTCTCAATACTTCACTTCTGAAACCAGATGTGTGAACTTTTTCCCCACATTGACCAATTTTCCAACCCCAGCTGGAAGTCCTGAAATTCAATCCAATTCTGACACTACCTGGAGTTGGCACAGCCCCTACTGGTTGAAGTCTAATGGGACTGTCATTAGACTGCCCCCACTTCAGACGCCAGTTGCAAGCCCGTGCTGTTACCTCTGCTTCTGATGGGCCAGTTACAAATCAGAGGTTCCCATGACCCCATCCTCAGATTCTATCATTGCTGGAATGGCTCATAGAACTCAGGGAAACACCTTATTACGTTTGCATGTTTATTATAAAGGGCACCGCTCAGGAACAGGCGAAGGGAAGAGAGCACAGGGCAAGGGATGGGGAAGGGCTTGGAGCCCCCATACTCCCCGCAGGCCTGCTGCCCTCCCAGCACCTCCATGTGTTCAGCATCCCAGAGCTCTCTGAATCCCACCTTTTTGGTGAGGCTTAATGATGCAGGCATGACTGATGAAATCGTTGGCCATTGGCCATTCAACTCAATCTCCAGCCCCTCAGTCTCCTCCAGCCTCCCCAGGGGGTGATAATTGGGGGGCAGTTCTGAAAGTTCCCATCCTCTGATCACATGGTTGGTTCCTCTGGCAACCAGCACCCCCATCCTCCAAGAGCCACCTCATCAGCAGAAACTCAGGTTGAAAGGGGCTTGTTATGAATCACTTAGGAAATTCCAAGCGTTTTACGAGCTCTGTGCCCAGTACAGGGTTGAAGACCAAGTGTGTAGCTCTTATTATAAATCACAATACTGTATCACAAAATAGTTAACCGACACTCTTCAGGACCAACAACAACAAAAACTCTCTCTCATCCAAATACCTGAGAATCAGAAAGTTAAACTCTCAGATGCAACTGAGGGTGCTCAGCCCTTCTCTCTCCTCTGCAGCCTGGCCCCTCTGTCTTTGGCCCGTCTTATGGGAAGAGACCAACTCTCTCCAGCATACCTTGCAGACACAATGCAGCTATCTCCAGAGTCAACTCTGGAGGGACCTCAGGGAGCTGGAACATCACACGGTGCCAGAAATTTCTCTCTTCCTGGCCCAGGAAGCCAAGGCCATAATACCCTCAGTTTCAGCGACTGGGGTGGCATGTGAACTTTAGGGGGCTCCCCGGGTGAAAACACAAATCCACATGTATTGAGCTGGACATGGAGGCTCATGCCTGCAATCCCAGCACCCCACTCTAGATGCCCTCATGTGGACACCTACCTTTTCAGGCCTCACAAAATGACTTTAGGACTAAGTCGTTCAGGAAGGGAAGAGGAAGAGCAACATATTACATCTGAAGTCTCGGTTTCCTTAACGTAAAATGAATGTCATCATGGTTTCTGCATAATATGGTTGCCATGAGAACTATGTGACATAATGTACCTCTGCCACATGGTGACCATACAGTGTCAACTGCCATCACCATTATTATAAACCAATGCCTGCATTGTCTTTATTGATTTATTTTTTTATTTTTAGTAGAGATGAGATCTCGCTTTGTTGCCCAGGCTGGTCTTGAACTCCTGAGCTCAGGAGATCCTTCCACCTCGGCCCTGCAAAGTGCTGAGTGAGCCATGTGCTCAGCCCAACACCTGCATTTTTATTTTGTCATTTGGCAGAAATGTATCAGAGACCCAGGGACCAGAGTAATCCAGGAGGAGTGGGTGAGAGTGGTAGATATATCAAGATGGGAGTCTGGGCTGGGTGAGGTGGCTCATGCTTGTGATCCCAGCACTTTGGGAGGCGAAGGTAGGTGGATCATCTGAGGTCAGGAGTTTGAGACCAGCCTGGCCAACATGGTGAAACCCCATCTCTACTAAAAATACAAAAAGTTAGCTGGGTGTGGTGGTACACACCTGTAATCGCAGCTACCAGAGAGGCTGAAGTATGAGAGTTGCTTGAACCTAGGAGGCAGGGGTTGCAGTGAGCCAAGATCGTGCCATTGCACTCTGGCCTGGGCGACAGGGTGAGACTCTGTCTTGAAAAAAAAAAAAAAAAAAGATAGGACGCTGATGCCTCTTTCTTAAGAGAATGAAGACACTCATCATTATATTGACTAAGTTAAAATATATAAGTATAGAGAAGCAACTAGAAGGAAACACTCTAATATGTTAAGAGTGGTTATCTCTTTTGGTGGGATTATGTGATTTTAAAAAAGTTATGTGTTTTCTGAAATTTATGAAATGAATATTATTCAAATTTAGGAAAAAAATTTTGTTTTAGAAGGACGCTGGTTAAATTCAGTGTAACTCATTGAAAACTGCTCTGCACCTCAGCAGTTGGTGGTGCCTTTTTCTCCTGCCTGGATTCAAACCCTGGCTCTGCCTTTTACCAACTGGGGTGATCAGGGACAAGTTAATTAACTTCTCTGTGCCTTTGCTTTTTGTTTTGTAAAACAGGAGCTTACAGTGCCTAATTCAGGCTAATTTAGCAATTAAATGAGATACTGCTTATAAAGTACCCGGCACACATAAGTACACAAAAATGTTAGCTACGTGAGGTGCAGTGGCTCACACCTGTCATCTCAGCACTTTGGGAGGCCGAGGTGGGTGGGTCACTGGAGGTCAGGAGTTCGGGATCAGACTGGCCAACACGGTGAAACCCTGTCTCTACTAAAAATACAAAAAATTAGCCAGGCATGGTGGTGCATGCCTGCAGTCTCAGCTACTCTGGAGACTGAGGCAGGAGAATCACTTGAACCCGGGAGGTAGAGGTTGTAGTGAGCCGAGATCGCACCACTGCCCTCCAGCCTGGGCGACAGAGTGAGACTCTGTCTCAAAAAAAATAAAAAAGAAAAAAGAAAAGAAAGAAAGAAAGAAATATTAGCTACAATAGTATTGTTATTGCATGGGAAGGTCTGGAATGTAGTGACTGTTCCAGACCTTCCTCAGCTCAGGTATCTCAGAGGAAGAATTCTTCCTTCTCTGAGTGGCCTCAGCTATGCTGCCTCCTGGATTACTATCCTATTATTCACCCAAAGATTGCAGGCAGCTGGGCCTCCCGTGGGACAACAATCTGAGGCAAGGGTGACAAACCAGGCAGAGGAAGTGTTTGTTTTCCTAACTTCTTGAGCGGGATCCAAAGACATCAGTTGCTTAGCTGACTCAGCCTCTTTGCATTAGGAGACCATGAGTGGCACCCACAGGGCAAACGATATAGCTCTGTGTCTGAGTTGGTATCCAGTTTGGGATTTGTTATTTCATTCATTTGGTTGTTAAATTCACACATGTGTATTAGATGCCTGCTATATGTCAGGCACTGCTGTAGGCAATGAGAGACAATTAAAATGCAATGAATTAAAAATTAATTAATAAGGGATTGAACAAATATTTGTACACTTATGTTCCTAGCGACATTTTTCATAATAGCCAAAAGGCAGAAGCAACCCAAGTGTCCACGGACAAATAAATTAATAAACAGAATGCAATCTAGATATACAATGCAATGGTATTTAGCCCAACAAACCAAGGAAATTCTGGCCGGGTGCAGTGGCTCACACCTGTAATCCCAGCACGTTGGGAGGCCGAGGCAGGGGATCGCTTGAGGCCAGGAGTTTGAAACCAGCCTGGTCAACATAGCTGGCCCCTGGCTGTACAAAAGGAAAAAAAAAAAAAAAATAACCAGGCATGGTAGTGTGCATCTGTAGTCCCAGCAATTCAGGAGGCTTAAGTGGGAGGACGGCTTGAGCCCAGGAGTTCAAGGCTGCAGTGAGCCATGATTGCACTCAAGCCTGGGCGACACAGCAAGATTGTCTCAAAAAAAAAAAAATGAATAAATAAAAAAAGAAAGGAAATTCTGACACATGCTACTTAGAACATGGATGAACCTTGAGGACATTATGTTAGGTGAAATCAGCCAGTCACAAAAAGACAAATAACTGTGAAATTTCACTTATATGAAGTGCCTAGAGGAGTCAAATTTATAAAGACAGAAAGTAGAAAGGTGGTTACCGGTAGCAATGGGAAGTAGTGGAGAATGGTTGTTTAATGTTTACAGAGCTTTAGTTTGGGGAGATGATAAAAGTTCTGGAGATGGGTGGGAGTGATAATTGCATGATGCGGGTGTATGATAGGAGACCAGAATATGCTATCCCAAAATATGCCTCTTTGACATAAGGATTATTTTGAGCTGATTATTTTGAGAAACTGCAGACACAGGAGAAATTCTGAAAACAGAGTAGAAGTTACTCTTTGTAAGGGGAATTTACATCTATAAAGGAAATCTTTATTGTAAGGGTGTCTCAGTACCCGGAAGAGACAGGTGACAGGTAATTCTAAATCACTAGACTCTTATCAATGGCCAAGATGTGGATTTAAATCTGCATCACAAATCTCATCCTTGTTTACTGTACTTTTTCCTGGGCATCTTTTTTTTTTTTTTTTTTTTTTTTTTTTTTTTTTTTTGAGATGGAGGCTTGCTCTGTCGCTCAGGCTGGAGTGCAGTGGCATGATGTAGGCTCACTGCAACCTCTGCCTCCTGGGTTCAAGGGATTCTTCTACCTCAGCCTCCCAGGTAGCTGGGACTAGAGATACACGCTTACACCCCTGGCTTTTTTTTTTTTTTTTTAGTAGAGACAGAGTTTCACCATGTTGGCCAGGCTGGTCTCAAACTCCTGAGATCAAGTGATTGGCCCGCCTCAGCCTCCCAAAGTGCTGGGATTACAGGGATAAGCCAGGGCGCCTAGCCAACATCTTCTTCTAATGAGCCTTCTCCACACCCTTCTTTCTTTGTTTCAGTTGAAGATGATAATCTCGGCCTGATTTTCTAAGCCATCTCTTTGATATTCACTCATTTCTTTGTGTATCTTCCATATATACAGAAAGTACACGTTATTAAACTTTTGTTTGCTTTTCTCTTAATAATCTGTCTTTTTTTTCAGGGGTCAGCCGCAACTAAGAAGTATGAAGGGTAGAGAAAAATTTCTTCTCCTCTCCTACAGTTCTTAATTGCCACTGATCTGTACACTTAGCCAAGGTTAAAATGATAAAGTTTATATATATATATATATATATATATATATATATACACACACACACACACACATATACAGCACCATGATTTTTTTAATGTGAAAAAATCATAATAGCTTTAGATAGTGAAATCAAGCACAGAAACTAAGCTCATGGAAAAATTTACAGAACAGATTTAGCTTTTGCAGTTTGTTTTTTTTTGAAACTTCTTTTGAAGAGACAATTTACCAAACAAGATACACGGATAACAAACAAGCACGTGAAAAGGTACTCAGCATCCTTAGTCATGAAACCATCAGAAGGCTCCATGACACACCTCTCACGATGGCTGAAATGAAAAAAGATTGACCTTACCAGCTGATGACAAGGATGCAGAGCAAATAGAACTCTCATGCACTGCTGGTGAGAATGTAAAAGGGTACAACCACTTTGGAAAATAATTCAGCACTTTGTTGAAAAGTTAAACAGTACTACCCTATGATCAAGCCATTGCATTCCTAGATATTTACCCAGGAGAAATGGAAGTTCCTCTTGGTAGGAACACGATGTCCATCAACAGGTAACTGAAAAAAACAAACTGTGGTATATGCATACAGCACTATGTCACTCAACAATCAAAAAATAAAAATAAAAATAAAGAACTGGCCAGCCGCCGTGGCTCACGCCTGTAATCCCAGCACTTTGGGAAGCCGAGGCAGGCGGATCACTTGAGGTCAGGAGTTTGAGAGCAGCCTGGCCAACATGGCAAAACCCCATCTCTACTAAAGATACAAAAATTAGCTGGGTGTGGTGGCAGGCACCTGTAGTCTCAGCAACTCGGGAGGCTGAGGCATGAGAAGTGCTGGAACACAGGAGTTAGAAGTTGCAGTGAGCTGAGATGGCACCACTGCACTTCAGCCTGGGTGACAGAGTGAGACTGTCTCAAAAAAACAAAAAACAAAAAAAACAAAAACAAAAACAAAAACAAAAAAACAGGTAAACTCTGGTATATGCATACAGCATATATGCGTATGTGATTTCAAAAATGATTTAACGATTAAAAAAATGAACTGTTGCCACTCTACAGATGAATCTCAAAATAATTATGCTGAATGAAAAAAGGCAGGCAAAAAAGAGTATATGCTGTATAATTACACTTAATGCAAACTAGTATATGGTGACAGCCAGTCAGTAGTTGCCTGAGAAGAAGGAGGGGAATGAAGGAGGAAGAGATTACCAAAGGGCACAAGGAAGTTTTGAGGGGCAATAGATAAATTCATTATCTTGATTGTGATTTTTTTCATGGGTGTGTGTCTGTGTCACAATGTGTAGAACTGTACACTTACGTGCAGTTTACTGTATGTCAATTATACATTAATAAATCTGCTAAAACCAAAATGAAAAAAATGTAAATGCACACACAAAAAGTGCAATTAGGCTGGGCATGGTGGCTCACGCCTATAATCTCGGCACTTTGGGAGGCTGAGGCGGGAGGATCGCTTGAGGCCAGGAGTTCAGTACCAGCCCCACAAGATATTAAGATGTTGTCTCTACTAAAAATTAAAAAAAAATTAGCCAGGTGCGGCGGCATGTGCCTGTAGTCCCAGCTACTTCGGAGGCTGAGGCAGGAGAATTGCCTGAACCTGGGAGGTCAAGGCTTCAGTGAGCCATGATTGTGCCATTGCACTCCAGCCTGGGCGACAGAGCAAAACTCTGTCCCAGAAAACTTTAGAAAGCTTTAAAAAAGCTTTTAGAAAGCCAACCTGGCTGTTAGGAAATGAACTGGAGAAAAACTAGGGCACAGGTAAGAACTGGAGGGTCTAGGTAAGAAGAAGGGAGGACGTTAACTGGTGGGGGAATGACTGGAGTCCAAAGCCACATGGATATGGTCTGTTCCTATGCCAGCCACTTCCCTCCATTTTCAAGACCCTGGAGAGGTAGGAAATTTGATCCCAGCTTTACAGAGAGGAGGGTGACTAGGAGCAGTGAAGCAACTTGCTCAAGGGCACACAGCTGCTGGAGAGCTGGGGTTTCCAGTCCTGTGGGTTCTGAGTCCAAAGCCCATGCTCACAAGCCCCTCTCTAATGTAGATAAAAGCCATCGGGGAAGACTCTTCCTTGTCTTGCTGTCTGAAATTTCTCACCCTTACGGGGCTTTGTTGCATGACCATCTTTCCTTGGGAGGAGGCGGGGTGCCATGGGTGCATGAACAGAGGTCGTAACGTCATCTAGGCAGTCAGGAAGGGAAGGCTTCCTGGAGGAAGGGACATTCCAGCTGAACCACAAAGAATGTGCAGGAAGGGGAGGAGCTCAAAAATGAGCAAGGTTGAGGGTGGGTATGAGAAGGGGGAGAAGGCGTTCTAGAGTGGAGAGGAGGGGGTGAGGTGTGACTGCATGGAAATAAACCAGGGCAGGGCCCGCTTGAAGATCTGAACTTCAGCATCGCAAAGTGGTGGCGTGAGATGCAGAGAGAGGCACCAGATGCTGATGTTTGTTCTCTGTGTGGCGGCTTAGAGAATGGAGTGGATGGGAGGGAGGCCAGGTGAGATCCTGCCTGCCAGGCAACTGCCTATTGTGGTTACCATGGAAACATTAGACTGCAGACCCAGCAGCCTCTAGTTCGGCCCCTCTTATTAAAGATGACGAGACTGAGGACCAGACAGGGGAAGAGATTTGCTCTTTCCTGCTGGTGGCCTGGAAACCTCTGTCCAAAAATACTGCAGTAAAACACACTTAAGATAAAAGTCACTATTTACTTTGCAACCATTTTTATTTATTATTATTTTAGACAGAATCCCTCTCTGTCACCCAAGCTAGAATGCCATCTTGGCTCACTGCAACCTCTGCCTTCTGGGCTCAAGCGATCCTCCCTCCTCAGAATCCCAAGTAGCTAGGACCACAGGCACACGCCACCTTGCCTGGCTAATTTTTGTATTTTTTGTAGAGACGGAGTTTCAGCATGTTGCCCAGGCAGGTCTCGAACTCCTGGGCTCAAGTGATCCTCCCACCTCAGTCTTCCAAAGTGCTGGAATTACAGGTATGAGCAACTATGCCTGGATAACCATTTTTAACCATCTCTAGAATGCTTCTCATCATTCTAAACTGAAACTCTGTACCCATTAAATAATACCCACCTCCCCTCCCCCCCAGCTTCTGGCAACCATCACTTTACTTTCTCCTCCTCCTCCTCCTCCGTTCTCCTCCTCCTCCTTCTCCTTCCTCCTCCTCCTCCTTCTCCTTCTCCTTCTTCTTCTTCTTCACAGAGAGAGAGAAAGAGAGAGAATCTTGCTGTGTGGCCCAGTCTGGACTGTAGTGGTGTAATTATAGCTCACTGCAACCTTGAACACCTGGGCTCAATCAATCCTCCCACCTGGGCCAACCAAGTAGCTAGGACTACAGGTGTGTGTCACCACACACGGCTAGTTTTTTAATTTTTGTGTGTGTGTGTGTGGAGACAGGGTCTCACTATGTTGCCCAGGCTGGTCTCAAACCTCTTGCTTCAGGTGACGCTCCCACTTCAGCCTCCCAAAGTTCTGGGATTACAGATGTGAGCCACCACACCCAGCCTCTACTTTTTGCCTCTATGAATTTGACTTCTCTAGGGACCTCATGTAAGTATAATCACTTGATATTCATCCTCTTGTGTCTGGCTGACTTCACTTAGCATAATATCCTCAAAGTTCACCCATGTCGTGGCATGGGTCAGAATTTCCTCCCTTTTTAAAGGCCAAATACTATTCCATTGGGTGGGTAAACCACATTTTGTTCATCTATTCATCTGTTGATGGACCTAGGGTTGCTTTTGCCTTTTGGCTATTGTGAATGAGGCTGCCATGGACATGGTGTATTGGAAACCTCCTTCATAGACATCAATTGTTGGTACTTAGTGAAGAACAAAGACTTTTGTTAAGTTTTAAATATTAGGAAAAGAGCCCAGGAGTTCAAGATTAGCCCTGGTAACATAGTGAGATCCTACCTCTACACAAAATAAAAAATTAGCCAGGCATGGTGGTGGCGCCTGTAGTCCCAGTTACTCGGGAGGCTAAGGCAGGAGAATGGCGTGAACCCAGGAGGCAGAGCTTGCAGTGAACTGAGATCGTGCCATTGCACTCCGGCCTGGGCGACAGAGCAAGACTCTGTCTCAAAAAAAAAAAAAAAAAAAATTAGCCAGTGATAGTAGCATGGGCCTGTAATTCCAGCTACTAGGGAGGCTGAGGTGGGAGGATTGCTTGAGCCCAGGAGTTGAGATTCCAGGGAGCTGTGATCATGCCATTGCACTCCAGCTGGGGTGACAGAGCAAGACTTTGTCTCACAAAAAAAAAAAAAAAAATCTGTCAAATGAGTGAATGACTAACTGGACCGTCCATGGGGTCCAAGACAAACTTCCTTAGCTCAGGAAAGGAAGAACGCCATGGAGGGTCCAGTTAGTTATTCATCCGTTTGACAAATTCTTTTTTTTTTTTTTTGAGACCTAGTCTTGCTCTGTCGCTCCAGCTGTAGTGCAGTGGCGTGATCTCAGCTCACTGGGTAAATGACTCGGGCACTTACCCAGGCTCTAATTCTAGCAGGACTCTTCCTGTTTTCTTATCGCTCAGCTGGTGGAAATGACACCAGCTTGAGCCAACCTCACCAGGTGTCATGAGCAGGAGCATCCAGGGGACCATGTAAATAAGTGCTGTCCCAATGGATGTCATGATTGTCCCTTACCGTGACCTCTCCTCGCAGCACCAGCCCTGCATCTACCAGTAACCTCCCACCTTTGGGCACCTCTCAGAACTCAGAACCTCTCTGTGAGCAGCCCTCCTTTCTGCCTTCCTCTTTCCTTTCTCCTTATTAAATCACTCTTTTCTCAGTCTTTTGTGCTGGAAACTCAAGTCATATCTAGCTTTTCTCTCTCCATGGCCTCCCCTTTCCTGCTCCAAGTCTGGCTGCTTCTTTCCTTTCATGGCCCTCATTTCCTGGGCCGTCACCTCTAGGCAGGAGTCCCTCCCTCCCGTGTGACCATTGTCAAGGCCTTGACCGTCTTCTGCCTCTGGAGTTTCCTGCCCCACCTCACCAATGTGGCCAGAGAGATCTCCCAAAGTGCAGCTCTGACCTCATGCCCCTAATTCAAAAATAACTGATGGGCTGGGCACGGTGGCTGACACCTGTAATCCCAGCAATTTGAGAGGCCAGGGCAGGTGGATCACCAGAGGTCAGGAGTTCGAGACCAGCCTGGCCAACATAGTGAAACCCCCATCTCTACTAAAAATACAAAAAATTAGCTTGGCATCGTGGTGCGTGCCTGTAATCCCAGCTACTTGGGAGGCTGAGACAGGAGAATTGCTTGAACCCAGGAGATGGAGGTTGCAGTGAGTCGAGATTGCGCCACTGCAGTCTAGCCTGGGTGACAGAGTGAGACTCCGTCTTTAATAAAAAGAAAAAAATGACTGATGGATGAACCAACTGCACATAACCTCCTCTCTGGCTTTCCAGGGCCTCCCACCCCCTGGTCCCTCTGACTATTAAGAGGGACCCTCTTGGCCCCTGCATTTCTTCCCTCCAGCCGCAGTCAGCCCCCTGCCTCTCCTGAGCGTGTGCTGAGCATCTGCCTCCCTGCCTGTGCACACTGTGCTCCTCTGGCTGGATCATCAATTCTCTCTCCTCCCTGCTCTGCTGAAATCCTTTCTATGCTTTAAAATGCAGCTCAAATGCCCCACTGTGCTATTTCTATGCTAAATCCACACTCCTCTCACTGTACACACCACGTCGGCTCAGAAGTGTTTGTTTGCATTCCTTCCTTGGCTTCCTCACTAGACTGAATTCCTGAGAGTGGAGAGGATGTGTCTTGTTTCCACTCCCAGCACTGTCCGGTCCAACCAGCGAGAAGTGATTGCTGGTTTTGGGAGACTCCTTGCTCTCCTTCCTTCTTCGCCCGGGTCTTGGGTGCTGACCTTATGAAAGGGCAGCCTGGGGTTTTTCTTGGCATCACCAGCACATAGCTGGGTTATGCACACAGCACGTTGCCCAGTTCCTGGCTTGGAGGGAGTGTGCTCATGTTTGATGGTTACAACAATGGATGGGAACCCATAGCCAGTGGCTTCGATGCCTCTGTCCTGATGGGAAGCTGAGAAGGAATTGACGGTACCCTTCTTTCTTTTGGGTCACTACCGTCCTGCAGCTTCAGCGTTTCTTTGTGCTGGAGCAAGTGCAGTTGCCAAGACCGCAGAGGAAGGGGGTGGAGGAATGGCCTCAGCCATCTCAGAGGACGGCACTTGTTGCCCCCAGTGCCACTGGCCAAAGACCTTTTCAATTACACCAGACGCATTGGCTCTAGGCAGCCTCAGCTTCCTGTCACCACGGACTCTGTTTAATGTCTCAGCTGGACTTGGCTGCATCAGAGATTGCAGGGAATATGGCTGGTCCACTTGGGTGGATTTGCACATGGCCATCCTGTACATGTGCCCTTCTGCCAGCCTGGCAGCCTCTCCCTTCGTCTGCCTTTTCCTTGGAAGTGCATCAGCAGGGGGAGCTGGATCTATCCTCAACCTAATGGAAAGCAGACGTCCCCGCACGCAGAGGAGCAGGCTGCCTTGCAGGGTTTTTCTGGAATAGCTCAGATGGTTGTTATTTTATTCATTGGAATGGAGATGAATTGCTAAATGTACCAGTTAAATGTGATTTAAATTGTATATCTTTGTCAAGTTTTTCACATAAATTCACTCATTAAAAAAAAATTCTTTGCACAGACATTTGCCTTTATTTTTGTGTTCCATGAGCTGGGGAGACAAAATGTTCTAGCTGGGAAGACCATTTTCTGTTTCTAAACTACATGAAGGTTTGCCTTTAAGACATTAGACATAAGACACTAGAAGGCTAAAGTCAGCCTGTTTGTGGGCAGCCTTAAAGCATCCCCAGAGGTCCTTGTTAAAGAACTAGTAGGTCCTCATATAACCATTTATTTTATTTTATTTTTATAATTTATTTTTTAAAGGCAGGGTCTTTCTCTGTTGCCCAGGCTGGAGTGCAGTGGTGTGATTGTAGCTGACTGCAGCCTTGAGCTCCTGGGCCCAAGGTATCCTCCTGTCTTAGCCTCCATAGTACCTGGGACCACAGGTGTGTGCCACCATGTCTGGCTAACTCCCATATAACCATTTCTTCCCTTCCAATTTGCCAGCACTTTGACTATCCTTGTTTCATGATCCTCAGTTCCCATGTTGAACTGAAACTTTTGTATTCCTCACGTTGTTTTATTTTCTGTATTTGCTGATGATTTGGCATCTGCGGCCTTGCTGATCTTGGAGAGACCACCTTTCCCGGGGCCAGCTAATTCCTGGAGATGGTAACCACTTGCCTGCAAGTGTGCCTTCCATATTGGAAACCAGCCAATCCAAGGTCCACACCCCCACCTGTCTCTATGACAGAGGATGAAACTCCGGGCCTCTGCCCTAACTACCCTAGGGCCAGGTATGAGGAAACTAGGGGCAGCTCCTATGCTGCAGAGCCCACTGGCAGTCCTCAGCCTGCTCGCCCTGCCTTGCCTGGCCGTTACCATGGAAACCACAATAAAGGCTCTTGCTGGTGTTTCCAGCCTCTCTCCCTCCCCCTCCTGACCCACCCTGGTGCCTCCCCATGTGACCCTGCGTGGTGTGCCGTACTTCCTCTTTCTAGGGGTCTGTGAATATAAAAAACTTCTTCCCTCATGACAGCAATTTTCATGTTGCATGTTAAAACAAATCCTGGGTGTAATTTGCAACAACTTTTGACCTCTCTTCAGCTCAAATCTTGGTAATGACCACTCAAACTTACAACGGGACTTGGCTTCTTGTCCGTGGCCCTGACTCTTTAGCCAGAAAGTGAAGCTATCATCTTGTTAACAGAAAAAAGGTCCCGATCCAGACCCCAGGAGAGGGTTTTCAGATCTCACATAGGGAGGAATTCAAGGTGAATCACAGAATGCAGTGAAAGAAGCAAGTTTATTAGAAATTCTCCATTGCAGAGCAGGGTGACCTCAGAGAGCAAGCGGAGGAACGCACCATCTTTAAGTTTTTCTCATAGAGGGTCTTGTCTAAGTAGAGACTAAAGCTAAGCTGTGTTTAGGTGCAGATGGGCAGACAGCATGACAAAATGGATTCTTCTATTGACTTAAAGAAAACTACCCTTGACATTTAAGAGTGTAAGTACATCAAAGCATAACTCTAATTATCTTTTTTTTTTTTTTTTTTTTTTTTTGAGACAGAGTCTCGCTCTGTTGCTCAGAGAGTGCAATGGCACGGTCTCGGCTCACTGCAACCACTGCCTCTCGGGTTCAAACGATTCTCCTGCCTCAGCCTCCCAAGTAGCTGGGACTACAGGCACATGCCACCACACCCAGCTAATTTTTGTATTTTTAGTAGAGACGGGGTTTCACTATGTTAGCCAGGCTTCTCTCGAATTCCTGATCTCGTGATCCATCCGCCTCAGCCTCCCAAAGTGTTGGGATTACAAGCGTAAGCCACCCCGCCCAGCCGCATAACTGTAATTATCTTACAAGCACATATTGCTATGGGTATTGGGGCATGTGGACTTTCTGTTGTTATAGGGGTGTGTCCTTGCAGGTGTCTTTGACTTGTTTTCTCAGCTGTAAACATCTTATGACCATGTGACTGGCAAGGATGTGCCTTACTAGCTTTAAGATGGAGTTGATTGTAAAATGGTGTCTCTCTGGCTCTCCTAGACTCCTGCTTTCCTCATATCCTGACTCTGCAGGCTCCCTTCGTTCATTCCTCTCTGTCTAAGTGTCAAACCGGACACAACAAGCAGAGCTGAACTCATGCTTGGAAGAGAAGTTCACCTTTGTGTTATAATTTGAGTTGGCCTAAGAACTCTCCAAGACCCCAAATAAACTGGACTCTGATGCCTGAAAACTTCCCACAACAAAATTCCTTTTCCTTGAGTATAACCCTCTCCTTATTCTTTTTGAGACAGGGTCTCACCTGTTACCCAGGCTGGAGTGCAGTGGTGCAATCTCGGCTCACTGCAACTTCTGCCTCCCCGGCTCAAGCGATTCTCCTGCCTCAGCCTCCTGAGTAGCTGGGATTACAGGTGCGTGCCACCATGCCTGGGTAAGGTTTCACCATGTTGGCCAGGCTGGTCTTGAACTCCTGGCCTCAAGTGACCTACCCACCTTGATCTCCCAAAATGATCCTCTCATCTTTTTGTTTTAAAATGAGCTTTTCCAGTTACTTTCCCCTTATAATAACAGAATCGAGATTGGATCAAATTGGCAACCAAGACATCATGTACCTGTTTCTCCTCCCACCCCAAATCCCGTAAAATGAAAGAAAATACATCTTTAATAAGGAGGCCCTCCAAGCTCAAAGTCGTCAGTTGCCCACCACCCAGACTAAGAGTATTCAGTGGAATAATGTGTATTCTGATTAGCACTAGATTTTAACAGATAAAAATGAATTTAAAGGCTATCACACACAAAAAAATAGGATCATAATGTAGAATTCCCAAATCATTAGAAAACAACTGCAATCCAATAGTTGGAAATTAAAAAGAATAAGAAAGCATGGTAAAAAAAAAAAATTAGGAATAAAAGATAATTAGAAATAAATCTAAGTACACCACTACTCACAATAAATAAAATGGGTTTAAATGTTCTATTAAATGTCCCTCAGATTGGGTTAAGAAAAAAAAAACCCTCAAATCCAAGAATACACAGTATATAGGAGATCTTCCTAAACTAAAATGTTATAGGAGAGTTGAGAAAGAAAAACAAAAAAACATGAAAAAAGAATTCCAGCTGGGTGCGGTGGCTCATTCCTGTAATCCCAGTACTTTGGGAGGCTGAGGCAGGTGGATCACTTGAGACCAGGAGTTCGAGATCAACCTGGCCAACAAGGTGAAACCCCATCTTTACTAAAAATAGAAAAAAATTAGGGGTGTGGTGGCAGGCACCTATAATCCCAGCTACTGGGGAGGCTGAGGCAGGAGAATCTCTCAAACCCAGGAGGCAGAGGTTGCAGTGAGCCAAGATTGTACCGCTGTACTCCAGCCTGGGCGACCAAGTGAAATCCTGTCTCAAAACAACAACAACAACAAAAAAAAAACAATTCCATGATTTATACATGTATTGAAACATCACATTGTATCCCATAAACATATACAATTACTATTTATCAATTAAACATAAAATAAAACTTTAAAAAATTTGAAAAAAATATATTT
The DNA here is from genome assembly GCF_000001405.40 of Homo sapiens. Classification (NCBI taxonomy): domain Eukaryota; kingdom Metazoa; phylum Chordata; class Mammalia; order Primates; family Hominidae; genus Homo; species Homo sapiens. The sequence continues at coordinate 26,470,143 of NC_000008.11, forward strand.
TAAACAATAATAAAAAGAACATAGAGCATTATTTGTATCGAAAAAATAAAATTCAAAGTGAAACTTATCATAAGATAAGAGTGTGATTCTTAGTTATAAAAGTTCCAGTTTGCCAAGGAGTTATAATACAGTCATGCATTGCTTAACAAGGGGGGTTCGTTCCAGAAATGAGCTGTTAGGTGATTTTGTCATGCAAACATCATGGCGTGTACTTCCAAAAACTACATGCTATAGTCTCCTTCACATCTAGGCCATATGGTATGACCTATTGCTCCTAGGCTACAAACCTGTACAGCACGTTACTGTACTGAATACTTTAGACAATCGTAACATGATGGTATTTGTGTATTTGAATCTGTCTAAACATAGAAGAGGTAATGCATTGTGCTACAACATTATGATGGCTATGTCACTTGGCAGTAGACATTTTTTAGCTCTGTTATATTATCCACTATAATCTCATGAGGCCCATTCTGTGTATGCAGTCTGTCATTGACCAAAATGTCCTTATGTGGTGCATGACTGTAGTTACAAATCTTTATGTACCTAATAACAGCTTCAAAACAATAAGGCATAAACTGATAGAAATTCAAAGAGAAATGTATGAATTCATAATCATGGTGGGAAGAGTTAAAAAATTCCCCTTTCTCAGATATTGACAAATAAACAAAATTTAAGTGAGAATATGTAGGGTTCAAATCAATTAACACATTTTACAAATAACTCTATGTAGAATTTTATAGCTCCCAAAAGAGACTACATTATTTTTACACACTTAAGGTACAAGAATAAAAACTAGAGACCAGGCCATAAAGAAAAGCCGCAATCCAAAATTGCAGGATGTCCACAACAACAAAAATGACTGCAAAAGAGGAAATAAAAAATGAAATTATGCATATAGTAACTTAAGAAAGAGAATCCAAAACTATTAGTAGTGATTACTTCTGGGGAAGAGAGTGGGGGTGAACATGGAATTTTTACAATTAGCCACATGTATGAAGTATTTGCTTGAAGTTTTTATGTTATTTTATTATTTATTTATTTATTTATTTTTGAGACAGGGTCTCACTGTTGCCCAGGCTGGAGTGCAGTGGTGCAATCCCAGTTCACTGCAGCCTTGACTTCCCAAACTCAGGTGATCCTCCCACCTCACCCTCCCAAGTAGCTGAGACTACAGGCGTGTGCCACCACGCCTGGGTAATTTTTTTATTTGTTGTAGAGACAGGGTTTTGCCATGTTGCCCAGGCTGGTTTTGAACTCCTGGCTCAAGCAATACACCTGCATTTGCCTCCGAATATGGTGGAATTACAGGCATTAGCCATGGTGCCCAACCTGCTTGAAGTTTGTATTACTGAGTGTGTAATTTTCAATTGTTTAAGGTAACAGGTATACAAAGTAACAAATGAATATATAATAAGCTCCCTTTTCCAATTTACAAAAAAAAAAACACTGAAAAAATAAATAGTTTAGAAATAAAGTCATAAAAACCATTATATAGCAAAGCCTGTGGATGATGACAAAGCAGTAGCCTGGATAAACGTGCAGCTTCAAAGGTACTGATTAGACAGTAATAAACACAAATGAACTAAGCATTCAACTGAAAACAGCTTTTTAAAATCCTCCCCAAATTAAAGAAAGGCCAATCCAAATAAAAGGTACAAACATCAAAAAGAGATGACTATTATTTGCAGTTACTACAATTATCTACTATAAACACAACGTAGAGAATCAATGGAAACATCCAGTAGTCCAGTAAATAAGAATAAAACGAAGTGATACCTTTGCTCCTTATTTAGACAAAATTTAGATTTTCCACTGTTGCTAGGGATGTGGGAAACAGGCACTTGAATATAGTGTCGGTGGAGATATAAATTGGTCAACTTTTTAAAAGTTTTAGTTCTTATATATATATAATAGAGATGGGGGTCTCACTAGGTTGCCCAGACTGGTCTCAAACTCTAAGGCTCAAGTGATCTTCCTACCTCAGCCTCTCAAACAGTTGTGGTTACAGGTATATGCCACCACACCCAGTTAAATTGGTCTATTTTTGAGAGCAATTCTGGAGAATCTACCAAAGTTTCAAATACACTTATCCTTGGACAAATAACTACACTTATCGTTATTCTGTTAATTCTAGAGCAACAGTTCCACATCTGCTTGAAGAAACTTGTGCAAGGAATTTGGGGCAGCATTGTTTGAAATCACAGAAAATTAGGAGCAATCTAAATGTTTATCAACTTGAAACATATATTCTCGTCTGTTTATGCTATGGAATACCATGTGGAATGAAAAAGAATGATATCAATGTACTGACAGAGACTATGTAAGATATATTGTTAATTGAAAACATATAGAAATGAAAAAACAGATGTTTTGTCAGATACAGCTGTTGGCTGTCTGAAAAGCAATTGTCAACTGCCTTCTTTGATGTCGTTCCTTCTGGTGGTTGAAAGAGTTAAACACTGGCCTTTCTAGCTTCCACTGCATCTAGAGGTGGCCATGGGACACACCTGGCAAATGAAATGTATGGAAGTCTGTTGGTGGGCTTCTGGGAAATATTTTCCTGATGAAAGGCTGAATACAGCAGCCCTTTCCTCTTTTTCCTACATTGAACACACAGGAATGTAGCAGGTGGACTGTGGGAGGGGCCATCTTGCAGCCTCAAGGTCAAGAACACAAAGGAAAGCCCCTGAAAATCATTAAGACAGGCTGGGCATGGTGGCTCATGCCTGAAATCCCAGCACTTTGGGAGGCCGAGGCAGGCGGATGGTTTGAGGCCAGGAGTTTGAGACCAGCCTGAGCAACATGGCGGAACCCCATCTTTACAAAAAATAAAAAAATTGGCCCCGCATGGAGGTGCATGCCTGTAGTCCCAGCTACTTGGGGGAAAGAGGCAGGAGGGTCACTTGAACTCAGGAGGTCGAGGCTGCAGTGAGCTGAGATCGCGCCCCTCCTCTCCAGCCTGGGTGACAAAGTGAGATCTTGTCTCAATAAATAAATAAATAACAAAAAATAAAAAACAATCACTAAGACAGTGGGGCCACCTAATGTCACTGAGCCTCTGAGCTAACTCTCAGACCTATTTATGTACAGAATTCTTGGATTGTGAGTCAAATAAAAACACCATTTATTTAAGTCACTTTTAGTAAAAGATTCTAGATGAACGCATTTCTAATGGATACAACCCCTTATTGGTATAGGTACATCCATGTAAATGCATAGAGAAGATTTGTAACAATTCACACCAAATTGTATATGACTACAACTCAGGAATGAAATAGGATTGCCTTTTCACTCTAAATACTTTTATAGTATTCTGACTCTTTCTTTCTCTTCTTCCTTTCTTTTTTTTCTTCCTTTCTTTTCTTTTTCTTTCTTTCTCTCTTTCTTTTTCTTTCTCTTTCTTTCTTCTTTCTTTCTTTCTTTCTCTTTTCTTTCTTTCTTCCCTCCCTCCCTCTTTCCCTCCCTTTCTTTCTTTCCTTCCTTCTTTCTTTCTTTCTTTTTTTTTTTTTTTTTTTTGAGACAGGGGCTTGCTCTGTCACCCGGGCTGGAGTGCAGTGGTCCAATCAGCTCACTGCAGCCTCAAACCCCTGGGCTCAAGCGATCCTCCCACCTTAGCCTCCCAACTAGCTGGGACCACAGACACGTTCCACCATTCCTGGCTAATTTATTGTTTTCATTATTTATTTATTTTTTTAGAGATGCATGTTATGTTGCCCCGGCTGGTCTTGAACTCCAGGGCTCAAGTGATCCTCTTGCCTCAGCCTCTCAAAGTGCTTGGATTACAGGCTTGAGCCACTGCACAGAGCCTCTGAATTTTTTCAATAAGGAAGTTTTTATGTATCAATCATGTAATTAAAAAAATTTAGAAAACACAAAAATAAAACCTCACTGTTGGAATTTTGGGGTTATAGCCAAATAGAAACAAAAGAGTATCACTCATAGTTCCATCACAAAGAAAAAAAATTGTCAGTTTGCTCTGTCTTTTTTTAACAAAAAATAAAATAAAACATAAAATTAATAAAACAATTTCCAAAGCAGGAGTAAAAGTTCATTAAAAAGTTTTAGAACAGTAAGAAAAGGAAGGAAAGGAAAGAAAGGAAGGAAAGTGCACTAGGAAGAGGACCAAGTGAGCAGCTCGAGAAACCAAGCAAACAAGTGCATGGCGTGACCTCTTGACTCGTGGTTTTCTACATTGGCATATTTCTGGGGTCTTGCGTCACTTCTCCCCACTCCTGAGATCTTACTGGGAAGCTGAAGGTCAGTTTCACGTGAGGATCAGGTATCTGTTGGGAGACTGCCTTTCCCTGGGGCTGGCTGTGACCAGTTAATTAATAGATTTTATGTTTTGGGAGGTTTCGATTTATAGAAAAATTGAGCAGATGGTACAGATAGTTCCTACGTACTTCCTCCCACCAGCTTCCCTTGTTTATTAACATCTTGCATTAGTGTGGTACATTTGTCACCATCAATGAGCCAATATTGATACACTATTATTAACTGAATTCTATGCTTTATACCAAGGTCACTTTGTGTTATACTGTTCTATGGGTCTTGATAAATGCGGAATGTCATGCCTACATCATACAACATACAGTGTCACACTGAACAGTTTCACTGCCCTCAAATTCCTCTGTGCTCTGTCCACTCATCCCTCCTTCTCCCCACCCTCCATCCCTGACAACCACAGATACTTTTTTTTTTAAGACAAAGTTTCGCTCTTGTTGCCTAGGCTGGGGTGCAATGGTGCCATCTTGACTTACCACAACCTCCGCCTGCCTCAGCCTCCCGAGTAGCTGGGATTACGGGCATGCGCCACCATGCCCGGCTAATTTTTGTATTTTTAGTAGAGATGGGGTTTCTCCACGTTGGTCAGGCTGGTCTCGAACTCCTGACCTCAGATGATCTGCTGGCCTCGGCCTCCCAAAGTGCTGGGATTACAGGCGTGAGCCACCGTGCTTGGCCAACTACAGATACTTTTATTGTCTCCATACTTTTGCCTTTTTTAGAATGTCATACAGTTGGAATCATACAGTATGTAGCCTTTTCAGATTGGCTTCTTTCAATTAGCAACACACACTTAAAGTTTCTCTGTGTCTTTTCGTGGCTTGAGAGCGCATTTTTTTTTTTTTTTTTTTTTTTTTGAGATGGAGTCTCACTCTGTTGCCAGGCTGGAGCGCAGTGGCGCGATCTCGGCTCACTGCAACCTCCGCCTCCAGAGTTCAAGCAATTCTCCCGCCTCAGCCTCCTGAGTAGCTGGGACTACAGGCCCGTGCCACCATACCCGGCTATTTTTTTTTGTTTTTTTTAGTAGAGACGGGGTTTCACCGTGTTAGCCAGGATGGTCTCGATCTCCTGACCTCGTGATCTGCCCGCCTCAGCCTCCCAAAGTGCTGGGACTACAGGCGTGAGCCACCATGCTCAACCACAACTCACTTCTTTTTAGCCCTGAATAACATTGCATTGTCTGGATGTGCTACAGTTTACCCATTCACCTACTCAAGGACATCTTGGTTGTTTCCAATTTTTGGCCATTACAAATGAAGCTGCTATAAACATCTGTGTGTAGCTTTTTGTATGGGTGTACGTTTCAACTCAACTGGGTATATATCTAGGAGCACAATTGCTGAGTTGTACAATCAGACTATGTTTAAATTTGTAAGACGCTGCCAAACTGTCTTCCGAAGTAGCTGTACCATTCTGTACTCCTTGCCAGCAATGAATGAGAGTTCCTGTTGCTCTGTACACATTTGGTATTGTCATATTTGGGGATGTTAGCATTCTGATACGTGTGCAGTGGTATCTCACTGTGGCTTTCATTTGCAATGATCTCCTGACATATGGTGTTGCACATCTGTTCATATGCTTATTTGCCATCTGTTGCTCTCTTTTCAAAAAGTGTGTAACCTAGGTAACAGCTGGGGTCTTCCAGCCCCTTGAAAATCAGATAAGATTTATTAAATTCCTTATTCCAAGCTCTGTGAAGGTGCTAATGCCTATTCCAGATACATGTAGACTAGATTAGACAAGGAAAGACTCATAGCAGTGGATGAATTTTTAATACTTAACATTCTTTACACATGTTAAATATTGAGTGTTTTACAAATGCCTTCCCTGCACTATCTCATTTAGACTTGGCAATAACCTTGTCTCAGATAGGCGTGGCAGGTATTATCCCATTTTAAAAATCAGAATGGGGACCAGGTACAGTGGCTCATGCCTGTGATCCCAGCACTTCAGGAGGCAGAGGTGGGAGGATCGCTTGAGATCAGGAGTTTGAAACCAGCCTAAACAACATAGGAAGACCCCTTACCCCTACAAAAAAATGAAAAAATTAACTGGGCTCGGTGGCATGCACCTGTACTCCCACTTACTTGGAAGGCTGAGATGGGAGGATTGCTTGAGCTCAGGAGCTGGAGGTTACAGTGGGTATGATTGTGCCACTGCACTCCAGCCTGGGTGACAGAGCGAGACCTTGTCTCTTAAAAGAAAATCAGGGTGAATTTCTGTGAAAATTCGATGAATTTTCCCAGCTTATAAAACTCTAAGTGGCAAAGCTGGGACATGAACAAAGTCTTTTTTACTCTGAAGCTAGAGGTCTTTTCACTATGCCCCTAAATTCCTTCAGGAGGAAACCCACTTTTATCCCAAAAACCTGGGAGGGCAGTAGCTGTCATTATCTCCTGCTGCTGTGAGGGTCATTGACATTTCCAAGTCCACACAGCCAGGAAGCAGTGGGAAGTCTGGGTTCTTTACTACTGCATCCAGGAACTTGATTTGGGGTAGAGCTGGGGTGTGGGGTCTTAGTCCCTCCCAGAGGGGCTTTGATTGCATCCGGCTTTTTGTTGATCGGGAAGGCTGGACGTTCAGAGCAGGGTGTGGGGCAAGGGGTAGTCACCAGTTAGTGAGGGAAGAAGGGCACTAAAGCATGTTTTTCTCTCCTGATACTTTGACATCTTGGGGCCTTGCTGACACTTGGGGGACTGCCCCTCCCAGAGCTAGCCAGTTCCCAGAGATAATAAAGGACTCCTGCTCAGAAGCAGGCCTTTCATGTGCAAACCAACCAATCCAGAGCCCACACCCCACCAAAACCCCAAAGCACAAATTATAAGTGAACACATTGATGGATTTAAGCACATCAAAAATAACATCTTTTTTTTAAGCAAAGGACAACATAGGTAGGCATTAGTAATATAAGAGACTGAAAAAGTTATCTCTAACATTGAAAACATAAAGGCTAATATCCAGATTATATAAGCAAACTGCAGATCAAAGACAAATCAAATAGAAAAATGGGCAATGCTTATGAAGAGAATAATCACTGAAAGAGAAAATGGAATGACTAACAAGTCTGTGAAGAGATGCATAAATTCATTAGTAATCAGAAATTCAAATTAAAACAACAATGAATGCCTCTTCACAGTCATCAGACTGGTAAACTAGTAAATGGGATAATGCCAAGTGCAGAAAAAAATGTGGGAAAACAGAGGAGTGGAGACATGAACGGGCACTTCAGAGAGATTACCACCAGTACGGGGCAATGGAATATGGATATATTCTGTTGGATGGCTAACTTTATGAGTCAACCTGATCAAGCTATAGTACCCAGATATTTGCTTCAACACTTTATTCTACATATTGCAGTGAAGGCATTTTTTTAGATGTGATGAATGTTTAAATCAGTGGACCTGAGTAAAGCAGATGATCCTCGTTTAAGGTGGGTGATCTACTCAGTTGACGGTCTTAAGACTGAGGACCTGGGGAAGAAGGAATTCTGCCTCCAGATGGCCTTTGGAATTGAGCTGCCATATCACCTCTTCCCTGGGACTACAGCCTGCCAGCCGGTTGGCCTTCTGATATGATTTGGCTCTGTGTCCCCACCCAAATCTCATCTCGATTTGTAATCCACACGTGTTGAGGGAGGGATCTGTAATCCCCATGCGTCAAGGGTGAGAGGTGATTGGATAATGCGGGTGGTTTCCCCTATGCTGTTCTTATGATAGTGAGTGAGTTCTCTTGAGGGCTGGTGGTTTTATAAGTGCTCGGAAGTTCCTCCTTCGCTCTTCTCTCTCCTGCTGCCTTGTGAAGAGGGTGCCTGCTTCTTTTTTTTCCATGATCGTAAGTTTCCTGAGGCCTCCATAGCCATGTGGGACAGTGAGTAAATTAAACCTCTTTCCTTTACAAATTACGCAGTCTCAGGGAAGTTCTTTATAGCAGTATGAAAACGGACTAATATGCCTTCCATGCAAATTTTAGGTTTGCTAGTCTTCACAATCATGTGAAGGAATTGCCATTCATTAAAATCAAACTCCCTCTCTCTCTCTCTCTCTACACACACACACACACACACACACACAATAATTTGAATGTGTCCCCAAAGTTCATATGTTAGAAACTTAATCTCCAATGCAACAGTGTTGAGAGGTGGGACCTTTAAGAAGTGATTTATGTCAATATCTCGAGAGTACATTTATTATAAAAGTGAGCTTAACCCCCTCTTGCTCTAACCCTCTCTTGTATTTCAACCTTCTGCTCTGTTACAACACAGCAAGAAGATCCTTGCCAGATTGTGGCACATTGATATTGAACTTCCCAACCTCCAGAACTGTGAGCTGAATACATTTTTATTGTTTATAAATTACCCAGTCTGTGGTATTCTGTTACAGCAGCACTAAGGCAACACCCAGTTGGTTCTGTTTCTCTGGAGAGCCCTGACTAATAAACTTGTGTTGCTGAAATCTCCCTTCTCTGGCCTGGCTCCATCCCAAGGCAAGAGAGTAAAGGTTCTCTCTTTGGAGGAAGGGGGCAGTTTGAGGAAAAAGAGCTCCAAATCCTGACACTGGCTGGGTTCCCTCTGTGTTCCACACGGTGAAGCCCATCAGTCAACAGGTCTCGGCAGTGCACCAGAACATTCAGTCAGTGTTTTTGTGCCTCATTCTTAAATGGTACATACAGAAGGTCAAGATTTCTGGATATTTGCAGAATGCATCCGGCATGAAAAACAGAGACCAAAACAAACAAAGAAAAGGGACTCAGAGGGAAAAGAAGCAATACTCGGAGGAAAAGACAAAGAAATAAAAAATTACCTACCTCCTCAGATGACAAAAGGAATGATCAAATTCATGGAACAAAACCAGGAGGACTTAAAAGAAATAAGAAGAGGTTTTGGAAATTTAAATATGAGAGCAGGAATTTTTTAAAATGCTAGAAGAGAAAGTTAAGGAAGTTTCCAGAAAGTATAACAAAAGATAGAGAGAAAGGATAAAAAAATGAGAGGGTTAGTCCTGGAGAATAATTTGTGTGTAGTGGAAATTCTACAAATAAAGAACAAGAAAAATAAGAGGGAAATAATTATCAAAGAAATAGCACCAGGCATGGTGGCTTACTCCTGTAATCCAGCACTTTGGGAGGACAAGAGAGGAGGATCACTTGAGCCCAGGAGTTCGAGACAAGCCTGGGCAGCTTGGTGAAACCCTGTCTCTACTGAAAAATGGAAAAATTAGTTGGGCTTGGTGGTGCACGCCTGTAGTCCCAGCTACTTGGGAGGCTGAGCTGGAAGGATTGCTTAAGCCTGGAAGGTCCAAGCTGCAGTGAACTGAGATTGCACCACTGCACTCCAGCCTGGGCCACAGAGCAAGACTCTGTCTCAAAAAACAAACAAACAAACAAATAAAAAACCCACCGACAACTACAAAAAACCACTCTGGGCCCAGGATAATGAATGAAGAGAAACAGACTCATACCAGGGCACATCTTCATGAACATTGGGGATTAAAGAAAAGATCCCAGAAGCTTCCTGAAAAAATATCAGGTCAAATAGCAAAGGATTTGGGAATCACAAAAGCAACTGACTTCTTGACAACACTGGTAAATATTAATGCCTTCAAATTCTGAAGGAAAATTATTTCAAACACAGTATTCAATAGTCGGGCAAACTATCAATCAAGTAGGAGAGGAAAATAAAGACACTTCGATACCTGCAAAGCCAAAAAAAAAAAAAAAAAAGGGACTTCCCATTATCTTATCTCAGGAAGTAAATGAAAGATTTGCTCAGTTAAAGGTGAAGAAAACAGGGACTGTGTTACATGAACGAGGTAAGGGGACTTCCCAGGAGAATGAAGCAGGCCCAGAGGAAAGCCAGGAGGAGGAGCTTGCAGGGTGTGTCTAGAGCAAACAAAACATACATGTGACAGGTTTCTAAATATCTTGGACCATAATGAGAGGAGTTTGAAAGTTGTATTGGAGAGTTTTGGGCCAAAATTAGTGAGCAGTACATATTTAATAAAAAGCTAAGCCAAATTGGCTGGGCACAGTGGCTCAGGCCTGTAATCCCAGCACTTTGGGAGGCTGAGGCAGGCAGATCATTTGAGGTCAGAAGTTCAAGACCAGCCTGGCCAACATGGCGAAAACCCACCTCTATTAAAATACATAAAAATTAGCATCACTTACACTTTTTGTGTGTTTCCTTCTATTCCACACATTTCTTAACCAAGTTCAGTCTAGCTTTCTGCTCCTCATGCCACCAAAACAGCCTCTGATAAATTCATCAGTGATCCCTACGTTGTTAATGGCAACTCGTACTTGAGCCTCATCGGACTTGAATTCTTGGCTGCATTTAACTCTATGGACCACTCAACCTCCCTTCTTGAGAGTCTCTTTCCATTGACCTCAGTAATCCAGAGCTTGGTCTCCTGGACTGCCAGCCATGGAGACGTTCCTTCAGGCTTTGCTGCCTCTGCTTGGATACCACATGCTGCTTTTCCTCAAGGGGTGGGGGCCCTAAGCTCTCCTATCTCTCCATGCTGTCTCCTAAGCCCATCTTGTTCAGTCACGTCTATAATCTGTCTACTACAGATGATGTAGAAATTGTCTCCGGCCCAACTTGTTCTCTGAACTCCAGGTCAGTGTCACCCTTTTGAACAGCTCAGAGCTTCCCTCAATGTGAACATGCTCCAAACCAAACTCCTGACTTTGACCCTAGTCCTGGTCCTCTTCCAGCAGCCTCTGTCTCCTTCACCATCCAGATGGGCAAGCCAGATGCTCAGAGCCATTCTCCACCACTCCTCTCCCTCATCCCCTTACCCAAGTATCATCAATATTAGTTCGAAAATGTTTCTCAAATCTGTTCACTTCCCTCTATGGCCACCATCACCACCAAAAACAGTAGCAACCTTGTTCAGACTGTTTTGTCTCACCTGAACTACTGCAAATGGGACAGCAGGCAGTGACCTCATCAACGCGGAAATCTCATGTCATTCTCCTGCTTCCAGAATAGGTAACGCCCCTAGCGTGGCCCCTGCACCACCTCCACTCACTCTGCTCCATTCACCTTGGCCTTATTTGGCTCCTCCTACCTTCCGTGTCCCCTCACACCACAGACCTTTTGCACACTCAGTGTCCTCCTGCCAGAATCCTTCAGCCTTGCCTCGATTCCTAGCAGTGCCTGCTCAGTCCTCATATCTGGACTCATGCATCACTTAGCAAGGAAGCTGTTCCCTGGCGGGGACAAAGCTCCTTATGACAGCACAGGCTCTTTCTCCTGTGAAGCGTCTGTCACAGTCTCAATTTTATACAGCATGTGCCTTGCATTTAGTGCCCGCTTTCACCATTAAATTGTGAGCTCCACGAGGTTGGAGATTATATCTGCTTTTGCTCACCATTTATCCCCAGGACTTAAAACACTGTCAGACTTATAACAGGCACTCAATAAATATTTGTCGAATGAATTGGTGACTACATAAATCACTTTGCTATGGGGCCCTCGACACAGGACTGACCCTCCCCATCGCCTTCTCCTGAGGCTGGCAAAATAATGCAAATTGTAGAAAAAAATAGCCTGAAAACCTGAGTGAGTCTAACACAGATGAATCCTATTAGACTCTGCTAAAAAGAATGGTTTTTGACTTTCTGGGAAAGGATCCAGTACAAGGAAATAGTGTTTCTTTCTCCCAGCACACGGCTGTGTCCAAAGTCCAGCTTGTATTTGACATCATCCCCGTTTCCTTAGAGCTCAAGCAAAGCTCTCGGTATTTCAGATGCCAAAGTCTGGACACATTTGTGAGGTTTGAATTTCTGCACCTTACTTACGTGACTCACAGGAGGAAAGTGCCTGGACTTGGCAGTGGCAGCCTCCTCTCCCATGTGGATCAGGTCGCCATATGATGGGCTCAGATGGGGACCTCTGTTTCTCCCAGGAGCCCACAGCCTGTCTCATCCAGGACAGGGCATGCACTGGGAGCATGTTTGGACCACAGACCCTCCTGCTGAGTCATCTGCCTCCAAACTTTGAAACAAATCCATTAAGGGCAGCTTTGGGGAACGACGTAATATTTTTAGGTGCCTGCTCACTTCATGCCCCCTTCTCCTGAGAATCCCTTCTGCAGAAGGGCAGGGCTCAGCTAGCACCATCTCAGGTCACAGTTGACGGGACCATGGCGGGACAACCCATGGACTGCAGGTAAATGAGATGATCCTCCTGGAATGGGCTGGCAGGGAGACTCTCTCGTAGACAAGTCAGGAGTCCACTTGGAGTCAGGGCTGGCATGATCTTTCCTTCTGCATGGACAGAGAGACAGGGCAGGCTGACATGCAGAGAGACAGGCAGGCTACAGTACAAGGAGACCACTGGGTCGCAGTAAGGTGAAGAGCATAACCTCAGTCCTTGGCCTTCTAGTTCTGGATTCCAGTCCCTTATGAGGCCTGGATGTGTTTCCTACCCTGATATTCCATGAGATACCCCTGAATCCTTCCAGTGGATTCTAATGTGTGCTGGAGCATGTTGCATGCAAACAGAGACAGAGATGAGGTGGGGAGAAGGGGTGCATTGAGGGACATTTCTTTTCTTTGCTTTGCTTGTTTTTTTGGACAGGATCTTTCTCTGTTGCCTAGCTGGAGTGCAGTCGTGTGATCATAGCTCACTGCAGCCTCGAACTCCTAGGCTCAGTCTATCCTCCCATCTCAGCCTCCCAAGTAGCTGGGACTACAGGTGTGTGCCACTATGTCTGGCTAATTCTTTTATTTTATGTAGAGATGAGGTCTCACTATGTTGTCCAGGCTGGTCTTGAACTCCTGGCCTCAAGCGATCTCCCTGCCTTGGCCTCCCAAGTCCCTGGGGAGAGACATTTCTAAGGAAGAAATGCCAGTTTTCCTGACACACTGGAAGTCGGTGTGTAAACGGAAAGAGAAGCAGGCCCTGCCATTGGCTGAATCGTGCCTGGTACTGTGTTAGGAACCTCCCAGGGAGCACCTCTCTTTTGAATTATAAGAACTTTCTGTGGTATATCTTATTATCCTCATTTGACAGACAGGAATCAGAGGCTCAGGAGGTCAGCCAATGTCTCTAGTTTCTAGGTCAGACAGCTAGTAAGTGACATGGAAATGGATGTGGAGCTGGCACTGGAAGCAAACACAGCAACTCTAGTGGCTCTGGCCCAGACTGAACAGCCGATGAGAAGTGGGGGGATGGCTGGAGTGGCCATCGTGTCCCTGTCCACGGAAGCAGCAGCATTTGTGTCTCCTGTCCTGGTTACACCTGGTCATTGTTTGTCCACGCTGCAGAATGCATCAAAGACATTGCCCTGTGGAAAACTCCTTCTCTGCCCCTCAGCCTTGTATCATTTCCTTCTCTGACATGACAAGGTGAAATTAACATTCTAACCTCCGCAGGCAGATGCCAGTCTGACCCATCACTCAGAGCAGCAGAGGTCTGTGCTCAAGTGACTGAGGGGCTGACATATTTCCCATTGTGGGTGGCAGGAGGGAGATGGGAGCAGGAGGGAGGAGGAGGATGGTGTGCGTTCTGATTGTAGGGGGCAGGCAGTTTGCTTTTCCCTCCTGACGCCTTGTCTGCAGGTTCCTACCTGAGGCCCCACATTCTCTCAGGAGCCAGGGCTGACTGTGCTACAAGCTGCCCTTTGGATGAGCAGCACAAGCCTGGTTTCCATGGTAACATCTCAGGAGGAGGATGCGGATTCCAGGCTCTATGTGGCCTTGGGTAAACAATGCGTTGGATGTTTCTGAAAATCTCAGAACCTTCCCTCTACCTTCTCTAACACTGCTTACAAAAAGCAGCTGAAATGAGAAATTAGGTCCATGCGGCTTTTAATATGTAAAAGGAAAATCCCATGTGTTTATTTAACAAACCAAATGTGAGTGGGGGGTTTCAAAAGATTTATGTCTGTCAACATGCTTAGAGAGTACAAAGAATTCTAGGAAGGAATTCTAGTGAGGTGCTGCTGGGTTCCTCCAGGCGTCTCTCTGACACCTGTCTGCTCAGTCACCACCTGACTTAGCAGCCTCTGCAATGCAGCTCGTGCCAGAGCTGGGGCAGTTTGCTCCTTAGCTAAGGGTTCATTCATTCATTCATTCATTCATTCATTCCCACATTCCACCACCACTTATGGACCACCTACCTGGTACCAGGGACTGTACCACCAGTTGGGGACATGAAGAACACGAAAGGAATTCACAGCCCAGCAAAGAAGACAAATAGTGGGAGAAGTGTAAATTACAGATGGATTCAGATCCAAGGCTGAAAAGATTCAAGCTCCAACTGTTACAACTCAACTGTCAAGATGTTTTTGTTAATGGTCAGCCCTTTACTTCCTGCCTTGGTGACTCCCGAGTGCTTTGGTGCCATAGTAAGAGGAGAACAGCCTTTCTCTTTTGATATGGTTTGGGTCTCTGTCCCCATCCAAATCTCATGTCAAATTGTAATCCCCCATGTTGGAGGTGGGGCCTTGTGGGAGGCGATTGGATCATGAGGGTGGATTTCCCCTTTGGTGCTGTTCTTTTGATTATGAGTGAATTCTTATGAGATCTGGCTGTTTAAAAGTGTGTGGCACCTCCCTCTTCGCTCTCTGTCTTCCTCCTGCTCTAGCCATGTGAAGATGTGCCTGCTTCCTCTTTGCCTTTCACCATGATTGTAAGTTTCCTGAGGTCTCCCCAGCCATGCTTCCTGTACAACCTGCAGAACTGCGAGCCAATTAAATCTCTTTTCTTTATAAATTACCCAGTCTCAGGTACTTATTTACAGCAACGCAAAAATGGACTAATAGATCTTTTTACACCACCTGCTAAAGATTGGAGCCCTGTTGTGGAGCCCCTGTGGTTCCCAGGACCTTGTTTTCAGCTGCCTTTCGGATGCTTTAGTATGGTGGGGCAAGACTGTGGGCTTTGAGTCCAAGATCTGGGGTCAAAACTATCCCTGTAATTTGCCACGGTGAGTGACGTCTGAATCTTGATGTCCTCATCTGTAAATTGGAAACATCTCATAGGGCTGTTTGAGGGATAAATGAAATATGTGCAAAGTTCCTGGCACTGAGCTTTGGCCTATGGAAAGAGCTAACTATTAGTCTCCTTCCCTTATACTTTGTCTCAGATTCCCATCCCTTTCCACTTGTTGCCAACTGTTGCCTGTGACCTGGAACTGTTGCTATCTGGGGCCCAGGGTTACTTGCAAAATGGCACCTTCCTTCTAATGGAACCTGCAATGGTTAATTTATGTGTTAACTTGACTGGGCCAACGGATACCCAGACTAAACATTATTTCTGGGTGTGTGGATGTTTCTAGGTGAGATTAGCATTTGAATCAGTGGACTCAGTAAAGGAGTGCCGTCTGCAGTATGGGTGGGTACCATCCAATCTGTTGAGGGTCTGCATAGGACAAAAGGAAAAAGAAGAAGGAATTCTCTCCTTTCTTTACTGCCTCACTGCTGGGAGCTGGAGCATCTCTTCTCTTCCTCTTCTGCCCTTGGAATGGGTTTTATGTCATCGGCTCCCGCAGTTCTCAGGCCTTTGAACTTGGACTGAGCTGCACCACCAGCTTTCCTGGGTCTCTAGCTTGCCAATTGCAGATTGTGGGACTTTTTAGCCTTCATAATTCCATGAGTCAATTTCTATAATATATCTACACATCTCTCTATATATATCCTATTAGTTCTGTGTCCGTAGGGAACCCTGACTAATACAACTCCAAAGCAGAGTGAGATCCCCCCAGCTTCTGGCTGGTCCCCATAGATAAATTGTTTTCTGCACCTTAGAATGTTCATGACTCCCCTGTGCTCTATTCAGTTGTAAGAGAATAGGCAACCACGAGGTTCCTATGAAGGAACTTAATGAAATAAAGTATGTGGGAAAAAGTGTGTTGAAAAGACACGCCCAGCCAGCAAAAGTAAGGTGAAGTTCTCCTCCTCTGTGCATTTAATTGATAATTTATGTTTCTCTTATTCCCTGAATAATCTCATTGCTCCACTTCCCTGAGTCTCAGTGCACAGAAGGATAAAAGTATATACCATATAAATATAAAAGTATATACCATATAAATATATAAGCATATAATTTTATCCATCCATGTTCACTGGGAGGCTCTGAAGAAAGCAAGTACGAATTCTGGGTCAGAAGGAAAAGTAGGTGGGGACTCTGGCTCAGAAAGCTGGGGAAGGACAGGAACAAAGAAGGACCCTAGGCACACATCGGGCCATTCAGATGCTTCCTTCCTCAAAGATGCTTGCCAGGGATTGGCTTTGAACACTTTCACTAGAAATGAATGAATTACTAGACCTCCTTCTATTCTAATTACTGCAGGCTTCTCTATGATTAATAATGTTGCACTTGAACAGTGCTCTTTGGGCCTTGCTTTCTCTAAAAATGGCTTTTCATATTCAAAGTTCCTTACCACCTCATGAGAAAAATTCACTTCTTGTAATCCAAAGTCCCTTCATTCCTGAATGTTTGTTGTTATTGTTGTCTTTTTTGTTTTTGAGGCAGAGCCTCACTCTGTTGTCCAGGCTGGAGTGCAGTGGTGCTATCATAGCTAGCCGCAACCTCAAACTCCTGGGCTCAATCTCAGCCTCCCGGCCAGCTGGGACTACAGGCATGTGCCACCACACCCAGCTAATTTTTTCTTTTTTGTAAAGATGGGGTCTCTTTATGTTGCCCAGGTTGTTCTCAAACTTCTGACCTTAAGCACTCCTCCTGCCTCAGACTCTCAAAGTGCTAGGGCTGACGTGAGCCACCGCATCTGGCCATTCCCAAATTATAACAGGTTCTCAGTCATAAAACAACAGGTACCATCTTGGGATAATTTATTAGAAAGGGAATTGAGTATGGGAAAATGGGGAGCTTGCTGACTCTCTAGGAGGGCTGGAGAACCAGGTTCAGAGGCTGTACATCCAGAAACAAATCATGCCACAGTCAGGGGGACTCCTGGGCTCAGACGTGATTTCCTTCTTTTTAAAGGCTGGATCATAGTCCTTTGTGTATATACAATGAATTTTCTTCATTCATTCATCCATCTGTGGACATTTAGGTTGATTCCATAACTTGGCTATTGTGAATAGTGCTGCAATAAACATGAGAGTGCAGATATGTCTTTGACATACCGATTTTATTTCCTTTGGATAAATACCCAGAAGTGGGATTGCTGGATCTTATGGAAGTTATATTTTTAATCTTTTGGAGAATCTCCATACTGTTTTCCCTAGTGTCTGTCCTAATTTATATTTTCACCAGCAGTGTGTAAACATTCCCTTTTCTCTACATCCTTGCCAACACTTGTTATTACTTTTCTTTTTGATAATGGCTATCCTAACAGGTGTGAGGTAGTATCTCATTATAATTTTGATTTGCATCTCCCTGATGATTAGTGATGTTGAGCATTTAAAAAATACATCTGTTGGCCATTTGCATATCTTCTTTTGAAAAATATCTATTCCATTCCTCTGGCCATTTTTTATCTTCTTTTTTTGAGACAGGGTCTTGCTATCACCCAGGATAGAGTGTAGTGTTGTGATCCTAGCTCACTGCAGCTTTGACCTCCCAGGCTCAGGCAATCTTCCTAGCTCAGCCTCCCACGTATCTGAGATCGCAGGTGCATGCCACCACACCTGGCTAATTAAAAAAAATTTTTTGAGATGGCGTCTTGCTATGTTGCCTAGGTTGGTCTTAAACTGCTGGGCTCAAGCGATCTTCCCGCCTCAGCCTCCCCAAGTGCTGAATTTACAGGTGTGAGCCACTGTGCCCAGCCCTTCTGTCCATTTTTAATGGGGTTATTGCTTTATTGCTGTTGAGTTGTTTGAGTTCCTTATCTATTTTGGAAATTAAGCCTGGACCAGACCCTCTCAAGGAGGGTCTAAGCAGTGCCTTCCCATGCCTGCTGTGCTAGCTTTGGTCCCAAGCAAAGGGGAACACTCCCTCAAGAATGCAGAATCTCTGCATGAGATTCTACATCCATCCTAGGCAGGAGTGCACACGTAGACAAGGGCATCTTGATAGTAGCTGCACAAATCCATATTGCGCGTTGGCTTGTATGATTTCTCTTATTCTGTGTGTGTTGGTTCCACTTCCCCAAAGAGCTTGTTAGCTCTCCAAAGCTACAGATTATGCTGAACTTTAGCAAACCCACAGAACCTAGCACAGGGCCGAGCACATAGTAACAGCCTCGGGAATGCTGAGCACTGCATCTGAAGGCTCCATGAGCACAGACCATCCCTTAAGCCAGGGGCCCACTCTCAGGGCGAATTTCCAACAGATGAGTGCTTTCCTCCCTGCCCCCATCTCTGATCATTCATTGTTCTTGTCACAGATTGAAGAGGAAAGCAAACAGCACTTAACAAAACCTGCAGCCCCGCTCTTGACACCTCCCGCGCAGAAAAGCGTTTGACAACTGGTTCCCATGGCAACAGTCTTTCTTTGAAAGAATGTCTTGTTTGGTGCACCAGACCCCCACCTCTCTCTTCTTGGGAGTAATGGCCAGTGTTGACAATGAGACAGATGCGACAAGCAGAGAACATCCGAGAGGAAGCCAGCGGGCGGGCAGGGGGCTCTCCTTGGCTCAAGGGTGGGGACAGCACTCTAGAGCCCTCTCCTCAGGGGCACGCTGGTGCTCACCAAGGGGTTAAAATACACCAGAAAGAGGTCTGAGAAAAACTGACGGCTGCGTCAACAGGCGCTATTTAGAGCAACGCAGTAGCACAGAGTGCGCTAATTTTGGAAAAGGGCCCTTTTTGCACATTCTGAGCGGCAGGGCCTGCCCTGGAGGCTGCCGGCTTCCTTCTCTTGTTTGGTGTCAGCTGTGACACATGGGCAGAGTTTTTCCCTCAGACAGGAGTGGACCTTGTCCCTTGCCTCTCATCCTTGTCCCCACTGTGGTAAGCAGTGGGAGTCCCAGGCTTGACTTCTGCTATGAGCAGAACTGTGCTCCTCAAATTTCTTTTCGTTTTCTTTTTTTTTTTTTAGACGGAGTCTCGCTCTGTTGCCCAGGCTGGAGTGCAGTGGCGCGATCTTGGCTCACTACAACCTCCATCTCCGGGGTTCAAGTGATTCTCCCTCCTCAGTCTCCCAAGTAGCTGGGACTACAGGCGCCTGCCATCACACCCGGCTAATTTTTTGTATTTTTAGTACAGACAGTGTTTCACAATGTTTGCCAGGTTGGCCTCAAACTCCTGACCTCAAGTGATCTGCCTGCCTCGGCCTCCCAAAGTGCTGGGATTACAGGCGTGAGCCACCACGTCTGGCCTGTGCTCCTCAAGTTTCTGTGTTGAAGTCCTAAACCCCAGTCTCTCAGAATGGGACTGTATTTGGAGAAAAAGGCCTTTAAAGAGATAATTATGTTAAAATAAGGTACTTAAGGTAGGCCCTACTCCAATCTGATTAGTGTCTTTATAAGAAGAGCAGATGAAGACACACAGAAAGACGCCAGAGGTGCACACGCTCAGAGGAAAGAACCTGTGAAGACACAGCAAGGCGGGGACTGTCTCAGTCTGTCCAGGCTGCTTTAACAAAATAGCATGAACTGGGTAATATTATGCCTGTAATCCCAGCACTTTGGGAGGCTGAGGCAGGCAGATCACTTGAGGTCAGGAGTTTAAGACCAGCCTGGCCAACATGGTGAAACCCTGTCTCTACTAAAAATATACTATAAACAGCAGAAATGTATTTCTCGGGGTCCTAGAGGCTGGGAAGTCAAGATCAAGGTGCTGGCAGACTCAGTGTCTGGTGAGGCCCTGCTTTCTGGTTCATAGACAGAGCTTTCTTGCTGTCCTCATATGTGGAAGGGTGATGAGCTCCCTTGGCCTCTTTTATAAGGACACTAATCCCATTCATTAGGGCTCCGCTGTCATGACCAAATCACCTCTCAAAAGCTTCCTCTCCTGATAGCATCACCTTGCGGATTAGATTTCAATTCATGAATTCTGAGAGCTGGGCTTGGTGGATACTGCTGGTAATCCCAGCAACTCAGGTAGCTGAGGCAGGAGGATCACTTGAGGCCAGGAGTTTGAAACCAGCCCGGGAAACATAGCGAGGCCCCATCTCTAAAAAAATATTGAAAAAACTTAGCTGGGGATGGTGGAGTGCATCTGTAGTACCAACTGAGGTGGCAAGATTGTTTGAGCATAGGAATTTCAGAATTCAGTGAGCTATGAGCACACCACTGTACTCCAGTCCAGGTGACAGTGCAAGAGTTAGACCCTCTGTCTATAAACAAAGTAACAGGTTGGGCACAGTGGCTGACGCCTGTAATCCCAGCACTTTGGAAGGTCGAGGCAGGCAGATCACTTAAGGTCAGGAGTTCAAGACCAGCCTGGCTAACATGGTGAAACCCCATCTCTACTAAAAATACAAAAAAATTAGCTGGGCGTGGTGTTGCATGCCTGTAGTTCCAGCTCTTTGGGACGTTAAGGCAGGAAAATCGCTGGAACCCGGCAGGCAGAGGTTGCAGTGAGCCAAGATCACACCACTGCCCTCCAGCCTGGGTGACAGAGTAAAGTTTTGTCTCAAAACAAAACAAAAAGAAGGAACAAACTCCCCCAAAACACGTGAGTTTTGGGAGAGGCACAAACATTCAGTTATAGCAGCAGCCATTTACAAAGCAAGGAGAGAGGCCTCAGGAGAAAACTGCCAACACCTTGATTTCAGACTTTCAGCCTCCAGAAAAGTGAGGATACAAATTTTTGTTGTGTCAGCCACTGCGTCTGTGCTATTTTGTTACAGCAGCTTGAGCTGACTAATAGAGCTCCCCTCTGGGCTGCAGAGGCTCCCTTTGTCAGGCTGAGGCTCCAGAAAGAGCCTGAAATGATGCTGTTCTGTGGTCATATTCAGAGAGGGTTGGGCTTGGTGAACCAAGCAAGCTGGCCAAACCCACTCCCCTCACCTCTTGCTGTGGGATACCCTTGTGTCTGGACGTGCCTGGGGATCTGTTCTCTCACTGGATACTCACAGCATTCTGGGAAGTCACTGATGGAGGCCCAGCCATCCACCATCTACAGCAGAAAAAGGCAAAGACAGATCTGAGAGATTCCCCTTAGTGGGGCGTGGGAGGCATCAGTGGATGCGTCCTTGATTCTTCCACCAGCCCACTTTTACAACTAGAAAAGTAAATCAAATAACACTTCAAAGGATGTTGAATATCAGGTATTTTTAATGTTTGTGCCATCCAATAACAGGTTTCCCTGAGGTTTAGGATGCTATCTTGGGTCTCTTTGTATTTCAGCCACTGGGAAGGTTCTTGTATTAGTCCATTTTCATGCTGCTGATAAAGACATACCCAAATCTGGGTAATGTAAAAAGAAAAAGAGGTTCAATAGACTCACAGTTCCATGTGGCTGGGGAGGCCTGACAATCATGGTGGAAAGCAAAAGGCATATCTTACATGGCGGCAGGCAAGAGAGCGCTTGTGCAGGGGAACTCCCCTTGATAAAACCATCAGATGTTGTGAGACTTATTCACTGTCATGAGAACTGGGTCCCTCCCATGACACATGGGATTTATGGGAGCTACAATTCAAGATGAGATTTGGGTGAGGACACAGCCAAACCATATCAGTGCTTAAGATGAAGGTGCTTAATAACTGTTTCTAAATAAATTAATGAATTTATTCTGGCCAAAATTCAGGAAGCTTCAGATTTAAAGTTAAAAGAGAGCTTGCTGATCTTTTGTTCCTAACATTCTTTTGCAGAGGATGAGACAAAATCTCAGGGAAGTGAAGTGAGTTGCCTGAGGCATGCATGCTAAGACAAAACCAGGACCAAAACCAAGGTCTCCTGAATCCCTGTTCAGGATGTTTTGCTCTGCCATTCAGTAAACTTAATATAGATGGCAACTGTGTATAGACCCATAGGTCTATACAGGAGATCAGAAAGAACACTCACCTTTGGAGTTAAACATATTCTCTTAGAGACAGCAACAATTAAAAAAATCACATCAAATAACATTATAATCTAATTGTTGAAAAAAACTGAGAAAGAGAACATTTTAAAGAAACTATGAAGATACACTGTATATAAGAGAACAAAAATTAGAATTAACACAGAATTTTTGTCAGAAACAGTGCAAGCCAGAAGGTAAATGAATGCCATTTAACATGCTGATTTTTTTAAATGCCAACCTAGAGTTCTATATCCAGTAGAAACATTCTTTAAAAGTAGAGATAAAATAAGAACATTTTTCATACAAACAAGCTAATTCATTGCCAGAAGACTAGAACTACCAGAAATTATTTAAAGGGTTTCCTTAGACTGAAGGAAAATGATGCTAGATAGAAACTCAAATGTACACAAAAAATGAAGAGTGCAAGAAATAGTAAATATAAAAGACATTTGTTCTCATTTTTTAATCTTTTAAAAAGAAAATGGAAGACAGAGGACTTGTGGATTCAGCCAAGATGGAGTAACAAGGATTGAATTTACATTTTTAGGGGGTTTAAAACAACTAGAAAAGTAAATTAAATAACACTTTAAAAGATATTGAATATGAAGCAACAAAGGCCAGTGATCTCTGAGAATCAGGAAACAATTCAACTGACCCTCTGATTGCTCCACTTTACTCCCCAGGGAGAATTTCCAGACTGCAGTGCAGACAGAGGGAACCCTAGTAGAAATCAGAGGTCTCCCTGAGTTAAGGAGAGAATTAAAAAAGGCCAAGATAGCCAGAGTTCACAAGGTGGCTAGGGTTCACAGGCAGAGTACTGGAGATGAGAGAGGTTTTACTGAGAGAATTCTGGAGATCTGCAGAAGGTCCCTTCAGGTATTCAGCTAACTCCTGATTGGCTCCAGCGTATGAAGAAGATACATAATGCTGGGAAAAGAACCACTTAAAAGGATGAGAGGGAACAGTCCTTAGTGCTATTAACATGAAGGTGCTTAATAAATCTTTCTAAATAAATTAATGAATTTGTTCTGGCCAAGATTTAGGAAGCTTGGAATAGTGGTCTAGGAATAGTGCCTGTTCCCACCAGCCAGAGTGGAAAGCCTCATAATTCATGGGACATTGGGTAGAGTACTCAAAGATTGTGAGTCAGTATTGGGGCAAAATTTGGCCTAGATTAAATTCATATTTGTGGTCTCTAACAATGCTTAAGAGCAAAAATCAAAAGCGTAAAGTTGTTATCAAGTAACTTATCTGCATCAAAGAACAAAACTCAAGAATATTTATAAGATTTTTAAAATCTAGCAGGCAAAATTCACAATATCTGGCAAAAATCACCAGGCATGCACAGAAGTAGAAAAATATCACCTGTAATGAGGAGAAAAAGAAATGGAAACTGAGCCAAAAGCAACTCAGAAGGCAGAATTAGTAGAAGAGGTCATTAAGACAGTTATGATGACTGTATTCCATATGTCTAAGAAGCTAGAGGAAAGAGCAATGTATTATATGCTATATGTTTAAGAAGCTAGAAAAAAGATTAACCGAGTAGGCACATGAAAGATGTAAAAAAAGACCCTAATGAAATTTCTTGAAGTAGAAAACAATAAGGTCAGAATGAAAACATACACTGAATGAGATTAATAACAAATTAGATGTTGTAGAATAAAGTATTAATGAACCTCAGACATAGCAATAGAAATAAACCAAAAAGATAAAGAACAATTAATAAAAAAAAAAGATAGAGCAACAGTGACCTGTGGGATAACTTTATGCAGCCTAATATACATGTCATTGGAGTCACCAAAGGAAAAAGGAAACAAAAAATATTTAAAGAAATAATGACCAAAATTTTTCAAAATATGATGAAAACTATACACCTGCAGATCCAAGACACACAATGAACTCCAAGCATAAGAGATAAGAAGAATCTACACCAAGGTACATAGTAATAAAATTGCTTAGAACCAGAGCTAATGAGAAAACTCTTAAAAGAATCCATAGATAAAAGACCCACTATGTATGAAAGAACAAATAAAATAATGACAGCAGGGTTCTCACTGGAAACAATGCAAGCTAGAAGACAGGAGAGCATACATCTTTAAAGCTCTGAAAGAAAAAAATTGTCAACCAAGAATTTTTTACCCAGCACAGATATCTTTCAGAAAAAGAGTGTGAAATAAAATTTTAGACATAGCTAACGGAACTCATCCAACAGAATTGCACTGCAAGAAATAATAAACAAAGTCTTTAAAAGACTTAAAGCAGAAGGAAAATGATACTAGGTGAAAATATGAATCTCCAAATTAATAAAGGGTGCTAGAAAAGTGCCCTAAATACGTGAGTAAATATGTTGGATTTTAAAATTGTTTAAATTGTTTCAACAATAATTGACTAAATTGTTTGTTGTTTGTTTTTAAGACAGGGTTTCGCTCTGTCACTCAGGCTGGAGTGCAGTGGCACAATCATGGTTCATTGCAGCCTTGGCTTCTCAGGCTCAGGTGATCCTCCTGCTTCAACCTCTCAAGTAGCCCGAACTACAGGCACATGCCACTATGCCCAGCTAATTTTCAAAATTATTTTTAGAGATGGGGTCTCCCTACGTTGTCCAGGCTGGCCTCAAACTCCTGGTCTGAAGGGATCTTCTCATCTTAGCTCCTGGGATTACAGGCATGAGCCACCACGCATGGACAATAATTGACCGTTTAAATTTTTTTTAATTTTGAATTTAAAGTATTCTATTATAGCACCAATAACTGATTGTTTAAACAACAACAACCACAGAAACCAACATATTTTGAGTTTATAACATATGTAGAAGTAAAACATATGATAACAATAGCACAAAGGCTAGGAGGGAAAAATGGAAGCCCATTATTATTGCAAGATACTTTAGTTATATGTGAAATAATGTAATATTTGAGGGTAGAGGGTAGTAAGTTAAAGATGGATGCTATAGACCATAAAGCAATTATTAAAATAATGCAACCAATAGTTGCACATAATAAGCCAACAAAGGAGCTAAAATAGAATCATTTAAAAACCCAAAGGAAGGCAGAGAAAGAGTGAAAGGGAAACAGAAAACAGATGGGCCAAATAAACACAAATAGCAATACCAATAATTACATTAAATGTGATCATCACATTAAATGTCTGAACACCTTAATTAAAAGGTAGAGAGTGCTAGATTAGGTAAGATCCAACTATATGCTGTCTACTAGTAAGTAACATACATTAAATAAAAAGATGCAATAGATTAAAAGTGAAAGGATGGAGAAAGATATACTACGTTAGCACTTATCAAAGGAAAACTGGATCAAAGTGGATTTCACAGGAAAGAATAATTCCGGAAATAAAGACAATAATTTTATAATGATCAAGTAGTCAATTAGTCAAGACAATCTTATATGTGCATGAATCTAATAACAGAGCTTTAAAATGTGGAGCAAAAACTGATAGAACTGTAAAGAGAAATAGATAAATGTACAATTTCAGTAAAAATATTTTTTAAACTCTCTGAAAATTAATAGAAAGGTAGATTGAAATTCAGCAAGGCTAGAGATGTCTTGAACACTACCAACTAACTTACTTTAATTGACACCTATAGAACACTTCACTCAAAAAGTGCAGAATTCACATTCTTTTCAGGAACACATGGAACATTTATATGTGGTGGGACATAAAACTAATCTTAATAAATCTGAAACTATTTTGATCACATAAAGTTCTTTCATTATAAAGAAATTCAATTGTAAACCCAAACCAGAAGATATATAGAAACACCCATATTTGGAAATGAAACAGCACACTTCTAAATATCCCATGAATCAAAGAAAAACAATCAGAAGGGAAACTAGGAAGATTTTGAAATGAATGAAAATCAAAATACAACACATCAACATTTATGAGATGCAGCTAAAGCAGTACTGAGATGAAATTTTATAGCACTGAGCAGCTATATTATAAAAGAAGACAAGCCTCAATGATCTTTCTGCCTCAAGAAAAGGAAAAAAGAAGGGCAAACAAAACTCAAGGTAAGCAGAAGAGAAAGAAAAAGTCAGAAAGATTAGAAGAGAAGTTAATAAAAGGGGAAACAAAAATTAGCGAAATTAAAGATGTTTTTTGAGGAGAGTGACAAAATTGATAAGCCTCTTGCTAGACTGGTCAGGAAGAGAGAAGAGAACAAATTACCAAGGAGAGACAGAGGAACAAGAAAGGTGATGCCACAGATTTTGCAGATATTAAAGGAACAATAAAGGAAATTACCAAAAATTGTGCCAATAAATTAGGCAACTTCGATTAAGTGGAAAAAACCCTTGAAACCCCCAAACTTACTCAAGAAGGTATTGATAATCAAGGTAGCCCTATATGTATTAAAGGAATTGAATTTATACTTAAAACTTTTCCCATAAAGAGAACTCCAGTCCCAGAAGGCTGAACTGCTGAATTCTAGGAAACATTTAAGAAAGAAATAATAACCAACCACTTCCAGAAAAATGAATAGGAGATACTACCTGCCCTCATGCTGTGGGGTCTGTATTACTCTCATTCCAAGACCAGACAATGATGTTACAAAAAAGAAAACTAAATACCAATATTCCTCATATACTCATATGCATAAATGAGAAAATTCACTTTTTTTTTTTTTTTGAGACAGGGTCTCACTCTGTTCCTGATGCTGGAGTGCAGTGGTGCAGTCTTGGCTCCTTGCAGCCTCAATCTTCTGGGATTTTAAGTAATCCTCTCACCTTAACCACCCAAGTAGCTGGCGCTATGGATGCGCACCACCATGCCCAGTTAATTTTTGTATTTTTGGAGAGATGGGGTTTTGCCATCTTGCTCAGGTTGGTCTGGAACACCTGGGCTCAAGCGATGCTCCTGCCTTGAGTTAAGAAAAAACCGGCAAGAATTATAGGGATTAATTGACAATTATACAATTACAGGAAGGAATTTTAATATAGCTGAATTAGAAAATGATGGGTAAAATAGTGAAAAATTAAAATATACAGGATTTGAACAATAAATTAACAATTAGGAATCCTACAACCAATATATAGAAAATATAGATATTTCTCAACAGTACATGGGGCATTTACAAAATTGGTCACATGTTATGCAACAAATGAAGCATCAACACATTTCAGAAAATTAATATGTTCTCGTCACAATGCAATTCCTTGGAAATATCATAAAATAAAGTACTTATTTTAACTACTTTATTCCCCCCCAAAATTAACTCACAGTTTAAAGAAAAAAAATCACAATAAAAATATTTAAAATATTACATATAAAATTGTGGGATGTAATAAACATAGTACTTGGACATACATACATTTCTATGCTTAAATACATTTATTGAAAAATCATGAAACAGAAAACAAGGAACTATCTTCAAGAAGGTAGAAATGAAATGGTATGTTAATTCTAAACATGGTGAGAGGAAAGAAATAAAAATAAGAATAGGAATTAATGAAATAATGATTCAGAGGATTAAAAAACCTAAAAGCTGATTGTTTGAAAAAATAAATAAATAAAATGGCCAACTTCGGCCGGGCACAGTGGCTCAAGCCTGTAATCCCAGCACTTTGGGAAGCTGAGGTGGGTGGATCACCTGGGGTTGGGAGTTCGAGACCAGCCTGACCAACATGGAGAAACTCTGTCTGTAATAAAAATACAAAAATTAGCTGGCTGTGGTGGTGCATGCCTGTAATCCCAGCTACTTGGGAGGCTGAGGCAGGAGAATTGCTCAAACCTGGGAGGTGGAGGTTGCAGTGAGCCAAGAGTGTGCCATTGCACTCCAGCCTGGGCAACAAGAGCGAAACTCCATCTCAAAATAAATAAATAAATAAATAAAATTTTTAAAAAAATGTCCAACTTCTGGATATATTTACCCAGAAAAAAAGAAAAAGAAAAACTGCAAATAATTAACATTTGGAATGACAATGGAGCCATAACTACAGAAGTATTAACAATTTAAAACATCTGAAGAGAACACTGACAAATTTTTGCCTATACATTTGAAAACTTAGATAAAATGAAAAAATTAGAAAATCTGAGTTATTAGAATTGATTATAGAATAAGATAGAAAACCTAAATACTTCAATCACCAGTCAAGAAATTCAATCAGTAGTTAGAAGTTTCTCCCCAATTGCCCCAGCTCACTTCCTACTTCCCTCTACCAACTACTTTCACATATTCCAAGTTCAGATAATTTTAAAAGCACATTTTTACTAAACCTTGACTGAACAAATAATCCCTACTTATCCAGTGGTATGAAGATGTTATTGCCTTTTGGTCTTTTGGTCTCCATATTTCTCATGATATGTGAGCACTAATTCCTATTGTTATTCCTTAGTATGTAATATGTCATTTTCCTCTGGCTGCTTTTAAGGTTTTCTCTTCCACAAAAAGAATACAACACCTAAGAATACAGCTAACCATGGAGGTGAAAGATCTCTACCGCAAGAATTACAAAGCACTGCTCAAAGAATTCAGAGATGACACAAACAAATGGAAAAACATTCCATGCTCATGGTTAGAAAGAAAATGAAACTGAAAATGGCCATACTGCACAAATCAATTTACAGATTCAATGCTATCCCTATCAAAGTACCAATGACATTCTTCGCAGAATTAGAAAAAAGTATTTTAAAAGTCACTTGGAACCAAAACAGGGCTTGGATAGCCAAGGCAATCCTAAGCAAAAAGAACAAAGCTGCAGGCATCACATTCCCAAATTTTAAACTATACTACAGGGCTACAGTAACCAAAACAGCATGGTACTGGTACAAAGACACATAGACCAATGGAACACAATAGAGAGCCCAGAAATAAACTCACACACTTACAACCATCCAGTCTTTGACAAAGTCAACAAAAATAAGCAATAGAGAAAAGACTCCTTATTCAATAAGTGGTGCTGGGATAACTGGCTAACCATATCCAGAAGACTGAAGCTGGACCCCTTCCTTACACCATATACAAAAATCAACTCAAAATAGATTAAAGACTTAAATGCAAAACCTAAAACTATAAAAACCCTGGAAGACAGCCTACGAAATATCATTCTGGATGTAGGCCCTGGCAAAGATTTTATGATGAAGATACCAAAAGTAATTGTAACACAAATAAAAATTGACAATGGGACCTAATTAAACTAAAGAGCTTCTGCACAGTGAAAGAAACTATCATCAGAGTAAACAGACAACCTACAGAATGAGAGAAAATTTTTGCAAACTGTGCATCCAACAAAGGTCTAATATCCAGAATTTATAAGGAACTGAAACAAATTAATAAGCAAAAAACAAACAACCCTGTTAAAAAGTGGGCAAAGGACATGAACAGACACTTTTCAAAAGAAGACATACATGCAGCCAACAAGCATATGAAAAAATGCTCAACATCACTGATCAGTAGAGAAATACCAGTCAGAATGGCTATTATTAAAAAAAAAAAGATGCTGGCAAAGTTGCAAAGAAAAGGGAATACTTATATACTGTTGGTGGGAGTGTAAAATAATTCATCCATTGTGGAAAGCAGTGTGGTGATTTCTCAATGAACTTAAACAGAAGTATCATTAGACCCAGCAATCCTATTATTGGGTATATACCCCAAAGAATGTAAATAACTCTACCATAAAGACACATGCACAGGTATGTTCATTACAGCACTATTCACAATAGCAAAATTATGGAATCAACCTAAGTGCCCATCATTGGTAGACTGGATAAAGAAAATGTGATATATATACACCGCGGAAGACTACGCAGCCAAAAAAACACACGATCATGTCCTTTGCAGCAAAAATAATGAAGCTGGAGGCCATAACACTAAGCGAACTAATGCAGGAACAGAAAACCAAATACTGCATGTTCTCACTTATAAGTGGGAGCTATACATTGAGTACACAAGAAGGGAACAACAGACTCTGTGGCCTACTTGAGGGTGGGAGGAGGGACAGGATTGAAAAACTACCTCTCAGGTACTATGCTTATTACCTGGGTGACAAAATAATCTGTGCACCAAACTCCTGTGACCATAATTTACCCACATAACAAGCCAGCACATATTCTCTTGAACCTCAAATAAAAGTTGAGCAAATTTTCTCCTTATCTTTGGTTTATAGCAGTTTGACTATGCTATGCTTGTATGTGATTTTCTTCACATTTATTCTGCTTCGAGTTGTCTGTTCCCATCTTATGTCTTATTCCACTTCTGATTTAAGTTTTAATTTCTTTCCTTTTTTTTTTTTTTGAGACAGAGTCTTACTCCATTGCCCAGGCTGGAGTGCAGCAGTATGATCTTGGCTCACTGCATCTTCTGCCTCCTGGGTTCAAGCGATTCTTGTGCTTCAACCTCTCTCATTCTCCTGAGTATCTGGGATTATAGGCATGAGCCACCATGCCCAGCTAATTTTTGTATTTTTTAAGTAGAGACAGGGTTTCACCATGTTGGCCAGGCTTGTCTAGAACTCCTGGACTCAAGCGATCTGCCTGCCTTGGCCTCCAAAAGTGTTGGGATTACAGGTGTGAGCCACCGCGCCAGGCCCTAAGTTTTAATTTCTGTTGCTTGATCTTTTGTTTCTGATGTAGGGTGGAAATGCCCACAGTGAGTGTTGGGGGAAGGTGTTAGGTATGATCTCCTCTGCCTCTCTTCTTATTCCTTCATCCATATTAATTACCATCTTACCCCTGGGTCTGAGTGCTCTAATCACCTCCTAAGTAGATGCCCAGTTTGGGTATAACCTGCCCATTCCTGGAAAATACTATATCCCCACCCTGGTAATAGTGGAAGTAGATGTGCCCAGCCTTACCCCTGCACTACAATTTTGATGGGGTCTTAAGTTGAACCAAAATATATCCTGGTTACGGGAGGTATACATTTCAGACCATGCCATCATGAATTCTGAAGCATCAGAGAACTTGTGGGCAAGCCTGGTCAAGGAGGAATAGCTCCTAAGTGGTTCAGCTACTGATAAACCTGGAGGTCCCAGTAGAAAAATATGATCTATAGATTCCAGGGGGCTGCCAAGCAGCCCCTTTAGTAATTTATGAAAACCCATACAAGGTCTTGGGTACAGCCTGTGAGACTCATACAGCTTTCTTTCTCATCCCACATTGCCATTTGTAGGCCAAACTCAGACCAGTGACAGGGCTTGTGAATCCTAAGAATTACTACCTTAGCTTTAGACCCATAAATCACCTTGAACTTGGAAATGGCCTTGTCCATTCTAGATTGACAGATGTTATTCCTAAGATGGCAGCACACCTAGCTCTAGACATTTACAGTTATCTTAGGCTCATACAGAAGATTTTTATTTTGAACATAGAAATGTCCACTGACCAGTACTTGGAATAGCGAGCAGGGTCGCAAAGCTCCACAAACGTGATCAGAGGCTGACACCTTTGTATGGGATGTTGCCAGGCAGTGCAATGCCACCGCTGGTCAGCAGAACCCAGTCTCCCGTACTCACCAGCCTGGTTTCCACTGGCTTGCTTATGCTCACTTACAATATAAAGTTTACTTTTGCGACAACTGCTTGTTAGTTCCAGAAAGCTTTTATTTTAGTTAATTGTGTTCATTGGGAAAGCTGTTGTGCCCAGAAGCCAGGAAAGGCCTTCAATGGGACTTTCAGGCAGGGAGCATCCGGTGGGATGGGATGGGGACCCCTTCCTGCTGTGGGACTACCCGCAGTGGCGCCCAGCCCCAGCACCCTGCACAGTCTGGTAACTCTTCCCCTTTGGTAAATTTTCCCTTCAAGTGGGAGGAGGGCACTTTGGGAAAAAGCCTCAGCTGCTGCTTCTGCTGCTTAAAGCAGTCCAGACGATTAATGGGCAGCTCCAGCTGCTATCCTGAAAGTGAGACTGAAATCTTACACCTTTTTTCCTTATGATAAAATTGATTTTGGCATACACTTTTGGAGTTGCTGTAATTTTTAGGAAAGTGCCCATCTGGAAGGTCAAGGAGCATTTGGATACAGCAAAGGAGTTGTGTCACACAGGTTAGGACCAGGACAGCTCCAGGACCTGGTACATGGGAAGGCTTTCTTTCCCTTCCCTCCCCTCCCTTCCCCTCCCCTCCCCTCCCTTCCCTTCCCTTTCCTCTCCTTTCCTCTCCTTTCCTTTTTTTCTTTTCTTCCTCCCTCCCTCCCTCCCTCCCTCTCTCTCTCTTTCTTTCTTTCCTTTTCTTCTTTTTGAGACAAGATCTCACTCTGTCACCCAGGCTGGAGTCCAGCGGTGTGATCATGGCTCACTGCAGCCTCGACCTCCTGGGCTCAAGTGATCATCCTGCTTCAGTCTCCTGAGTAGCTGGGACCACAGGTGTGCACCACTATGCATGACTAATTTACTTTAAAATTTTTTTGTAGAGACAGTGTCTTGCTATGTTACCAAGGCTGGTCTTAAACTCCTGGCTCAAGCGATCCCCCTGCCTCAGCCTCCCAAAGTGCTGAGACTACAGGCGTAAGCCAACCACACCCAGCCTGGAAAGGCTAGCTTCCGAGAAGCCTACTTATGGGCACCATCTTTCTCTCCACAAGAGCATCTCCATGAGCATAAGTCTTCTCTGAGCAAACTCAAGGAATTCCTGGCCCACCCTAACAGACAGGGGGTAAGTGAGATGTCTGCCCTGATCCTGGGCCTTCAGACCATTCAAAGATTCAGCTGGTGGCTAACATAAAACAAGCCTGCAGCACGTTCAACAACACTTGTCTCAGATCTTCTTACCTAGCTTCTGCATTTCATTTCAGGCTCCACTCCTTCAAAACGCTAGCTTCCAACCCTCTTTGCTATTTCAGTCTTGTAGGACTTCCTTGGACATGTCTCACGGTCATTGTATTTTTCTTCCTAGTCTTTGTTGCTTTAGGTAACACCAGGCCACATTCAGCCCTAAAGGGACCCCTCTGCCTTGACTCATTTTGTCATTGCTTTGTCATTGCCATCATCCAGGCCTGTCAGGGACACTCCACAGCAGGTGGTGGGACACAGTGGGTGAGCTTATGCCAGGAAGGAACAAATGTATTTGCAATGACAATGAGCTAGGAGGAATGCTACCACCACCTTCCAGCCTCTCCTGAGCTGGGGGAGACTGAGCCCCTTCCCCTCCAGGGGCTGCACAGGGAGGAGGACCAGAGTTCAGTGCAGGAAGATGGTGACAAGGTATTCAGTAAGGACTCTGATGTTCAGGCTGGTTTGTATAGATACCGTGGAATGTCCAGAAGGTAAGTTGGAAGCATGGCATAGCTGGGAAAGGAGAGCAAAGCCGAGAGCTGCTGAGCAAAGTCTTGCATTTAGGATGGGCAGCAGAACCCAAGAGGAGGGGTGGCCTAGTGGACATGGTGGGTGCAGGTGCATGGCAGGTGACACCAAAGGCCTAAAAAGGCAGGAGGCTGATGGCCTCAGTCTTCACCAGACAGCACTGGTGGAAAGTTATCCTCAGCAGTGATTCAAGAATCTTGGGGCCTGTATTTGAGAGTCAGGACTGGAGAAGTATGAAGTATAGGATGAGACCACCCCTTGGAGAGTTTGCTTGGGTGAGTGGGAGATGGCGTTGGGCCCCCTTGGGACATTCCTCTTTAATGGGCTGGTCTGCAGGATGTATGGCCCAGTGAAAGATACTCCCCCATTGCACTTTAGAAAAAAGAAGGAGAAGCAATTTCAAGAAGGCCAAAGGCAAGAGGAATTTCCCCCCATATACCTCCATAGAATAAAAGGTGACTTCAGGCTGGGCACGGTGGCTCATGCCTGTAATCCCAGCACTTTGGGAGGCCAAGACAGGTGGATTACCTGAGGTCAGGAGTTCGAGCCCAACCTGATCAACATAGTGAAACCCTGTCTCTACTAAAAATACAAAAACTTAGCTGGAACGTGGTGGTGCACCCCTGTAATCCCAGCTACTCGGGAAGCTGAGGCATGAGAATCACTTGAAGCTGGTAGGCAGAGTTTGCAGTGAGCCGAGATTGTGCCACTATACTCCAGCCTGGGTGACACCTTGTCTCAAAAAAAAGAAGAAGAAGAAGAAGAAAAAGGGTGACTTCAGCCCAGAAAAGCAATATTCGACCTTCAGGGTCATTCACCCTTGGCAGAATAGAGTCTGGGAATTTATCTGTACAGTTACTTTCCTAAGCAAATGAGCTGGGGGGTCTCTGAGGCAACTGACCTCCATCTGTTGTTTCTGTATATTTTAAAAGAGAAATCGATAATGGGTGGACCGAGCTCTCCCTTGTCCCCAGAGACATAGTTCAAGTATTCTTGTTCAAGCATTTTTTTGCTTTCAGGTTTTCTTGCCTACAGGATTCTAAGACCTTTTGGCTTTAGCTTGATTTTCTCAACTTATCTCTCAAAATTTTTCAGTAACAAAGCTCCTTCTTCAAGCAGTACTTTATAGAGACCACGATATAGGAAACAGAAAAACTCAGGATTTTATTAGCATATATTTATTTTATAACTTCACATTTATAACATTTTACTTTGTATACCGCCAATAAATGACAATGAAACTATTTTCATAAATACAAAAACACATGAAATTAGGGTGTCATGGTAACCACTGCATCACTTTGGTGGAACAGTATTAAAAATAGAATTTAGAAAGATAAATGATCACAAGTGATACCTTTTAAAAAATGCTTTTCTTACAATCTCAGGATATTCTTCAGTTAAACTGAACCACAATCAGAAAAAATAAGTAATTATTTAAAAGTCAAACCTCTAACAATTGTCAACAACTGCTGGAAGAGTCATCACAAATATAAAAAACAACAAGCACTCAAATTTACAATAAGAGATGAAACGGTTTCTAACACCAGGGTAGACTGGAAGTCAACTGGAAGCATATTAGCTTGTTACCACACAACTGTCAGAACAATAAAGAAAGCATGCATTGAGCAGACAGGAACATCGTGAAAATCCTAAGAGCTTCAATGTATTGAGGGCTTTCTGTGTTCCAGATGTCATGCAACGTGCTTAAAAAGCATTAAGTCATTTGTTCATAACAACCGTGTACTCTCATCTTCTTATTTTTCAGATGTGGAAACTGATGTCTAGAGAAGCTAAGCAATTTGCTTACAGTATGCACAAATCTACCACAAGACTACACATCAACTGTGTTGGAGATTTGCCTAGCACATATAACTAAATGGTGCTCATCTGCACTGCACTCACACACTTACGTGATACACAGGTCTGATCTAAATACACAGGTCTGATCTACACAACCATGTGGTGCTACCGCTTTTAAAATCTGTGAACAATTAAAAGAAGTTTGGATACGTACACAGATACCATAAAGGAAACTTTGCTCTAAGGTCTGCACAAAATGAGCCAATCTGAAAATAAAAGTAAACCTGGTGGTGAATGCTGATGTGTTAAAATTTGGTTATCAGCCCATTTGAATCTAGCTGCATTTACTAGAGACTTAAAGAGTTTAGCCCAGGCATGGTGGCTCACACCTGTAATCCCAGCACTTTGGGAGGCCGAGGTGAGTGGATCACTTGAGGTCAGGAGTTCGAGACCAGCCTGGCCAACATGGTGAAACCCCATTTCTACTAAAAATACAAAAATTAGCTGGGCGTGGTGGTGGGTGCCTGTAATCCCAGCTACTCGGGAGGCTGAGGCACGAAATCGCTTGAACCTGGGAGGCGGAGGTTGCAGTGAGCTGAGATTGCACCACTGCACTCCAGCCTGGGTGATAGAGCAAGACTCAGTCTCAAAATAATACTAATAATAATTAAAAAAATAAAGAGTTTAAAACACATTTTGGAGATGGCACTGCTAGAAAATCTGCAGAACTGCAGAGCACAATTTGAAAGTCATCGTGATGGTAGAGGATGGACTAGTGTGAGTCAGAAAGTTCTGGGCTTCTGTCTAGGCTCCATCACTTCTTGGCATTTTGGTGTTGAGGAGACCACTTAACTCATCTGAGCTTCGGTCTTTCTCTTTATAAAGAGCAAAATTATACCACAACAGGGTGGCTGTATACATTCAATGAGATATACATGAAACACTTTGCACACAGTAGGCCCTCAATAAATGTGAGTTCCTTTTCTCTCCTCTTCATCCTTTGTTGCCACTAAAAGCCTTCTCTAAGCAAACCAGCCTGCTCACTAAATCCAAACCTGCCCTAAACAACCCTGCTCTCAAGCATGCAGTCCCCTCATGTCCCCCTTTCTTTGGGGACACCTCTCAGGCTGTGGACCTCTGGAAAGTAAAGCTTAGGTTGAGTCATCTGTGTCTTCAGGGCCTGACACAGCACCTAGCTCTGGGACCATCTATCTGACACCTAGCAGAAAGGCAGGAAGAACACTTCCCAGGTTAAAACAACAACAACAATGACAACAACAACAACAAAAATCTGCAGGCAGAGGTGGTCCTATTCACTGGGTGATGACACTTTTACTGGGGTGATGAACTTATTTACACAAAGGGTTAGTTAGCCTTTTACCTGTCTAGATCAGCTCCTCATCTAGACTGGAACCTCTCTGAGGGCAGGGCCCATTTTGTAGGTTTATAACTGCTCAACTGCAGGTTATAGCTGTAGTCTTGTAACTCCTTGTACAGTGTCTCACAAAGCCAGGCACTCAGAGAGAATTTGCTGATTTGAGAAAGGAAAACACCTGACAAGTCAAACAGCTTTATTTTTCAAACATTACAAAAGGTATTTTTTTTTTTGACTGCCAATTCTTTCTTCTATGGTATGGGCCAATTCTGGTCTATTTGGGATTATTTAAAGAAAATTGGAAGTACAAGTGTTTCAGATTCCTTCAGGCTTACTATTTAATATTTGGAGTTTAATCTTTTGTTCATTAATAATCTACATAGGGTCTAAGAAACTCCTAGATATTTTTTTCTTAAAAAGAAAAATCAAGGGCCAGGCATGGCGGTTCATGCCTGTAATCCCAGCACTTTGGGAGGCCGAGTTGGGCACATCATTTGAGCCTAGGGGTTCCAGACCAGCCTGAGCAACACAGCAAAACCCTGTCTCTACCAAAAATACAAAAGAATAGCTAGGCATGGTGGTGCGTGCCTGTAGTCCCAGGTACTTGGGAGGCTAAGGTGTGAGGATCACCTGAGCCTGAGCCTGGGAAGTCAAGGCTGCAGTGAGCCGAGATTTTTGTGCCACTGCACTCTAGCCTGGGTGATGAGAGTGAGACCCAAGAAATAAAGAAGAAAGAGAAAAAGAAAAAAGGAAGGAAGGAAGGAAAGAGAGGAGAGGAGAGGAGAGAGGAGGAGAGAAGGAGAGAAGGAGGAAGGGAGGGAAGGAAGGAAGGAAGGAAGGTCAATAATTGGCTTTCATGGTTTGATTTCAGTCCCATACATTAAAGAAAAAAATTTTTTAAAGGTCTTAGCCCACTGGCTGTGGGTCCTGCCCCCAGGTGGTTTTCAGTCGTCTCCCTCATGATTCCAGCGGCCATAGCCATCTCGTTCCTCTGGCTCTTCGATACTCTCATTCTCAAAGGAGGCCTCTTCCTCCTCTTCTTCCCGTATTACCTTCATTAGCTCAAGGAAGCTGGGGGGCGGGCCCTGATCCTTCAGCTCCCTAAGCCGGCACCACAGCATCTGGTTAAGAGTGGCCCCAGCCATGACCTGCTCCAGGCGGACCTGGTCCGCAATACGCCGAGGGATGGCGCGTTTCTCCACCGCTCTCCGGAGCAGGGTTTCTAGCCGTAACACATAGGCTGAGACCTTCTCTCCTTCCTCCTGATAGGTCTTCAGATACCTCACCTGGGCTGTCCTGCGGCTCTCTAGGCTCCCAAACACTTGCTTAAAGGCCTCCAAACACTCTTCTACACTGATGGACGGGTTGTCTGCCTGCACTATGTGCATGAGGTCCAGGGCAGGGCCCCGCAGGCTTTCCGCCAGCCACCTTTTCTTTTCTGCCTCTGTTACTGGCCACTCTTTGACTATCTCCGTGGCCTGTTCCAACCAGACCTCAAAGGACTCTTCCTCTGGGGCTGGGACAGCACTCCCTGAGAATACTCGCAGTTTCCGGTATCTCATGGGTAGCAGGGGCTGAGGCGCATGTGCCATTGCCTGTCCCAACAAATGGGCCAGTAATTCTGGTGAGATGCAGGGCACTGTGGCTGGAGACACGCCCTCCTGCCCCAGGGCTCGAAACATACCCGAGACCGTCTGCCCCTCTTTTTCTAGAAACAGGTTCAATCTTTCAAGAAACTCAGTGTCCTGATTAGGGGTCTTAAAGATCACCTTCCAGACACCCCCCTTTCCCTGGACCTCACTGGGAATGGCCGAGACATCAGTATCTTCCAGAAGCTCTAGTAAGACAGCATTGGCATTCTCCTGCTTCCGGAATATCTTGCCAAGCAGTCTATACCTGCCCAGAGACTTTAAAGTCTCCTGAAGGACCTCCTGAATCTCAGCCTCCTCAAAGTCCGCCGGTATCCCCGTAACCATCAGTGACTTCTGCTCATCCACACTCATTATCCTGCACCAGTCCTCTAACAGTGCCAGCGCCATTGTCCTAAGAATTGACCCACTCTGACTCTACAGGCACCAATTTGTTAGTGGTGCAGCTATGCACTGACTTAATATTGAAAATATCCTGGATGAGCTTCTAACCTTAGAACCCACCAATGAATGGGTCCCAGACTAGGTCACTCAAAGACAGTCACAAAGTTTTCTGGACAAATGACCCTGGCCTACTCAGTGGCAAGAACTCAGGACTTCTTGTCTTTAGGCCTGACCCAGGTGGGCAGGTCGTATCTCAGTTCTAACCACACCTGTGCCCGCAGCTCTGAAGTCCGATTGCCAGTGATTTTCTCAAAGATGCTGGCAGCCACGTGACGCTGACCCTTCTCTGATAGTTGAGGCACCTGGGACAGCTGCTTTCTCCACAGCCTCCTGGTCTCTGATGTTTCGTCTCTCTCCAGTTGATGGGAAAATGCCTTCCACTCTGGGACCCAGAACTCTTGAAGAGAAGCCTCCCAGCAGGGCGGCTTGGACCCCTGGTGAAACAATGTTCAGTTTTACTACACAGCACTCTCTTTCCTTGGAAGCATCCATACTCTAATCTGGAATGGAACTGGGGGCAGATGGCGGTTCTGCTTTACACTGCGCTTGCATTTGTCCCACTCTGTCAGACCCCTTCTTTGCTCACTGTGACTTTTTTTTCTCTTGGGGACTCCAATGAAATCTGGTGTCCCCACCATATGCTCATCAGACCTGTTGATTAATGTCTGAGCCCCAGTTAAGGACAGGATTCAAGGTCTTTGCCATTGAAAGATGAAATCAGGAGATGTGGCTAAATACCTGTTGATGTGTTCCCGAGTGTTCCGCGAGAGGTGAGGAGCTTATTTATTCACCTTTTAGCACAGGAAGACATCACCCACCTCCACACAGTGGTGTGTCTGGCTCTTAGCTCCAGCCAAGCCAAGCTGCTCTGTTACACATAAACAATAAGAACAGGTATTTATGCTTCATTAATATTCAGTAGGAAGACCGTTAATGCACTTATTCAAAAATATGATAATCCTTCACAATACTACTCAATATTAAGTTGCTTTACCTCTTTGATTAACAAAACTAATGAGGAATCACTCAAACGTTTAAAAATAGTTTAATCTAGGTATAACAATTCAGGGAAAAAAATCTCAGGGCCGACTAAGTTAAATCGGGAATTATGAATTAATTCTCTTTTGTTGTGTCTGGAAGGCTTTGCAAACACACATTTGGGCTTTGCTTTTGCTATGAATGGTAAGTGAAATAGTTTGAAGGTTTGTCCCCTCCAAATCTCATGCTGAAATGTGATCCCCAGTGTTGGAGGTGGGGCCTGGTGGGATGTGTTTGGGTCATGAGAGTGGATCCCTTATGAATGGCTTGGTGCCATTCTTGGGGTAATGAGTGGGTTCTTGTTCTATTAGCTTCCTCGAGATCTGATTGTTAAAAACAGACTGCCACCTCCCTCCCCTCACTCTTGCTCCCTTTCTTGCCGCATCTGCTCCCTCTTTGCTTTCTGCTATGACTGGAAGCTTCCTGAGGGGTCACCAGATGCAGATGTCAGCACCATACTTCTTGTACAGCCTGCAGAACTGTGACCCAAATAAACCTCTTTTCTTTATAAATTATCCAGCCTCAGGTATTCCTTTATAGCAACACAAAATAGACTAAGACAATAAGTTACTAACACAACACTCTCCAAGCATTTGTTTCTGTTTCTGTTTTTTGAGACAGGGTCTCACTCTGTTGCCGAGGCTGGAATGCAGTGGTGTAAACACGGCTCACTGTAGTAGCCTTGATCTCTCCTGGGCTCAAGCAATCCTCCCACCTCGACCTCCTGAGTACCTGGGACCACAGGCACATGCCACCATGCCTGGCTAGTTTTTTAAATTTTGTGTAGAGACGCAGTCTCCTTACGTTGTTCAGCCTGGTCTCAAACTCCTGGGCTCAAGCAATCCTCCCGCCACAGCCTCTCACAGTGCTGAATTACACACTTGAATCACCACACCCAGCCTTTCCTAACATTTGAACTTTAACCCATCATTTGAGAAAAAAGAAAAAAGGAGGAAGCACACCTATCAAGGATTTTGTTCTGGAGAACCTGTGAGGATTAGAGAACGTAAAAAAGTTAGAGTTGGCCAGGCGTGGTGACTCATGCCTGTAATCCCAGCACTTTGGGAAGCCAAGGCGGGTAGATCACTGAGGTCAGGAATTCGAAACCAGCCTGGCCAACATGGCCAAACCCCGTCTCTACCAAAAATACAAAAATTATCTGGGTGTGGTGGCACGTGCCTGTAATCCCAGCTACTTGGGAGGCTGAGGCAGGAGAATCGCTTAAACCTGGGAGACGGAAGTTGCAGTGAGCCACGATTGCACCACTGCACTCTAACCTGAGTAACAGAGCAAGACTCTGTCTCAAAAAAAAAAAAAAAAAAAGTTAGAGTTCCTAATACCTCCCAGTTACTG
The DNA here is from genome assembly GCF_000001405.40 of Homo sapiens. Lineage (NCBI taxonomy): Eukaryota > Metazoa > Chordata > Mammalia > Primates > Hominidae > Homo > Homo sapiens. Next base: position 26,511,201 of record NC_000008.11, read on the forward strand.
CTGCGGAGTGTGTGTTAAGGGGCTACAACCATTTCCCCCTTGGCCTAAACATCTTCATCAATTCGAATGGGGGCCATACGCCACAGTGCTGTCCTGTAACTCTATCAGCAGTGCTCCTGCTGTGGGAAGATCTCCTGAGTCTTCTGGGAAGTGCTGAAGGCACCAGGGGTGCCAGAGAGCCAGGAGGGCAAAATGCTGCTTCACCCCTGTGCCCAGGAGCCCCAGAGACCTGAGACTGCTGACTTCTCCATGCCTGACTTTTCCTTTCTAAAATGTGGGGACTGTGGGGGAGGGCCAGGTGCAGTGGCTTACACCTGTAAACCCAGCACTTTGGGAGGCCAAAGCGGGAGGATCACTTGAGCCCAGGAGTTTGAGACCAGCAACATAGTGCGACCCTGTCTCTACAAAAAGGAAAAATAAAAAAATTAGCTGGGCGTGTGGCACTCGCCTGTAGTCCCAACTACTTGGGAGGCTGAGGAGGGAGGACTGCTTGAGCCGAGTGGGTCAAGGCTACAGTGAGTTGCGTTTGCACCATTGCATTCCAGCCTGGGTGACAGTGTGAGACTCTGTCTGAAAACAAAAACAAAAATAAAAAAACCAGCTGGGGGCAACCTTCCTCCCCACTGGGATATTTAGAGGAAACAGGGAATGTAAAAAGACACTGCCCAGGAAAAAGCATCTCTATGGTCTACAGAATGACTGCTATGCTGAAGTTAGGCTATCTTCAGATGACTCTTCCTCCCAGTGTGACCTGCAGTGTTACCTTCAAATAAAAACATGGCAAGAAACACCCTTGATATACAATAGGGCCATGGATGGAAATATCTGGATACGGTAGAAATAGAAGAACCTTGTATTTTCTCACATAAAGGGGGTCACAGGACAAGCTGGAAAAGAAGCCAGACTTTGAGGTGGAAGACTCCCACTGGAATTGCTGGATCATTTAACTAAATACCCAACCTTGGCTATGCGCCCCAAGCTCTCTAAATCTGTTTCCTAACCTGGAAAGCAGTGCTGATAAGGCACGCATCTCACAGTGGGGCTGTGAGTAGGAAATGATGTAATTCAGTTGGAAGCGCTTTTTTCAAATGCTTTATTCAAATGCAAAGCACATCTGCCGCTAAGTCCAAAATGCCCCCTCCGGTTCTCTCAGCCCCTCCACTCCTATATTCTTCTTCCCCAGTCTGTTTCTCATCCGGAGACGCCTTTCCACCTATCAAGATGGGCTGATCTTCAAATTGCGACTGATTGTCCAGCAGATGTAACTATATTCACCAAACTATCTCTCACAATTGGACTGTGGGGGTGGTTGGTAACCGCATTTAATCCTGGGCTGACAATGGGACTGGATCCCTGGTTACACGGCCCTACGCGGTGGCCCTGCGGTAAACGGCCTCTCAGCCCAAACCCACCCTGGTTACTGAGCATGCCCAGAACTCCCTCCCGGGCCACCAAAGGAGGGGCACCATTTCTGCAGGATTTTGCCACTGTGGAAAGAGAGGCGGAGCTGTCATCGCGCAGAGGCAGGGACTGATACGCGGAAAGGACGTGGAGATGGGAATAAGCAATGAAGGACCAGCATTGACCGTGTTAGGCACACAAATCTAATTGCCCCCTGGTTACTTACCAACCCGGTGGCCGTGGCTCAGCTACTGCACACACACACCAAGTTCCTACACACCTTTCCCCTGCTTGGCCCCACACAATTCATGGCACTCACAGCCCACATCCTACCTCCTACTCCGCACCAGATGCGCACCCGCACTTACTCCCCAAACACGTGGCATCTGGTAACCCGGGAAACGCTGCGACTGTGGCGCAGTGCGCAACAGGGGCGGGGGAACCAGGCGGGGCTCTGGGGCGCAGGGGAAAGCTGGAGATTTGGGAAGGGGGTTTCAGTTTGTTTTTTCTCTCTTTTTTTTTTTTTTTTTTTTTTTTTGGTGGAGGAAGCAGAATAAACCAAATCGCGACACGTTCCTGCGCCCTTCTTGGCGCAGTGGCGCAGACACGGTCCATGGCGCCTTGCGCAATAGAGTCGGTCTGCACCCCGTCTTTAAGTCGTGGCCCTGGGCTGGAATTCCCGACTGCACTCTTTGCTACACCCCCATAGACCGCAGACCTGCGTCTCTCTCTATATTCCTCTCCCATCTGCTACGCCCCTCTGAATTTCTTCCCGCCATGTTGTGTGCCCCCCCCCCACTCCCCCGTCACCCCAACCACACCAAAGTGGATGCACGAAGCGGGAACCTTCTCGTTTCAGTCTCTGCTCCCTGCAGCCTGCCAAGGCGAGTGGACAAACTGAAGCTGGGGTGTCCAGCGTCTTGGCTGCCCCCCTCCTGTCCACCCTGCCTGTGCTATCCTTGCTCATCTTCAGTGCCATCCCGCTTCCCACACCCTGAGTAGCCTGGCGCCCGGCTTGTCCCCTTTTCCCATCCATCAGCTCACACCCAGGGTAACGGGGCGGGACCCCTATCCACAGTGCGCCCTCGCCCCCGGCCCACCTCCGCCATGCGGCGGGGCAGAGGCGCCTGGGCCAGGCAGGTGGAGGAGAGGGGCACTGGGGCTGGGGGCTGCGTCCTCCGGTCCTCACTCCGCGTGCCCTGCCCGATACTTACCCAGGCGCGGAGAGCGGTCAGCGGGCCCTCCGCTCCGCATCCATTAGCTGGTGGTCTGGCCGCTTCACTTCCGGAGCGCGGGGCTAGGGGCGGTGCCGCCCTCCCCTCTCTCTCTCCTTCCCTCCCCTCCAGCCCTCCCCTGAGCACCGCTCCCCTCCCCGGCGCCGCGCCCCGCCCGCGCCTCCCTCCTCCCAGCGCTGCCGGGAACTGGCAGCCTTTCGGCTCCCGCAGCCGCAGCGGACGCCCTCCCAGATCCAACTTTGCCGCTTCCCCGAGCTCGCGCTGTAGCCGCGGGGGGCGTGGGCAGGGAGGGGAGAAGCGGGGTCAGGGGGAGGGACCGGGAGGGTGGGTCGCCGGCTCGCCAGCCCTCCTTCCTTTCTGTGCACCTTGCGGTGGGCGGCGAACGGCAGCCGCGGCAGCAGCTAGGGGGCTTGTGCACACAGCGAGGGAGACTTAGGGACTGGCAGACGGACGGACGGACGGCGAGGACCCTACCCGAGCCCCCGAGCCATGGCCGAGAGAAAGCAATCCGGGAAGGCGGCAGAGGACGAAGAGGTCCCTGCTTTTTTTAAAAACCTGGGCTCCGGCAGCCCCAAGCCCCGGCAGAAATTCTGTGGCATGTTCTGCCCGGTGGAAGGGTCCTCGGAGAACAAGACCATCGACTTCGACTCGCTGTCGGTGGGCCGGGGCTCGGGGCAGGTGGTGGCTCAGCAGCGGGACGTCGCCCACTTGGGCCCGGACCCGCAGCCGCCGTACTCGCGGCAGGGCCGGCGCGCCGGCGGAGAGCCATCTGTTGAATCGGGCCGGAAGGTGGAGATCCGGAGGGCCTCGGGCAAAGAAGCCCTGCAGAACATCAACGACCAGGTCGGTGTGGGGGTTGGGGGTGGAGACGGAGGACGGGGCGCGGGGATCGCCCCTCCCTCGCCCCTGAGCCCGGCGCGCCCGCCTTCATGCCCCGCCCTGGACCTCGCCTCCCGCATCTGCACGCGCACCCCGCCCTACCCGCCCCTTCTCCGCGCAGGGTGCGGCGAGGCTCGGGCTGGGCGGTGGGCGGCCGTGCGCCCACAAAGGCTGCCCGCGTCTCCTTGAGCTTGAGAGGTGGGGCGTGGGCATAGGGAATGGGCTGATCCCCTGCTGGGGCGGGCGGTGGTCGTCTGGGAGGGGGTTGGCCGCGGTTCCATTCTTCTGAAACCCTCCCGGGCGGCTTCCGATTGCAGCTGCGGCTGGGTGCCCCACCCTTTTTTTGAGCGGCTCAGAGCGTGCGGTGGAGGCTTTGCGTGAAGGCCCGCGGCTCCCCGGTGGTCGGGAGGGGCGGGGGTTCGGACGGCCGCTCCCTACAGCCTCCGCCCGCGCCTTCTGCGCTCACGTCCCGAGCTCCGAGGCCAGGACCATGGTCAGCGCCCCCCGGACCCCCTCCGAGCACCGCACCGCCCTTGACTCCTGCTCGCAGCGTGAGAAGAGCCAGGAAGGCTGTGGAGTCACCCGAGGAAACCGAGACGCTCCTAAATAGCCTATGTGGGGAACAAAGTTCCAATAAGTGTCTCAGCCGGGGCTTCACAGAGCGCTCCCCAAACCGCTATGTGGGAGGCGCTTTAGGAAGCGGGGAACTAAGTGGATTATGTTCAAAGGGTCAAAAAGACAAGAAAAGGGGGAAAACCCCTCGCACTCGAAATAGACTGTCGAAGAAGACTAAACCCCCTTTTATTGTGTTAATGGGGGAAACAAAGGCCAATTTGGTCACGCTTGATTTTAGAAAATGTTTGTCACTTTCTGACAAATATGAACAGTGAGCATTTTCAGCGCAGTAATAATCTCACACCACAATTCTTTCTTTATCTGAGTGATCCTTACACTAGTGTAATTCTTTTCCACAGCCTTAATTTCTTAACTGATAATTTACAATGCAAAATGTTTTAACACGTTTTCCGTTTCTCTCCCATGCCTGCTGGTAAAAATAATAAGTCAATCAATGAATGATTGTTGATTGAATACCTATTGTGCGCCTTGCCTTGTAGGGCAGAGGGAAGGTTAGTTATAGAAAGTGCAAGAGGTTTCTTCTTCTCAGAGGGCTTCCAGAGTAGTTGGGAGTGGTCTATACATATTCAGCGAGGGATTCCACAAGCATTTACATTTGTGTACTTACAGTGACAGCCTTTGAGAACAATTCAGAATTGGTGATGATGGTTGGGGCATGATTTGACTGTTTGCTGATGTGACATAGAGTTTTGCAGCTTTTGACTTTTGTAGGGTCAAGTCTAGGAAAAACAAGGCATTTGCTGTCATTTGTAAAAGGTGACACAACTAATAATTTATATCCAACCCCAGCCCTGCCCTCTAATTTATTCATATAAGGGAGTGTCTCATATCCATATTTCACTATGAGTCAACCAGAAGAAACTAAATCCAAAAAACTTGCTTTGTTCCAAGTGATCAGACAATTGAAGTAAAAGTTTCTAATAATGTAACTTATACTGAAAGCTGAGTGAGTGTGTGTGAAACACTTCCCTGTGTGAGTACATTGAGTGAGGGCCAAAATCATATAGCATCTTGGTTGAGTGAGTAGCCTCATGCATGGCGAGTTGTGCTGGTGATTGTGATGTCCTAGAGAAAGCAGAAAAACAACTGGAGAATAAAGAAGAAATCATGTAAAAAGTGGCAGATCAGAGGATAGGGGTTGAAAGTGGCCCACCCCTATCATGAATTAGAACTCAAGTTTGAAAGGCATAGTTTTATCGGGTTGAATAACACTTCTTTTTTCTTGGCCATTTAGAAGCTTAGATATATGAAATTCTAAATTGTAAAACTAAGGCACGCAGAGGGGGAGATTTGAAGAGAAAATACTCAAACAAACTGCAAGGGAGTTTTAGATTGCAATTCACATTGATTTCAGTTGCCCAGTTATTAGTAACAGAGGGCGATTCTAGCTTGGCCTTTCTGCAGCACCTTCCCCTGAATTTTCATGTTTAATCTTGCCTTATCATATAAGGCCTACTCAATGAGATTTTGTCATTCACGACTAAGAGCATTTACCTGGATCAGTACTTGCAATGTTTCAATATTTCATGTCTTTAGAAAAGGGGAAAGGCTGTGGCTATACATGTGTTTATATTTATAACAATGTGACTTCCGAAAAGCTCAACTGGCCCACCATTTTGACTGAGTTGACTTGTCATTAGTTGGTTTTCAACGAATGAGTTGGGTGAGTGCCAGCATCTCTGTGCATTCTAATTGGAAGCCCTGACGCAGAGAAAGGTGGGGGAGATTGAGAATGGGTGGATCCTGGGACCCTGACTCACACCATCCCTCCTCTCTTGCAGCTTTATTTATGTGTTACTAATGTATGGTCAGATGTGGCTTTGCTCATCTGTTGCACTAAGAGGCCTGCTGTTCCCCTAACAAGGCTTTGGGAAGGGAGAGAATAGGCTTCCTTGACCCACATGCCACATGGCTCATGGAAGATGAGAGATGTTGGACATGTGCATTTGCAGGAACTAAATGAAATTATATTCAGAGTATGAGCCAGACAGCACCAGAAAGCGATGGGTGTGGCTTGACTCGGCATGTCAGATTTTGGCGGAGGAAAAGAGCTGGCATAGTGGTTGTGAATGAGGAAAGCCTCTATCTTGTTACTCTCTTTTTCCTATAAGTCCACTTTGGGCTTCAGTGAGGTTACATTGATCACCACTGTGAAAGACTCTGAGCCTCTTGGAAGAGAGAGAAGAAAGGCATCTCTGTTGGCCCAATCCCCCCTTGTCAGTGCCCAGGGGTCCTTCAGCCTCTTCCCTTCCTCCTAGGAACTTCCTCCATTCCACTCCAGACACAGCGTAGCCAGAACCAGTGGCTCCACCAGCAATACTGGACCATAAGAATGCTTTTCAAAGGGGCCTCTAGGCCCTTTTCCCAGCAGCAAACAACCTATGCAGGCTGGAGTGACAGGGAGTGATTCTCCTCCTCTCCAGGGCAGGTGCCGCTGAATGAACTGCACAGTGCTGCTGAGCTTGGCAATGTTACTGAGTCTGTGAAGTGCTTTCTGGTGCTCCCTTCCATCTGGGTCCCCATCCCTTCTGCCTGTGTTGAATCTCTTCTGGCCCTGGGAGCCCAGTGCTGTGCTGCCCTCTAACTGTACAACGTCATCCCTACTCCATCCCCATAGCATGCCCCTTCTAGACCTTTCTTCTTCCAAAGGGCAACAGGTTCTAAAATCAGTCTTGGCTTCCCTTCTCCCATTCAGAATTCTTAACTTGCATTAATCTTAGTTAAAGAGAAATTCCAATGATTAAAGCCATCTGCTCCTCAGGCAAACAACTGATGCCCAAGTTGTCCCCAGAGATCCGTGTCTGATAATAGACTAGCCTGTTAAACAAAACGAATGTGTGGTTAGTGGGGTGTGTGGTGGAGATTTGGAATAAAGGCAATACCTTGATACTTTACAGGTCATATTGGTTCAAAACAGGAGATACAAGCATTTGTGTGTTCAGGATTCCAAAAAACCTAAGACCCACCCGGGTTCAAAAGGAGGAAAGTGGGGGTGGGGGATAATTGGAGAGGGGAAGGAAAGGATGAAAATCCATAATTATTATTTGCTCTTGATTTCCCAGCTGGTTATTGAACTAATCATATAATTAGTTAAATTAAAATAATTTTTACATAGCCTAAAATTTGCCACCTTACCCATTTTTAAGTGCAGCTCAGTGGTGTTAAGTGTATTCACATTGTTATGCAACCAATCTCCAGAACTTTTTCATCCCCCAAAGCTGAAGTTCTGTACCCATTAAACACCAACTTCTCATTCCACCTCTTCCCAGCCCCTGGCAACCACCATTCTCTTTTCTGTCTCTGCCAGCTTGACTACTCTAGACTCCTCATATAAGTGAAATGACACCGTTTATGTTCTTTGCGACTGGCTTACTTTACTTAGCATAATGCCCTTAAGGTTCATCTGTGTTGTAACATGTGACAGAATTTCCTTCCTTTTTATGGCTGAATAATATTTCTATAATTAGTTAAATTATAACAAGTCTTTAATGATTTAAAAAGTTGCTATTCAATTAATTGGCCTGCAATAATTAATTGTGGCAGGAAATAAGAAGGATTAGATTTGGGATGAAATAGGCTTCCCCAGGTCTGGGGCCTATAACCTAACTAGAAGAAAACTCCTACCAGCTAACCAGCATCTACCATCTTTCTCCTTGGAGCTCAAGGATAGAGAGGAGAATTGCTGTCATTGGACCGCCAGTGACAACTTCTGGCCATGACCTTTGCATATTGCATATGCAATGTTATGTGGTTCACAAACTCATGGCTCTATACCATGGAAATCAGGGTGAGGCTGGGGAGTTTTTCCAGCCTGGTAAAGACAGGCCACGTATTCCAGGGTCCTTTGATGCAAGCATCCCTCTTTACTTTCTTGAGCAAGAAGGGGAAGTCAGAATTGATTATAGATTCAAATGTGTACTATCATTGAATGTCAGAGCTTGCAAGAGACCTAATGATTGTTTAATTACCTCATTCTAGAAGTGAAGAAAGTGATGTCCTGAAAACTACTTCATTCCTTGGAGCCCAGGTGATAGTCCCAGGACTGGGAGAGAGGTCTCTTGTTTTCAGTCCCACTGCAGTCCTCTATCAGTAAAGCCATGTGATTTATGTAGCATTATATAACTCTAGAATGTGCTTTTAAATTCTAGATTCTACATTTTAGAATGTTTAGAGTATATTATTCTATTAATAAAACCTTGCCCCAACACTGTCTGATACAGGCATTATTTACTTTTTGTAAATAAGGAAACCGAGATTTAGTGATATTTACTTAGCCAATTCCTAAGGTCTTGCTATTTAGTAAGTATGTAAACTAGGATTTGAACTAATATTTCCTAATCTAGTATCGTATTTCTTCCAATAGTCAATTACGTGGCTCAGTTACACTGCCAGAGATATGTAGTAAACATAAGGGTACAATTTAATTTTGCAGGCAAAATATGTTACATCCCATTAAACTCCATATTTTCTATGGTGTAGGTCATGTGCTAAATGCTTGGTATGGACGATTTTGTTAATTCTAAGATGACTCTATTAAGTAGATGTTACTCTTATTCTTATTTTGCAAATGAAATATATAAAGGTAAAAGTAAATTGTAAAATGATATGGTTTGGCTGTGTCTCCACCCAAATCTCATCTTGAATTGTACTCCCATAATTCCCACATGTTGTGGGAGGGACCTGGAGGGAGATAATTGAATTGTTGGGGTGGTTTCCCCCATACTGTTCTTATTGCAGTGAATAAGTCTCACAAGATTTATAAGGGTTTTCCCCTTTTGCTTGGTTCTCATTCTCTCTTGCCTGCTGCCATGTAAGACATGCCTTTCACCATCTGCCATGATTGTGAGGCCTCCCCAGCCATGTGCAACTGTGAGTCCATTAAACCTCTTTTTCTTAATAAATTACCCAGTCTCAGGTATGTCTTTATTAGCAGGGTGAGAACAGACTAATACATAAAGCAACCTACTAATGAAAAGCCAGAGGCAGGGCCTGAACCCCGGGGATATGTGACTAGAGAGCTTTTTCTATCACTCTAATATATACTGATTTGCTTTTGATATTAATTATTTTTTCTCATTTTATCTCCAAATAATGTATTCTTGCAAAAAAGTTCTGAATGCCTGTTTTTTTTTTTTCAGTGTACTCTTTGGAGCCATTTATAAAATGGACTGTTGATCTGTCTTTATGAATGTGCCCTAAATTGCTGACATTCTGTCTATCATTTTTTAAAACACAAGAAATGTCTTCAAATATCCCTGGGACAAAAGCCAACTGTGATAGTATGAATGACATGCTTTTCTAAGATTAGAAATTAGAGCAGTGAGATGACAGTGTAATTTTTCTACTTGATGTAAATCATTGTCTTAGGCTGTGACAACAAATTACCATGACCAGGTGGCTTGAACAAGAAACATTTATTTCTCATGGTTCTGGAGGTTGGGAAGTCTAAGATCAATATGCTGGCAGATCTGGTGTCTGGTGAGGACCCACCTTATGGTTTCCAGATTGCCATCTTCTCCTTGTGTCCTTACATAGTGGAAGGGGCCAAGGGAGGTCTCTGGGGTCTCTTTTATAAGGTCACTATCCTGCTTATGAGGGCTCCACCCTCATGGCCTATGTTCGTCCGAAAGGCCCTACCTGTTAATACCATTCCACTAGGGGTTAGGATTTCAACACAGGAATTTTGGAGAAGGGAACACAAACACAAAGTCCATAACAATCATGAAATACAAGCAAATGAAACTAATGAAAGAGTCATCAATAAAAGCATTGGCAGGTGGGACTGATGGACACTTGATTTAGTTGGTTGCAGCTGGTGGTAACCTAGTACCATAGGTACTGCACACAAATACTGTCTTACGTGCAAGTGCCTGGTCTTAAAGGTGGTTTGTGTTTGTTTTTGAGAATATGCAGATAACCTGCATGGGCTCTGATTCTGAGGGCACTCTGCAGAAAGCACTGAGTGAAGCCAGCTGGTAGTCCTGGCTCTGCCATTGACTGACTGTGTGACCTGCACAGTCATCTAACCTCAGTGGTCATTGGGCTGTCCTAGGAATCTCTAATGCTCCTTCTATCCATTTCCACTGAAGGCTCTGAAAGAAAGCTATGCTGCCCATGGCTGTTCTTTTTTTTTTTTTCTTATAATCGAGGCAAAATTGACTTAACATAAAATTCTTATTTTGGCAGGTTTGAAATGCACAATTTAATGGCTTTTACTGCATTCACAGTGTTGTGTAACCATTGCCACTGTTTAATTCCAGAACATTTTCATCACCCCTCCAAAAGAAACTTTGTACCATTAAGCAGTCACTTTCCTTTTCCCATTCCCCCCATCCCCTAGCAATCACTAATCTGCATTCTGCTTTTTTTTTCCTGAGTGGATTTGCCTATTCTGGACATTTCATAGACATGGAACCATACAGTATATGGCCTTTTGTGTCTGCTTTTGTTTTTCACTTAGTATAATGTTTTCAAGGTTCATCTATGTTGTAACATGTATGAGTGCTTCCTTCCTTTTTAGGGCCAAATAATGTTCCATTGTTTTGTATGTATCCTATTCATTAGTTTTTCCAATTATTTGATGGACATTTGGGTTGTTTCCACCTTTTGGCTATTAGGAATAATACTGCTATTAACATTTTTTTACAAGTTTTTGTTTAAACATATGTTTTTAAGGCTGGGCACAGTGGCTCATGCCTGTAATCCCAGCACTTTGGGAGGCCAAGGTGGGCGGATCACTTGAGGTCAGGAGTTTGAGATCAGCCTAGCCAACATGGTGAAACCCCATCTCTACCGAAAATACAAAAATTAGCCGGGCACGGTGGCACACACCCGTAATCTCAGCTATTCAGGAGGCTGAGGCATGAGAATCGCTTGAACCCAGGAGCCGGAGTTTGCAGTGAGCCAAGATCACACCACTGCACTCCAGCCTGGGCAACCGAGTGAGACTCTGTCTCAAAACAAACAAACAAACAAACAAACAAACAAATGTTTTCAGTTTTCTTGTGTTCTGCCTAGAAGTAGAATTGCTGGTCATGTAATAATTCTATGTTTAGCTCTTCGAGGAACTTCCACACTCTTTTCTGTAGAAGCTGTACCATTTTGCGTTGCCACCAGCAACATTTGAAGGTTCCAACTTCTGCACATCCTAGCCAACACTTGTTATTTTCCTCATTTTGGTTATAACCATCACGTGGGTGGGAATTGGTATCTCATTGAGGCTTTAATTTGCATTCCCTAATAACTAATAATGTTGAGCATCTTTTCTCCTGCTTTATGGGCCGTTTGTGTGTCTTCTTTGGAGAAATGTCTGTTCAAAACTTTGTACATTTTTTTTAGCTGGGTTATTTATCATATTGTTAAATTGTATGAATTCTTTATGTATTCTAGATACTAGGCCCTTATCAGATCTATAGTTTGCAGATATTTTCTCCCATTCTGTGGATTATCTTTTTACTTTTTTGATGGTATGCAAAAGTTTTAAATTTTGATGAAATCCAATTTATCTATTTTTTTCTTTTGTTGCTTATGCTTTTGGTATTATACTATCCCCGGCTGTTCTTAAAAACTGCTGGATCATCTGAAATCTACTGAAAGAGTTCCAGTACCTAATTTCCTAGAATCATGTAACTAAATCCTTGGGGAGCTTTGAAATTCATTTAGAATAGCATTTGTAGTAGCTCAGTATTCTTGAGTGTTTTGTGCACTGAATAAGCCTGATTCTTCTATCTGAAGATCTTGTTCATATGTAAAAAACTCCTTCTTTGTGTGTGCATATATATGTATGTATACAGACATACATGTATATATATATATATATTTTTAAATAATATTTAAAATTTGCTTTCTAATCCAATGATTTGGGAGTGGCAGGGATGGTGTTGAGGAAGGCAGCAACCAACAAGCTGAGTTTTAAACTAATAAATTTGGGAAAATAAATGAGTTCAATTAAAAAAATTATATTGTAATAACTACACATAACATAAAATTTACTGTCTTAACAATTTTGAGTGTACAGTTCAGTGACGTTAAGTATATTCACATTGTTGTGCAACCAATCATCAGAATTATTTTCATTTTGCAAAACTGAAACTTTGTACCCATGAAGCAACAACTCTTCATTCCCCTCTCCTCCCAGCCCCTGGCAATCACCTTTCTACTTTGTGTCTCTGTGAATTTGACTACTTTAGGACCCTCATGTAAGTGGAATCAAAGAGTATGTGTCTTTTTTTAACTAGTTTATTTCACTTAGCATAATGTCCTCAAAGTTTGTTCATGTTGTAGCATGTGTCAGAATTTCCTTACTTTTTTTTTCTTTTTTTCCTTAAGAGACAGGGTCTTGCTCTGTCACCCAGGCAGGAGTGTAGTGGTGCCATCATAGCCCACTGTAACCTCAAACTCCTGGGCTCAAGCAATCCTCCTGTCTCAGCTTCCCAAAGCACTGGGATTACAGGCATAAGCCACTGCCCCTGGCCCAGAATTTCTTTCCTTTTTAAGGCTGAATTTAAAAAACAAGACTGAAGATATTCTATTGTATGTATAGACCACATTTTGTTTATTTGTTCATTTTTCATCAGTGGACAATTGGGTTATCCATCTTTTAGTTCTTGTGAATAATGTTGCTATGAACACGGCTATGCAAATATCTATCTGAGACCTTGCTTTCAATTCTTTCGAGTGTGTACACAGAAGTGGAATTGCTAGATAATTTGATAACTATTTAATTTTTAAAGGAAACTACTATATAGTTTTCCACAGTGGTTATACCATTTGACATTCCCAACAACAGTTCCCAAGGTTTCCAGTGTCTCCACATCCTCGCCTATACTTATTTTTTGGTAGGTTTCTTGTTTGTTTGTTTTGATAGACATCATCCTACTGAATGGGAGATGGTGTCTCATTGTGGTTTTGTCTCATTGTTGAGCATCTTTTCACAAAAGATTATGTCCTTTGCTGAACAGACATTCTGATTTCAATTTTTATTTTGTTCTTTTTTAAAGAAATAATAACAAAAGTAAGTACCATGTTTATTGTAGATGACATTGGTAAACAAATTTTTAAAAAGAAAAAAATCATCCATAATCTTACTGCGTAAAAATAACCATGGATAGTATTTTGTTGCATTATATTTTCCAGGCTTTAAATTCCCATTAAAAATGAATGAGGGCCGAGCGCGCTAGCTCATGCCTGTAATCTCAGCACTTTGGAAGGTCAAGGTGGGCGGATCACCTGAGGTCAGGAGTTTGAGACCAGCCTGGCCAACGTGGCAAAATCCCGTCTCTACTAAACATACAAAAATTAGCCGGGCATGTATGGTGGCGTGTGCCTGTAATACCAGCTACTTGGGAGGCTGAGGCAGGAGAATCGCTTGAACCTGGGAGGCGGAGGTTGCAGTGAGCTGAGATTGCACCACTGCACTCAAGCCTGAAGGACAGAGAGAGACTCTGTCTCAAAAAAAAAAAAAAAAAAAAAAAAAAAAAAAAAAAGAGAGAGAATTACTGTTTTTCAATATTCCTGACATCACTAGATATTATAGTTGTTGGAGCTATTTCCCAAGTTTATAGGTGGCAAATAGTATCCTATTGTTTGACGGTTTTCCTATCTGTGTTCATATTTCAGACTGTGATTTGTAAAAATTACATGTTAAAATGTATTCATTTTAATGTCATCTGCTACATATTTTTTCTTAGTTTTCCTCTAATTTTTAAACGGCTTTGATCTCTTGACATGCAAATTTAAAATTTACAAATTAAGTTGATCCATTTTTTCTGACGTATTTTTTGCCTTTGTAGTCATTCTGACTTTAAGATTATATAATTATTTACCTGTGCTTTCTCCTAAAATCTTTTTGAATTTCATGAGTTTTTGAAATTGTTGGGTTGTTTTTGAGACAGGGTTTTACTCTGTCACCCAGGCTGGAGTGCGGTGGCATCATCATAAGTTCACTGCAGCCTCGACCTCCTAGGCTCAAGCGATCCTCCCATCTCAGCCTGCTGAGTAGTTGGGACTACAGGCACATGCCACCATGGCTGGCTAACTTTTAAATGTTTTTGTAGAGATGGGATCTCACTATGTTGCCCAGGCTGGTCATGAACTCCAGGGCTCAAGAAATCCTCTTGCCTTTGTCTCCCAAAGTACTGGGATTACAGGCATTAGTCATCATGCTCAGCCTGAATTTCATTTTTATCTACATTTTAATCTGATAATTAAGTTTTGTCTTTAACTTGAAGTAACATGTAAGTTAATTTTTCAAGTAGACAGTTTTTCCAATGGCATTTATTGAACAATTGATGTTTTTACCACTTATATTTTAATATGCTGAACCTCTTATATACACCAGGATCAGTTTTTTAGCTCTCTATTCTGTTTCATTGATCCAGTTTACTAAATCCACGGTGGTTCAATACTGCTTTAGTTACTGTAGCTCTTTAATATCTTTAGTTTTCGTTTTCCCCGTCACTCAAATGTGCTTTCCATTGCAGATATTTTTAGTTACAGAAACCTGATATGATTTTTTAACCAGAATTATATTAAATTTATATATTGAGTTATTTTAAGACACATGTATTTTTAAAATAGTCTTTCTATTTAAGTTTATATTATGTCTTACCTCTTATTCAGATATTTCGTTTTATTTCTGTGACATTTCTTGTTAGATTTATTTCTAGATGTTTTGTTACTATAGTGAACGGGAAATTTCCCTGTTATATTTGGTAGTTTATTTTCTGGGAGACTCTGGGGTTTATTTTATTTTATTTTTTCGAGATGAAGTCTTGCTGTGTCACCCAGGCTGGAGTGCAGTGGCATGATCCTGGCTCACTGCAACCGCTGCCTCCTGGGTTCAAGCGATTCTCCTGCCTCAGCCTCCCAAATAGCTGGGACTACAGGTATGTGCCACCATGCCCGGCTACTTTTTGTATTTTTAGTAGAGACGGGGTTTCACCATGTTAGCCAGGATGGTCTCCATTTCCTGACCTCGTTATCCACCCACCTTGGCCTCCCAAAGTGCTGGGATTACAGGAGTGAGCCACCTTGCCAACTCTGGGGTTTTATATTAATTAGCAATAGGTCATGTTATTGAACTCACTCTTGGTTCTAATAGTTTTCCATTGATTCTTTTTAGACAGTTTTATTATCTGTGGCTAATAATAGTCTTGTGCGTTTTTTGCCAAAGGCTTTATTCATTATTTCTCTTCCTTGTCTGATTACATTGACTATAACTTCTAGAACCATGGTGATAATATTAGGGTTCCCTGTTTGATTTCTGACTGATGAAAAGGCCTCTTTTGTCATTGTTTGAAAGCGATGCTCTCTATCATGTTAAAGAATCATCTTTTAATTGCTACTTGAGCATATTGTCAATGTCCTTCAGTGAGTGACTACCAGGAACACAACTGTAGTCGATCCAGTTGGGTTTGT